>NC_000002.12:200822951-201125981 GCF_000001405.40 Homo sapiens
GGGTATTCTTTTCATACAACCATTTTCAAATGAACCTTAGAAAAGTCTTAACATTTAAGGTATTTTATGCACAGAATACACTTAGATTGATAGGAAAGAACTCGTAATGGAGTTTGAGTAAAGAAAATGACTGATGTACTAAACCCAGTAAAAATTGTTGAAAATGTTAAAGGTCAGCATGTTCTAATTGGGAATCTAGATATAGCTTAGATTTCCTATTGGCTTAGAGTATTTGCTATAACAAATGAAGTGCAATGACAATTATATATTCCTACTCGGTCATACTGGACTGGCTTCGTTCTCTTAATATACTCAGTAATGACTCAAGCCTCTGGCTATTAACATACCCTAGTTGCCGTTTTTTAATTGCCATGAGCCAAATACTTCTTGGTATACAATTGATCCATTTATTTTAATGGCTGCCTTTTCATTTTCATCTTTTCTTGCTGCTACCCATCTATGTATGTAGTCATTGGGGGGAAAATGTAGCCACATTTTTTATGGGAAGACTTTGTGTTAAAAGTGAACATTTTGAAGGTTTTTAACTGGTGAAACTAGCCTGGAATAATGCCACCAGAGACTGAGTGGAAATCGCCCCTTTTGAAGGTGCCATTCTTATGAGCCAAAAGTTTGTCATTTAAAAGTTCATTTTGAGGGAATAACATGTAATATAATTTGAAATAAAGGTATAGTAACCTTAAAAAGAACATTATAACTGATTGTTGTGAATGGGGTGAATTTGTTAAAATGAGTAACTTTGATAAAGTTTTTCATGCACAGGCAAAATGTATTCACTAGATTTCTACGTAGTGATCTGCTTTTACTTTGTAATTTGTAGTTCTCAAAAGACTTTTTTTTAAAAAAATAAAGTCCATACTTACACTTAGGCTTTATACATCAGTCTTTTTTTTTTTAAATTCCATGTTAATACCTAGTGGTATTGTATGTTGTGTGTTCAGATGTCTTTACTGTATCTGTATACCATTAAGTAATAATTAGACTCCCAAACTGTAAACCACCTACACAGAATTCTGGTGTAGCTAAAACTACATTAATATTTCTACAACCAATTCATTGCATGTTTCTTCCATACAAAGTGTGCCATTTTATACTGTGTATAGTGAAAAAGTGTGTCATCTTCCAGAACTACATTATTATCTTTGATCGTAGTTTGTTTCTTCATAATGACACTGTAGTGTTTACTTAGTAGAACATTATAGTAAGTGGATATCACTTGTGACAGTAATAGTGTAAAGAAAGGGAATGCTTTATAAAAAGATTGCAGATTCCATTCCATATAAAAAGATTCCATTCTGAATCTTAAGTGGTAATTTTAGAATTCAGGTGCCAGTGCCAGCCTATGGCCTCAAGTATGTAATTCTTAATATAGATGTTAAATTGTACTTTTAATTATGATTGGATAAATGTTTTTTCTAACTGTCAGTTTCTAAGGCTGTCTCCTTAGAAACTAAATGAGTTTTTAGAGCTGGTTGTAAGTTTCTTAGCCTTACTCTGTGAGTTATAGATGTTATTTCATTCTATATATAGATGTTTATTCCATTCTTATTTAAAAAAAAAAACCTCCATATACCAAAAATGCTACAGGATATTTTGAAATAGCATATTTTAGTTAGGGGAAATGCATGTGACCAAGAGGTTGGACTTCTAATTCAGTTTTTCAAAAGCTTTTTTCCATTATCATACCCCCAGCCTTTTTAGGCTTTTTTTTTTTTTTTTTTGAGACGGAGTCTCGCTCTGTCACCAGGCTGGAGTGCAGTGGCGCGATCTTGGCTCACTGCAAGTTCCGCCTCCCGGGTTCACGCCATTCTCCTGCCTCAGCCTCCCGAGTAGCTGGGACTACAGGCGCCCGCCACCATGCCCGACTAATTTTTTTGTATTTTTAGTAGAGACGAGGTTTCACCGGATTAGCGAGGATGGTCTCAATCTCCTGACCTTGTGATCCACCCGCCTCAGCCTCCCAAAGTGCTGGGATTATGGGCTTGAGCCACCGCGCCCAGCTAGACTTTTTTCTAATAGAGTCCCCCATAAATTTTATTACCATAGATACGCTGTGTATGTACTGTTTCTGTGCTTTGTACATGAAAAGAGTAAAATGTTTTTGTTTTTGTTTTGGAGACAGTCTCACTCTGTTACCTGGGCTGGAGTGCAATGGCATGATCTCAGCTCACTGCAATCTCTGCCTCCTGGGTTCAAGCGATTCTCTTGCTTCAGCCTCCTGAGTAGCTGGGATTACAGGCGGCCACCACCACCCCTGGCTAATTTTTGTATTTTTAGTAGAGGTTTCACCACGTTGATCAGGCTGGTCTCAAACTCCTGACCTCGTGGTCTGCCTGCCTTGGCCTCCCAAAGTGCTGGGATTACAGGCGTGAGCCACCATGCCCAACCAATTTTTTTTTTTTAAATCCTTGGTAGTGATTGACCCCCATTGAGAATGCATGCTCTAATATTTTTTAAAAGGGAAGAAGACCTAGTGATAGACCTTTGCATTGGCAGGCATGTCTTTATGTTTATACAGTGAAGTAGTATTTTTTCTGTCAGGGTCAATAGAAAGTAGACGAAATTCATTTTCAGCCAATCTTTCACCAGTTGTGCTTTGTTCCTTACCCCACCACAGGCAACAGACAAAGCATTTCCTGCTGTCTTTCAAGGTCTTAACAGATTCTTTCTTGATTATAAATGTATTACTAAGTAGAATCATTTGGGTTCTTTCTATAAAAATCAGTGAAAATCCTCTAGATGAATGAATTAAAGTTGTAGGCATAACACTGATAAACCTCTGCTCTCATACTGAAGTAGGCTGCTTGCAGGAACTGACAACTATTGGTTGGCTTTAAATGTAATGTAGATGCCAAAGTTTTAGTGTACAGTGTTACTTAAATTACCAAATTACCTTTGTACAAATATTCCTCAGATGCTGTCTACAGGTGCCATATAAAATAGGTTGATAAGTATTTGCAAATTCTGGTAAATTGCCTTGCTATGATTTTTCATGCTCAGTATTAGTCCTCTAGTATCAATACGAAGTTTTTCTATTCCCCAGCCTACTAAGGCCTACAGGTTAAAATACCAGGAATAAAAAGGTTTTCAGTGGACTTGATTTAAGTGGAATCTGGATGATGTGACAAGTACCTTTGTCTTTGGAGTAATGAGTTTATAATTGGCTTTTGTCCAAAAACTCTTAAGTGGATTAATATCTGAACAATCTTAGACATAATTATATGAAACTGGATCAGAAAGGCTTTCTGACTCCTTTCTCTTCACTTTTTTCTCCCAGCTTAACTAGAGGCAATTAACAGTCATTTCAAATCTAATTATTTTTATTTTCCAGTGTACTTATCATCCTTTCATCTTTATGCTAGGAGTATAGTCTCAGTTCTTAATGAGTTGATGGGATGAAGATATAGATAGATAGATAGATAGATAGATAGATAGATATTTTTTTTTTTTTTTTTTTTTTTTTTTTTTTTTTTGAGACAGAGTCTCGCTCTGTCGCCCAGGCGGGAGTGCAGTGGCACAATCTCGGCTCACTGCAAGCTCCGCCTTGGGGGTTCACACCATTCTCCTGTCTCAGCCTCCTAGCTGGGATTACAGGCGCCCACCAACCAAGCCCGGCTAAGGTATTTTTAAATGTACTCAATCACTGTCATTTTAGTAACCTTGAATCAGAACCTCAGTTGTTAAAGGCTTAACTGCTTGTGGCAACTACTATAGTGCTCTAGTGGGGACAGTGGTTAAAATCTGCAGAATCCCTTGCTTTGTCATCTTATCCAGAAGGACTGATAGCTTGTTAAACTGTGGTATGATTAGAATGTTGGTGGTTGTGTAGTGCATTTGGGGTGCTACAACGTTAATCAAATATAATTGAGCTGTTCTGTTTCCAGTCAGTGTAACCATTTAAAAATACCTTGGCAAAACAAGCTAGGAGCTAGTTCATGCTAATATTCTTAAGGACAAAAATAGTTTACAGCTTTTTTTTTTTTAATCTGAAATCCTGAAGGCTATGCTTAAAAGTTAGAGATAAACCTGTTGGAAATAAGTGATTCATTTATAGACTGAAGCCTCTATGACTTCAAAAAGATACTCAACAGTCTCTGGCATTTGAAGAACAAAATATTTTCTCTGTAAATACACCTCATTTCCATTCTAGTTAGGAGCAATGGCGCCCAGGACGGCACACAGAATGGAGAAAACTGGATAGCTGGTAACTCATTTAGCTCTTGGCACTCTAAAAAACCTCAAATACAGCCATCCAAGCCAGTAATTCTATTGCTGCGTTATTTCTGTGTTTAACTGTGAAACTTGCTTCTTGTCTGTACCCTTGAAATGGAATAAAATTTCATGAGACTCCTTGTTAATGTAGAGAAAAGCAATGACTGTTCAGTTGGTTGTACACTAAGGCCTCAGTCCTTGACCTTTCCCATTTTGCTCAGTGTTTTAAATATGATGTAAGGGCCTGTGCTTCCAGATATTTTTTTCTCCAGTCTCATTTTTGCATTTGTATGGCTCATGTACTTCAAACTGTTGGTACATGTTCCAAAAATGCCAGTGTTTAATTCAAAAGAGATGAATGTGATCTACTCCAGAATGCTTCAAGTCCTGTCCACTTTAACTCCAAAGTAATCTCAAATGCCACCGCAGTTCAGGCCACCAGCATCTTACCTAGTTACTAAGTGATTTTTGCATCCACTTTTGTGTATCTCATCTTTTAACAGCAAGAGTGGTCTTTGGATGTAGTTTACCAGTTTAAAATCTTTGTCTTTGCCTAGGTGGTCTTTCATGAACTATTCAGCTTCATCTGCCTTTTCCTCTTCGTCACTATGTGCTGTGTAGTTGGCAGAGCTTGTCACATCCAAACCTGCAGGTAATTGAACAAGCTGGTTACTGACTGGATTAGTATCCAGGGAATAGTGAAGATAGGAAAAAGATTATAAAGCCCATCAGTTAATACCATTTGTGTTTTGTTTTTTGAGGTGGTCTTGTCCTGTCACCCAGACTGACATGATCATAGCTGAGTGCAGCCTCAAACTCCTGGGCTCAAGCAATCTTCGCACCTCAGTGGCTGGGACTGTAGGTGTCACGCTTAATACTGTTATTAAAAAGACAACTAGGAGGGATGTTTGCTTGTAGAATGAAAACTGTTATGTGAATTCCAAGTATTAGGAAGCAACTTTTCTTAGACAAGATTAGATGAAAGCTATTTGTGCCCTGTGGTTAGTATTGCTTGATGTGACCAAGACAGGATGAGAAGCTGGCAGTCAGCAAATGTGAAACATACACTGTCAGGCCCTCTGCTGAGCTTTAAGACTATGGTAATGAACAGCACTGGACCCCAAGATTCAAGCCCATAGGAGGAGATAGGAAAGGAAGAGTAGGCTGAATGCAAAACGAAAGGATGTGGGAGGGACTGGCAAATTGGAGAGTCCAGTCTCAAGAATATAATCTGTAAATTATTAGGATACCGTGAAAGACAAATTGCACTTGCTGATAAAATATGGTTTGCAAATGCCTAATATCTGAACAAAACAGTGCATACCTACAGTCTAATGGAGAAAGATCTGTCTCCATCTGTTAGCTGTGTGACTGGGCAAATAATTTAGCCTCTGAATCTTGTTTCCTGAACCTGTAAAATGAGAATGGCAATCTAATTTTGATTAAATGATATCATTGCTGGGCACAGTGGCACACACCTGTAATCTCAGCTACTGGGGAGGCTGAGATAAAGAATTGCTTGAGTCCAGGAGTTCGAGGATATAGTGAGCTATGATCATATGTGAGAATAGCCACTGCCCTCCAGCCTGGGCAACATAGTGAGACCCCATCTCTGGGGGAAAAAAATGGTATCATTTTACCCAGTGATAAAATGACAGTCTCAACTACATGGGGCAGTTGAGAAGTTCTACTTAAAGTAGCTGGGATTACAGGCATGTGCCACCACACTCGGCTAATTTTGTTTGTATTTTTAGTAGAGATGGGGTTTCTCCATGTTGGTCAGGCTAGTCTCGAACTCCCGACCTCAGGTGATCCACCCGCCTCGGCCTCCCAAAGGGCTGGGATTACAGGCGTGAGCCACCGCGCCCAGCCATAAATACAGGTTTTTATGTTTGATAGGAACTGGTGGAAGGTAATTTAAGTGCCAGCAGCCATCATTATGATGCCTGCTTTAGCAACTATAAAAAAGGAGAAGCAAGATAGTAGCTGAAATCCTTATAGCCCAGTAGTGAATGATAATCATGCTTTGTGTGACTGGTCAAGTATTCAGTGAATCTCACAAAATCCTTTGTAGTAACAGTATAAATATTATCAACTTCTAAGAACAAGAGAGGAGAGTTAATGGCAAATGAAAAATATCCAACTGTTGGAAGAAGGCAAGCAGATATGACCAACAACCAGCTTGGTTTTAGCTTTCTCTGTTCTGCTAAGCCCTTGTGGTGTCGCAGGTTGCTAACAACAACCCAGGAAGTTGATTGGAACTGCCAAACTCCGCAAGGTCTTGGGAGTCAGGGATGCTAATTTCTTCTGAGAGTGGGTGTGAGTATGGTGGAGCTGAAAACAAGTTTATTGAATGTCTTAGGCCATCCCTTCCCCCTATGCTGGCAGGTGAGTGCCCCTGCACAAATTCAGCAGAAAACAGAAGTTTCACCATCTGCAAAAGTTGGAAAAAGGGGAGGAGAGGGTGATAATGGACTGGGGGATACCAGACAGAGTAAAAAAGTGCCGTATTAAAAATAAAAGCCAGGCGCAGTGGCTCACGCCTGTAATCCCAACACTTTGGGAGGCAGAGGCGGGCAGATCACTAGGTCAGGAGATCGAGACCATCCTGGCTAACATGGTGAAACCCCATCTCCACTAAAAATACAAAAAAAAAAAAAAATTAGCCAGGTGTGGTGGCGGGCGCCTGTAGTCCCAACTACTCGGGAGGGTGAGGCAGGAGAATGGCGTGAACCCGGGAGGCGGAGCTTGCAGTGAGCCGAGATCGCGCCAGTGCACTCCAGCCTGGGTGACAGCGAGACTGTGTCTCAAAAAAAAAAAAAAAATAGTGCTCACTTCGGCAGCACATATACTAAAAATTGGAACGATACAGAGAAGATTATCATGGCCCCTGTGCAAGGATGACACGCAAATTCGTGAAGCGTTCCATATTTTTATGAGAACACTTGGACACAGGAAGGGGAATATCACACACCGGGGCCTGTCGTGGGTTGGGGGGAGTGGGGAGGGAAAGCATTAGGAGATATACCCAATGTAAATGGCAAGTTAATGGGTGCAGCACACCAACATGGCACATGTATACATATGATGTAACAAACCCGCACGTTGTGCAAACCCTAGAACTTAAAGTATAATAAAAAAATTTAATTTAAAAAATATAAAAATAATGGCCGGGCACGATGGCTCACACCTGTAATCCCAGCACTTTGGGAGGCCGAGGCAGGCGGATCACCTGAGGTCGGGAGTTCGAGACCAGCCTGACTAATACGGAGAAACCCCGTCTCTACTAAAAATACAAAATTAGCCGGGCGTGGTGGCACACGCCTGTAATCTCAGCTACTCAGGAGGCTGAGGCAGGAGAATCGCTTGAACCCGGGAGGCGGAGGTTGCGGTGAGCCGAGATCGCGCCATTGCACTCCAGCCTGGGCAACAAAAGCAAAACTCCGTCTCAAAAAATAAATTAATTAATAATAAAAATTAAAATAAAGCCAGGCACAGTGTCTCACACGTGCAACCCCAGCACTTTCGGAGGCCAAGACAAGAATTGCCTGAAGCCAGGAGTTCAAGACCAGCCTGGGCAACGGAGACCCCCATCTCTACAAAAAAAGTAATCAAGTGAGCTACTTGGGAGGCTGAGGAGGGAGGATTGCTTGAGCCCAGGAATTCAAGGCTGCAGTGAGCTATGATCACACTACCGAACTCCGTGACAGAGAAAGACCTTGTCTCTTAAAAAAAAGGCTGGGCATGGTGGCCCATGCCCAGCACTTTGGGAGGCTGAGGCAGGTGGATCACCTAAGGTCAGAAGTTTGAGACCAGCCTGGCCAACATGGCGAAACTAAAAGTACAAAAATTAGCCGGGCATGGTGGCTGGCACCTGTAATCCCAGCTACTTGGGAGGCTGAGGCAGGAGAATCGCTTGAACCTGGGAGGCAGAGGTTGCAGTGAGCCAAGATCGTGCCATTGCACTCCAGCCTGGGTGACAGAGCAAGACTCTGTCTCAAAAAAAAAAAAAAAAAAAGATTGGGATGGGCCACGTCTAGTGCCCTTAAAAGGAGAGGTCACGTAGACTGGGCGTGGTGGCTCACGCCTGTAATCTCAGCACTTTGGGAGGCCAAGGCTGGTGGATCACGAGGTCAGGAGATAGTGACCATCCTGGCCAACATGGTGAAAACCCGTCTCTACTAAAAATACAAAAATTAGCTGAGCATGGTGGCACGTGCCTGTAATCCCAGCTACTTGAGAGGCTGACACAGGAGAATCACTTGAACCAGGGAGTTGGAGGTTGCAGTGAGCTGAGATCATGCCACTGCGCTCCAGGCTGGAGACAGAGCAAGACTCTGTCTCAGAAAAAAAAAAAAAGAGAGGTCATGTCTTTTCCCTTCCCTCTTCCTGCTAGCTGGGAAGTAGACATGATGAAGAATCATTTGCTGAGAATTGCAGTGCAACAAAATAGAGCCTGAGTTCCTGACATTAAAGTTCGGCATTCCATCCCTGGACAACCTACATCCCTAGACTTTTTTCAGGTAACAAAAAAACCTGTTTATTTTTACTGATTGCTGGGTTCAATCCTGAATGGTCATTTAGAAATATGGAGGAAAATAGCAAAACAAACAGTCAAAATAGACTTAAGAAGGAGAAAACCTGAATACATCATCATAGAGGGAATAAAAGCAAGTATTATTAAGCCATCGATTATTAAGCTATTATCTCTCAGCTTCAAACACACCATTTTGTCTTCTGCGATGCTGGGGCTGGAACTCTGCAGACTGGATTTCTTATGCCATCTGGTTCCCAATTAGACTTCCTACAGGTGATTCTAGAGGAAGACTAGAATGATGAAAGAGGAAGAAGGGCTTGCTCCTTTTTGCTTCTTTTTCCTGTCAGTGTCACTACAGCAATGGTTCTTCACCCTGGCAGTGGCACTTGGTTCCAGTTTGCAGTTTGTCCACACTACCACAGTCAATCTCATTGTCACTCAAATACCAGCACCAGCCAGCCAGAATTTCCCTCTGAAAAATCTATTCCTGGCCGGGCACGGTGGCTCACGCCTGTAATCCCAGCACTTTGGGAGACCAAGGCAGGCGAATCATGAGGTCAAGAGATCGAGACCAGCCTGGCCAACATGGCGAAACCCCGTCTCTACCAAAAATACAAAAATTAGCCAGGCATGTTGGCGGGCGCCTGTAATCCCAGCTACTCGAGAGGCTGAGGCAGGAGAATTGCTTAAACCTGGGAGGCGGAGGTTGCAGCGAGCAGAGATCGCACCACTGCACTCCAGCCTGGTGACAGAGCGAGATTCCGTCTCAAAAAAAACAAAAAGTCTATTCCCAGCTCTCTGAGGTTCATTCTGAGTTCAAGGCTCCAGTATCAGCCAAGAAAGGGCTCCTCCCTAAATTAAATTCCACATCTTTAGACTCTCTCCAAGCTTAAAATTTGAATAATCCTAATGCTTTCCCTTTTTCACCACCAGCCATAGAGATGGTCACTGCATCTTCCAGTTACTACCTGTGTAATATGTCAGTATCCCCTCTTTGCCCTTCTAGTTCTCCAGTACGTGTTTTTAAATACTTTCTATTAGATCTCCTTGTTATAAGTAGGTTTCTCCTGTCTCCTGACTAGGAAGAATTGGTACCAGGACTGGTCCTATAAAAAAGACTCTCAAAGAGGGTATTTGTAGTTTGGTTTGAATTTAAATGCACTGCTGAGTTTTTTGCCAGTGGGAAGTGGAATGCTAGGAATTCATGGTGTGGAATACCGTATAATTAATCAAATTATCAATGACACACTTAATGAAGTAAGTGCTTTGGGGGATCAAGTGGCTGCTGCATTTGGCCATTACTGCAGTAATGATGACTACAAGGACTTGGAATGGTTGCATCCAAGTACACAAGAGCACCTATGGAAAGAAGATAACAAGCTCAGGTCTCTAAACTTTCAACTCAAGACGTGCTCATAAGACCAGAGAGCTTCTCTGATTGCCCTAAAAGAATCTTATTTTGTGTAGCCTCAGGACTAACTAATAGATAGAAAATTTAACCATGCCCAGCCAGACAAAATTTTAAATCAGCTACTCCAAATATGTTCCAAGAACTAAAAGAAACAGTCTAAAGAACTGAAAGTAAGATAATGATGTTTCACCAAACATAGAATAAGCATTAAAGAGAGAGAAATTGCAAAAAGAACCAAATAGAAATTGCCAGGTTGAGGCCGGGTGTGGTGGCTCACACCTGTAATTCCAGCACTTTGGAAGGCCGAGGCGGGCAGATCATCTGAGGTCAGGAGTTCGAGACCAGCCTGGCCAACATGGCAAAACCCCATCTCTACTAAAAATACAAAAATTAGCCAGGTATGGTGGCAGGTGCCTATAATCCCATTTACTCAGGAGGCTGAGGCAAGAGAATCAAACCTTGGAGGCGGAGGTTGCAATGAGCCAAGATCGCGCCAGTGCACTCCAGCTTGGGTGACAAGAGCGAGACTCTATTTCAAAAAAAAAAAGAAAAGAAATTTCTAGGTTGAAAATTGCAGTAACTAAAATAATTCACTGGAGGGGCTCAACATCAGATTTTAAGCTGGCAAAAGAGAGAATTGGTTAATGAGAAGCTATATCAATTGAGATTATCCAGTCTGATGAATAGAAAGATAAAAGAATGAAGAAAGATGAGAGTCTCAGAGACCTGTGGAACACCATTAAGAATACAAACATTCACATTTGAAGTCTCGGAAGGAGAGAGAGTAATGGGCAGAAAGAATACTAGAAGAAATAATAGTTAAAACTTCCTAAATTTGATGAAAAACATTAATGTGCACACCTAAGAAGATAAACCATCTCAAGCAGGATAAATTCAGAGGTCCACACCTATATTCCATTATAATCAAAAAGTCAAAAACCAAACACAAAGGGAAACTCATGAAAGCAGCAATAGAGAAGTGACTCATCATGTACAAGGGATCCTCAATAATATTTAAAGCTGGTTTATCATCAGAAATGATGGAGGCCAGAAAGCAATGAATGGGATGATATATTCAAAATGCTGAAAGAAACAGAATGCCAAACAAGAATTCTATATCCTGCAAGGCCAGGCGCAGTGGCTCATGCCTGTAATCCCAGCACTTTGGGAGGCCGAGGCGGGCTGATCACGAGGTCAGGAGATTGAGACCATCCTGGCTAACACGGTGAAACCCCGTCTCCACTGAAAAAAAATACAAAAATTAGCCAGGTGTAGTGGCGGGTGCCTGTAGTCCCAGCTACTTGGGAGGCTGAGGCAGGAGAATGGCATGAACCCGGGAGGCAGAGCTTGCAGTGAGCCGAGATCGCGCCACTGCACTCTAGCCTGGGTGACAGAGCAAGACTCCATCTCAAAAAAAAAAAAAAACAAAAACAAAATTCTATATCCTGCAAACCTGTATTTCAAACATGAAAATAATAAAGACATTCCTACTCAAACAAACAAAAACTATAAATTTGTCACTAACAGATACTGTCTTAGTCCATTCCTGCTGCTATAATAAAATGCCTTAGATTTAGTAACTTAATACACAACAGAAATTTGTTGCTCGCAGTTCTGGAGGCTAGGAATTCCATGATCAAGATGCCAGCCAGCAGATCCAGTCTCTGCTGAGAGACCATTGTCATGGACGGTACTTCCTATATGTTCTCACTTAGTGGAAGTGGCAAAAATGGTCACTTATGACTCTTCTAAGGGCATTAATCCCATTCATGAGGGTGAAATCCTCATGACTTAATCACTTCCCAAAAGGCCCCACAATTTAGTGATGGGCAGTTAAGATTTCAACATACGACTTTGGGGAAACCATCATTTGAAATTGTTCTGCCCTCAAGGCCCTGGCATTCCGGGCCTGTGATAGGCAGGGTAGCCCCTGAAGACCACTGAAATGTCTAGGATCAATCTTCCACTGTTTTGATGAATGGCACCTGGCTTCCTCTAAGCCATACTGATTTTCTTATCACATGGTTGCTTTGGCCATATCCTTGATGTTGTCTCCTAAACATACTTTTTCATTTTTATAACTTGGCCGGCTGAGAATTTCCCAAATCTTTAACTTCTGCTTCCTTTTTTATTACAAATTCCATCTTTAGGACAAATGGTGCACTCTTGTAATCCCGGGTACTTGGGAATCTAGGGCAGGAAAATTGCTTGAGCTCAGGAGTTCAAGACCAGCCTGGACAACATAGCAAGACCCCATTTCTTAAAAAAATAGCCAGGTATGGTGGTATGCACCTGTAGTCCCAGCTACTCAGGAGGACAAGGCTGTGAGATTGCTTGATCTCAGGAGTTTGAGGCTGCAGTCACTTATGATTGCACCACTGTACTCCAGCCTGGGTAACAGTAAGACTCTGTCTCAAAAGAAAAAAAATGGGCCAGGCGCAGTGGCTCATGCCTGTAATCCCCGCACTTTGGGAGGCCGAGGCAGGTGGATCACGAGGTCAAGAGATCAAGACCATCCTGGCTAACACGGTGAAACCCCGTCTCTACTAAAAAACACAAAAAATTAGCTGGGGGTGGTGGCAGGCACCTGTAGTCCCAGCTATTCAGGAGGCTGAGAAGGGGAATAGCGTGAACCTGGGAGGCGGAGCTTGCAGTGAGCCAAGATCACGCCACTGCACTCCAACCTGGGCGACAGAGTGAGACACCGTCTCAAAAAAAAAAAAGAGGGAAATTATATAACTTTAAAAATCTATCTTTGTTTCTCTCTTCTCACATTTTACTATAATCAGTCAAGAGAGCCATACTGCACCCTCAACCTTGGCTTACATATTTTGCCTGCCAAGTATTCTATTTAATTACTTATACATTCTGTCTTCTGGGCCAGGTGCAATGGCACACACATGTAATCCCAGCACTTTGAGAGGCTGAGACAGGTGGATCTCTTCAGCCCAGGAGTTTGAGACCAGCCTGGGCAACATGGTGAAACCTTGTCTCTACAAACAATACAAAAATTAGCTGAGCATGCCATGCACTCCAGCCTGGATGACAGAGTGAGACTCTGTCTCAAAAAAATAAAATAAAATAAAAAAGTTCTATTTTCCACAAAACACTAGGACATAAACACAATTCAGCCAAGCCCTTTACCACTTTATAAAAAGGATGGCCTTTCCTCCAGTTTCCAAAAGCATGTTCCTCATTTCTATATGAACCTCATCAGAATAGCCTTTATTGTCCATGTTTGTACCACTTAGGTAATCTCTAGGAAGACTGAGGATTTCCTCATGGCACTCCTCTTCTTCTGAGCCCTCAGTAGAATTGTCCTTAGCACTCCATTCACAGCAAGGTAGCCTTTTTCTAGCATGCACTTTAAAACTGTTCCAACTCAAGATGTGCTCATTGCTCAATCCTAAAGCCACTTCCAAATTTTTATTTGTTTTGTTTTGTTTTGTTTTGAAATGAAATCTCACTTTGTTGCCCAGGCTGGAGTGCAGTGGGGTGATCTCAGCTCACTGCAACCTCCATCTCCCGAGTTCAAGCAATTCTCCTGCCTCAGCCTCCCCAGTACCTGGGACTACAGGAACCCTCCACCAAGCCCAGCTAATTTTTGTATTTTTAGTAGAGATGGGGTTTGACCCTGTTGGTCAGGCTGGTCTTGAACTCCTGACCTCAAGCAATCCATCTGCCTCAGCCTCCCAAAGTGCTGGGATTACAGGCATGAGCCACCATACCTGGCCCACATTTTTAGATATTTGTTATAGAAACACCCCACTTCTGGTACCAATTTTTGTCTTCGTGCATTCATGATGCTATAACAAAATATCTTAGACCAAGAAATGTATAAACAACAGAAATGTATTGCTCACAGTTCTGGAGGTTGGAAAGTCTGAGATCAAGGCACCAGCAGATTTGATGTCTAGTGAAGGACTATTCCTCATGGAAGTCACCTTCTATGTGTCCTCAAATGGCAGAATAAGCGAACACACTTCTTTCAGCCTCTTTTATAAGACACTAATCCTATATAGGAGGGTGGAACCTTCATGACTTAATCAATTCACAAAAGGTCCCAAATCTTTTTTTTTCCTTTTTTTTTTTTTTTTTTGAGATGGAGTCCACCCCATCTGGGCTGGAGTGCAGTGGCATGATCTCGGCTCACTGCAATCTCTGCCTCCCAGGTTCAAGTGATTCTTGTGCCTCAGTCTCCCAAGTAGCTGGGATTACAGGTGCCTGCAACCACGCCTGGCTAATTTTTTGTATTTTTAGTAGAGATGGGGTTTCACTATGTTGGACAGGCTGGTCTCGAATGCTTAACCTCGTGATCCACCCACCTCGGCCTCCCAAAGTGCTGGGATTACAGGCATGAGCCACAACGCCTGGCCTAGGTCCCAATTCTTCATACCATCACTCCAGTAGTCAAGATTACAACATATGAACTTGTGGGGAACACGTTCAGACTATAGCAAATACAAAAGAGAGTCTTTCAGGCTGAAACAAAAGGATACAACTCAAATCCAGTAGACAGTAACTCAAATTTACATGAGGAATTATTTTTTGTTCATAATTTTTCTTTTATGTGATTAAAAAGATAACACATACGCCAATTAAATTATTAAGCAGTTTTGATGGGCTTATAATGTGTAAAGTTGTAATTTGTGTGACAATAATAGCACAAAGTAGCAGGGAGGGAGCAGGGCTATATAAGAAGTTTTTGCATATTGAGATTAGGCTAGCATTATTTCATATATACTAGATTGTTATAAATTAAGATGCTAAAGGTGATACTATGACAACTGCTAAGAAAATCATTCAAAAAAGTACAGAACTAAAATGGCACCCTAAAAAATATCTAACATAAAAGAAGACATAATGAAACACAAAAGATGTATAAAAAACAATTAGCAAAAATGTATTAAACAGAGGAAGGAGACAGAGCAAGATGGCCAAATAGAAGGTGCCACTGATCATCCTCCCTGCAGGAACACCAAATTTGACAACTATCTACACAAAAAAGCACCTTCCTAAGAACCAAAAATCAGGTGAGTGATCATAGTATCTGGTTTTAACTTCAAATTATTGCTGGAAGAGGCACTGAAGAGAGTAGGAAAGACGGTCTTGAATTGCTGACACCACCCCACCCCCATCCCCCAGTAGTGGCCACATGCCACTGGCCCAGGGTGTGGAGAGATAATCTGTGAACTTGGGGGAGAGAGGGCGCAGAGTTTGTGGGACTTTATATTGGAACTCAGTGATGCCAACACCGGGCAAAACTCAGCCAATGCCCATAGAGAAAGCATTTAGAACAGCTCTAGCCAGCCAGGCATGGTGGCTCACACCTGTATTCCCAGCATTTTGGGAGGCCGAGGCAGGTGGGTTGCCTGAGGTCAGGAGTTCGAGACCAGGGGAAGACGAGGCCATATCTCAGGCTGTCTCAGTGGGGGGAAAACTTGGACAATACCCAGGCTTTCTTGGGCAGAGGTCCCTGCAGCTTTCCGCAGTGCATTGTGCCCCTGGTTTATTGAGAATGGAGAATGGCGATGACTTTTACCAAGCATACTGCCTATAAACATATTATTAACAAGGCACATCCTGCACAGCCCTAGATCCCTTAAACCTTGATTCCATACAGCACATGTTTCTGTGAGCACAGGGTTGGGGCTAAAGTTACAGATTAACAGCATCTCAAGGCAAAACAATTTTTCTTTTTCTTTTCTTTTTTTTTTTGAGACGGATTCTCGCTGTGTCCCCCAGGCTGGAGTGCAGTGGCGTGATCTTGGCTCACCCAGCACTTTGGGAGGCCAAGGCGGGTGAATCATGAGGTCAAGAGATCGAGACCAGCCTGGCCAACATGGTGAAACCCTGTCTCTACTAAAAATACAAAAATTAGCTGGGTGTGGTGGTGGGCGCCTGTATTCCCAGCTACTCGGGAGGCTGAGGCAGGAGAATCGCTTGAACCCAGGAGGTGGAGGTTGCAGTGAGCCATGATCACGCCATTGCACTCCAGCCTGGGTGACAGAGTGAGACTCCGCCTCAAAAAAAAAAAAAAAAAAAAAAAAGAACAGCCCTAGCCAGAGGGGAATTGCCCATCCCAACAGTCAGAACTTGAGTTTCAGCCAACCTCACCACCATGGGCTACAGTACTCTGGGGTCCGAAATAAACGTGAAAGCCTATCTTGGCCACAAGGACTGCAATTCCTAGGCAAGTTCTAGTGCTGTGTTCGGTTCAGGGCCAGTGGACTTGGGGGGCCATGCAACCCAGTGGGATACCAACCAGGGCAGCCAAAATATTGCTTGCCTCATCCATCCCCTAGCACCAGGTAGTGCAACTCACAGCTCCAGAAGAGACTCCTTCCTTCCACTTGAGGAGAGGAAAGGGAAGAGTAAAAAGGACTTCATTTTGCAGCTTGGATACCAGCTCAGCCACAGTAAGATAAGGCACCAGGCAGAGCCATGAAGTCCCCATACCAGGCCCTAGCTCCTGGATGACATTGCTAGACACACCCTGAGCCTGAAGGGAACCTATTGCCTTGAAAGGAAGAACCCAGTTCTCGCAGGAATTATCACCTGCTGACTAATGAGCCCTTAGGCCCTAAATCATCAGCAGTGGTAATCAGGTAATACCTGCCAGCCTTGGGTGAGATGCTGCGACTGATGACTTCAGGTGTGACCCAGCATATTCACAGCTGTGGTGGCTATGAGGCGAGACTCTTGCTTGAGCAATACAGAGGGAAAAATAAAGGGAACTTTGTGTTGCAAATTAGGTACCAGCTTGGGCACAGTGGGGAAGAGTAGCAAGTGAGTTATTGGGGTTCCCAATTCCAGGCCTTAGCTCTTGGATGGCATTTCTAGACCTACCCTGAGACAGAGGGGAGCCCACTACCCTGAAGGGTGAGTCCCAAGCCTGGTAACATTCACCAAAAGCTGACTGAAGAGCCCTTGGGCCTTAAGTAAACATTGGTGGTACACTGGCAGTGCTCCCCATGGGCCTTTGTGTAGGGAAAAGAAAGAGATCAGACTGTTACTGTGTCTATATAGAAAAGGAAGACACAAGAAACTCCATTTTGATCTGTACTAAGAAAAATTGTTGGGCCGGGCGCTGTGGCTCACACCTGTAATCCCAGCACTTTGGAAGGCCGAGATGGGCGGATCACGAGGTCGGGAGATCGAGACCATCCTGGCTAACACGGTGAAACCCCGTCTCTACTAAAAATACAAAAAAATTAGCCGGGCGTGGTGGCGGGTGCCTGTAGTCCCAGCTACTTGGGAGGCTGAGGCAGGAGAATGGCGTGAACCCGGGAGGCGGAGCTTGCAGTGAGCCGAGATTGCGCCACTGCACTCCAGCCTGGGTGACAGAGCAAGATTCCTCAAAAAAACAAAAGAAGTCTTAAAAAAGTCTCAAAAAAAAAAAACAAGTCTTAAAACATTCAAAAATTGGTATATACATGAGTGGAAAAAAGTTAATAGATACAGAATAGAGCACAAGCAGGATCTTAAAAAATGGTTTAAAAAGCCAGGCACAGTGGCTCATGCCTGTAATCCCAGCACTTTGGGAGGCTGAGGCGGGTAGATCAACTGAGGTCAGGAGTTTGAGACCAGCCTGACCAACATGGTGAAACTCCCATCTCTACTAAAAACACAAAAATTAGGCTGGGCGCGGTGGCTCACGCCTGTAATCCCAGCACTTTGGGAGGCCGAGGTGGGCAGATCACAAGGTCAGGAGATCAAGACCATCCTGGCCAACATGGTGAAACCCCATCTCTACTAAAAATACAAAAATTAGCTGGGTGTGCTGGCACATGCCTGTAATCCCAGCTGCTCAGGAGGCTGAGGCAGGAGAATCGTTTGAACCAGGGAGTCGGAGGTTGCAGTGAGCCAAGATCGTGCCACTGTACTCCAGCCTGGTGACAGAGCGAGACCCGACCTGAAAAAAAAAAAAAAATTAGCTGGACGTGATGGTGGGCGCCTATAATCCCAGCTACTTCAGAGGCTGAGGCAGAAGAATCACTAGAACCTGGGAGGCGGAGGTTGCAGTGAGCCAATATCGCACCATTGCACTCCAGCCTGCAGGACAGAGCGAGACTCCATCTCAAAAAAAAAAAAAAAAAAAAGAAAAAGGTAAAAAGAAAACAAAAAAGTGAAAAAAAGCGAGAAAAAAAAATGGAAAAAATTGAAATGATATCATGTATTTTCTGTGATCACAATGGAATAAAACTAGAAATCAAAACAAGAGAAATTGGCTGGGTGTGGTGGCTCACATCTGTAATCCCAGCACTTTGGGAGGCCGAGGCGGGCAGAGCATTTGAGATCAGGAGTTTGAGACCAGCCTGGCCAAGATGGTGAAACCCCATTTCTACTAAAAATACAAAAATTAGCTGTGCATGGTGGTGGGCGTCCATAATCCCAGCTACTCGGGAGGCCAAGGCAGACTGCTTGAACCCAAGAGGCGGAGGTCACAGTGAGCCAAGATTGTGCCACTGCACTCCAGCCTGGACAACAGAGCGAGACTCTGTCTCAAAAAAAGAAAGAAAAAGGTCAGGCGCAGCAGCTCATGCCTGTAATCCCAGCACTTTAGGAAGCCAAGGTGGGCGGATTACTTGAGGTCAGGAGTTTGAGACCAGCCTGGCCAACATGGTGAAACCCCATCTCAACTTATAAAATACAAAAATTAGCTTGGCATAATGGAGTGCGCCTGTAATCCCAACTACTCCAGAGGCTGAGGCAGGAAGGCAGGAGAATCACTTGAACCCAGGAGGTAGAGGTTGCAGTGAGCTGAGATCGTGGCATTGCACTCCAGCCTAGGCAATAGAGTGATTGAGACTCCAGCTCAAAAAAAAAAAAACCAAGAAGAAGAAGAAGAGAAACTTCAAATTATGATACATCTTAAAGAATTAGGTGCAGTGGGCCGGGCGCGGTGGCTCACGCCTGTAATCCCAGCACTTTGGGAGGCCGAGGCGGGCGGATCACGAGGTCAGGAGATCGAGACCATCCCGGCTAAAACAGTGAAACCCCGTCTCCACTAAAAATACAAAAAAATTAGCTGGGCGTGGTGGCGGGCGCCTGTAGTGCCATCTACTCAGGAGGCTGAGGCAGGAGAATGGCGTGAACCCAAGAGGCAGAGCTTGCAGTGAGCCGAGATTGAGCCACTGCACTCCAGCCTGGGCGACAGAGCGAGACTCTGTCTCAGAGAAAAAAAAAGAAAAAAAGAATTAGGCGCAGTGGTTCATGCCTGTAATCCCAGCACTTTGCGAGGCCGACACGGGCAGATCACTTGAGGCCAGTAGTTTGAGACCAGCCTGGCCAACTTGGTGAAACCCCATCTCTACAAAAACTACAAATATGAGCCCGGCGTGGTGGCACATGCCTTTTGTCTCAGCTCCTTGGGAGGCTGAGGTGAGAGGATCACTTGAGCCCAGGAAGGGGAGGTTGCAGTGAGCCAAGATGGTGCTACTGCACTCCAGCCTGGGTGATAGACTGTCAAACAAACAAACAAACAAACAAACAAAGATTAGAAAAGCAAGACCAAACCAAACCCAAAATTAGTAGAAGGAAAAAAATAATAAAGATCAGAGCAGAAAGAAATGAAATTGAAATGAAGAAAACAATACCAAAGATCAATGAAACAAAAAGTTGTTTGGGAAAGTTAAAAAAAATTGACAAACCTTTAGCCAGACTAAGAAAAAAGAAGGAAAATCCAAATAAATAAAATCAGAGATGAAAAAGGAGAAATTAGAATTAATAGTGCAGAAATTCAAAGGATGATTAGGGGCTACCGTGAGCAGCTACATGCCAGTAAATTGGAAAACCTAGAAGAAATGGATAAATTTCTAGACACATCCAACCTACCAAGACTGAACCATGAAGAAATACAAAATCTGAACAGACCAATAACAAGTAATGAGATCAAAGCCATAATAAAAGAGTCTCCTAACAAAGAAAAGCCCAGGACCCAATGGCTTTATTTATGAATTTTACCAAATATTTACAGAAGAACTAATACCAATCCTACTCAAACTATTCCAACAAATAAAGGCAGAGGGAATATTTCCAAACTCATTCTATTAAGTTGGTGCAAAAGTAATTGCAGTTTTAGACCCTGAATTTTAAATCATTATAACTAGGCTCAAACACATCTTTATTAATCAAAATAGGAACCATTACAATCAACACATTTTGCCAATGAGAAATAAGTTTGTTTATTCCTGTAGTGTAAAAATCCACGTTTTGGTATTTGACAAACTCTTGGAAAGCATTTTCTGTGTCCTGCTGGTTGTGGAAGTATTTTCCCTGCAAAAAGCTGTTGAGATGCTTGCAGAAGTGACAGTCAGTTGGCGAGAGGCAACTCTCACCAGTGAATATAGCAAATGAGGCAAAACTTCATAGCCCAATTCATTCAACTTTTGAAGTGTTGGTGGTGAGACGTGCGGTGAGGCATTGTCGTGGAGAACTGGGTCCTTTCTGTTGACCAATGCCAACTGCAGGCATTGCATTCTCAGAGCAACTCATTGATTTGCTGAGCATTCTTCTCAGATGTAATGGTTTTGCTGGGATTCAAAAAGCTGTAGTGGATCAGAGCAGCAGCAGACCACCAGTGACCATGACCTTTTTTTTTTGGTGCAAGTTTGGCTTTAGGAAGTGCTTTGGAGCTTCTTGTCAGTCCAGCCACTGAGCTGGTTGTTGCCAGTTGTCATATAAAATCCACTTTTAATCACACATCACAATCCAATTGAGAAATGATTCATTGTTGTTGAGTAGAATAAGAAAAGACAACACTTCAAAACAGTGATTTTTTAGATTTTTGGTCAGCTCACGAGACACCCACTTACTGAGTTTTTTCACCTTTCCAATTGGCTTCAAATACCGAAAGACCAAAGAATGGTCGATGTCGAGTTCTTCGGCAACTTCTCGTGTAGTTGTAAGAGGATCAGCTTCGATGATTGCTCTCAATTGGTCGTTGTTAACTCCCCATGGCTGGCCACTATGCTCCTCATCTTCAGGGCTCTCATCTCCTTTGCAAAACTTCTTGAACCACTACTGCACTGTATGTTTGTTAGCAGTTCCTGGGCCAAATGCGTTGTCAACATTACAAGTTGTCTCCACTGCTATAACCCATTTTGAACCTGCAAGGTGTGGCAGACAGCCCAGGACAACGAGAGGGACTGCAACATCACGGATGGTGACTACTACGAGGTGGACATCAACAGGCAAGATCCTGGCCTGCAGGTACCATGTGGCTGTGGCATTGCCGAGGCTGGCGAGCTCCAAGAGCAGCTCAGGGCACTGCGCAGCAGGCATGAGGCCCGCGAGACCCAGCACGCTGAGGAGAGGGCCTATACAAGGCCAAAGTCCAGGCGCTCACCGCGGAGGTCTCCCTGCTGGAGAAGGCCAGCTGCCAGCACTGGCCCAGCTGGAGAAGTTGCTGAAAGTGAGCAACATTGCCGGTGAGACGCAGGGCCAGCCTGAGTGTGGCCCAGGATGAGCTGGTGATCTTCAGTGAGGAGCTGGCCAACCTCTACCATCACGTGTGCATGTGAAACAACTGGAGGCCCAGCTCTGTCATGGGGGACTACTACCTGAGGGCCAGGACGGGGCCAGCTGCACCAGCCCCATGGGCAACTCCTCCATCCTCCTACCCAGGGGGCTGCTGGCTACAGAGGCAGGCCAAGCACACAGCAGGACCAGGGACATCAGCCCTTCATGTAGCCCCTTGCTGCCATCACCCCTGGGTGACCCATGCTGGGAGCCCATGAATATCTACCACTTGATTCGTATCATCTGCCACCAGATCAAGCACCTGCAGGCAGCTGTGAACCACATAATGGAGCTGTTGTGGCAGCGCATCGCCTCGCAAGAGCTGGGCCCAACCACGGACAAGTTCAAGGAGGCTCTCGTGAAAAAGATCCTCAAGTTGAAGTCGCTGCTCAGCACCAAGTGGGAGCAGCTCACCACGCTGCACACTGTGCTGCAGGCCAGCCAGCAGGCAGCCAAGGTGGCCCTCTCCAAGCTGAAGGGCAAGTAGGAGAAGAAGAAGACCATGGTTACCAAGACCAGGATGAAGCTCTGCAATGAGCTCCAGGTGCTCGCCTCTGAGGAGGACGTGGCCACCTTCTCCTCACTGTGCACCAGTTTGCCACCAGGTGAAATGAGTACATCACAGCTGGAGGAGACGCAGCAGCAGCTGTCAGCTGCAGAGGATGAGAAGGCACTGAACTCACTGCTGTGCATGGTCATCCTGCAGAAGCTGGCACTGACCCAGTGGCTGGAGCTGCTCAAGCTGGACCACACAGACCTGGTGTGACCCCACCAAAGCTGCCCCCAAGGCCAAGCTGGCCACCCCAAGCTTATGTTATGCCTGCACCTGCGCCAGTGACAGGGCCAAGGGCACTGGGCTGACCAACCAGGTGTTCCACATTATAGGTGTAAGCCACCTTGCCTGGCCCATTCCCCGAGTTTTTAATGGGAGGGAAAAAAAGCTTTAATGTTGGTCAGAGTGATGGCTCATGCCTGTAATCCCAACACTTTGTAAGGCCGAGGCAGGAGGATGGCTTGAGCTCAGGAGTTGGAGACCAGCCTGGGCAACATAGCGAGACTGAGACCGTATCTCTACAAAAAAGTAGCGGGACATGGTGGCATGCACCCGTGGTCCCAGCTTCTTGGGAGGCTGAGGTGGGAGGATCACTTGAGACCTGCAAATCAAGATTGCAGTGAGTCATCAACACGCCACTGCACTCAGCCTGGGCAATAGAGTAAAAAAAAAGCTTTAATGTTGAGCATGTCGAAAGCTGCTGCGTGGAAAGGCCTCTGTACAGGCTGAAGATCCTTCCCTGGCTGCCAGGCTTGCCAAGAGCCCTCTAGAAACACGGGGCTCTCTGTTACACGGGGCTCTTTGTTACAATGTTCTTTTTTTATCTGATCAACATGTGCACTTTTGATATTTTGATACTATATTTGCTTCCTTAATTCCTCATGCACTGACAGTCTCAGATGCTGTGGTCTATGCTCATGGGCCTGTCGCTGCCTGCCCACCTCCCTCTGTGTTGGTCTGGTGTCAGCACTAGGCAGAGCTGTGTGCTCTTAGCATGTAGGTCTAGACTGTGGAGATTAGGGCTTTGACCAGAGAATTCACCAGAGAAGGCATCTAGGCCTGAGTTTTTCTTTGTGCAAAATTTTTGTATTACAAATTCAATTTCTTGTTATAGGTCTATTCAAATTTTCTATGTTTTTATTTTTATTTTTTATTTTACTTATTATTATTATTTTGAGGTGGCGTCTCACTCTGTTGCCCAGGATGGAGTGCAATGGCGCAGTCTTGGCTCACTGCAACCTCCACCTCCCAGGTTCAAGTATTTCTCCTGCCTCAGCCTCCCAAGTAGCTGGGATTACAGACATGCACAATGACACCATTCTAATTTTTGTATTTTTAGTAGAGACTGGCTGGTCTTGAACTCTTGACCTCAGGTGATCCGCCTGCCTCGGCCTCCCAAAGTGCTGGGACTACAGGCGTGAGCCACTGCACCCAGGCTTTTTTTTTTTTTTGTGTGTGAGATGAAGTCTCACTCTGTCACCCAGGCTGGAGTACAGTAGTGCAATCTCGGCTCACTGCAACCCACACCTCCCAGGTTCAAGCAATTCTTGTGTCTCAGCCTCCCGAGTAGCTGGGATTACAGGTGTGTGCCACCACGCCTGACTAATTTGTTGTGTTTTTAGTAGAGATGGGGTTTCGCCATGTTGGCCAGGCTGGTCTCGAATTCCTGACCTCATGTGATCAGCCCACCTCAGCCTCCCAAAAGTGGGATTACGGATGTGAGCCACCATGCCCAGCCAGATTTCTTATTTATTTTTGAATCAATGATTGATGAGAAGCAATTGGCATTGGGTCAGAATTATAAATGAAAAAAAAAATTTTTTTTTTTTTTTGGAGACAGAGTCTCGCTCTGTTGCCCAGGCTGGAGTATAGTGGGATGATCTCGGCTCACTGCAGCCTCCGCCTCCTGGGTTCAAGCTATTCTCATGCCTCAGCCTCCCAAGTAGCTGGGACTATAGGCACCCGCCACCACACCCGGCTAATAGGGTTTCACCATGTTTCCCAGGCTGGTCTTGAACTCCTGAGCTCAGGCATTCCACCCACCTCAGTCTCCCAAAGTGCTAGGATTATAGGTGTGAGCCACCATGCCTGGCCAAAATGAACATATTTTTTGATTCAGCTGTTCCAATCCCAAGAACTTATTTCAGTTATATGTTGCTATATGCTAAAGTTCAGTGGCATAAAACAATAACCATGTTATTATGCTCACAGATTCTGTGGTTCAATAAGGGAAGTAACTCAAATGACAGAGGCTTGGAGTCACTAGCATCTGACTTGAGATGACTTGAAGATCAGGGCTTTCCAAAGGTTACTTACATGTAGTCTTTCTATGTGATAGGCTTCTCATAGCATGGTGACTGGATTCTAAAAGGTAGCCCTCCAACAGGGAGCTGCCAGAGAGCAGGTGTTCTATGAAGACCAGATGGAAGTTGCATGACCTTTTATGACCTAGAATGATGTCTCCCATAGTCCATTTTCTGAAGCAGTTACTAGTTCCAAAGAGCATGTGAAGTGGGAGATATTGTTGCAGACATTTCTGGAAAATACAATCTGTCAGACTTTTTACACGAATACTTGTATCTGTTAAGTGTAAAAAGGGGGGCAGAACAATAATTACAGCAATCTCATTCGCAGAGTTTTACAATGTGTACATATGGGCAGGTGCAAATGCATAGAGAGAGAACCAGAAAGTAATGGGATTTTCTTTTTTCTTTTTTGAGACCGAGTTTCGCTCTTGTTGCCCAGGCTGGAGTGCAATGGTGCGATCTCAGCTCACTGCAACCTCTACCTCCTGTGTGCGAGCGAGGGAAGAAAGAAAGAGGGAGAGAGGGAGGGAGGGAGAGAAGGAAGGAAGGAAGGAAAGAAGGAAGGAAAGAAGGAAGGAAGGAAGGGAAAAAGAGATGAAAGAAAGAAAGAGAGAAGGAAAGAAAGAAAGAGACAGAAAAAGAAAGAAAGAAGGAAGGAAAGAGAAAAGAAAACAGAAAAGAAAGGAAAAGGAGTATGAGGAAACGTATGGGCATTGTGGAGATGTTCTTTCTTTTCTTCTTTTTAATCAGCCATATGCTAAGAAAATGTTGTAACTGAATATTGGTTGTGGTGGTGGCTATGTGTTCATCTGTCAAAATATTGTACCATGCGCTTAAGATGGGTAAACTTATTGTATGTAAATTACACCTAAAGAAGGCTGATTTTAAAATTATCAAAATATCAATGTTGAAAACATCAGTTCTCAAGAAATAATATAAGCTATGGATGCCTTCAAATTCCCAAGAAAAGAAAAATTTAAGGCAACATGTATATAAGTATGAATCTACACAATGCCATTAATTAAGGTCCAGGGATTAGAAACACAGGGGTTTGACCCAGGAAGGTGGTGGGTTAGGGAGGAAAAAAAAAAAAAAAAGAAACACAGGGGTTTTCAGAGAGATGTGAGACACACAAGGAGAAATCTTCTAGAACCTACAATCCAAAGTGCTTTATGGTTGGGGGTGGGTGAGCTTGAAAAAAAAAAAAGCTCTATGAAGGTGATGTAGTGGGAGTTATTCCATGGTTGGCATTTGCCAAATTTATAAACCTAGCAAGTAGAGTGAATTTCACAAGATTCAAGGAAACAAAGCTTATGGATGTAGATTTACGAATGTCTTAGTTGCCAATTGACATACAAAATGAAAAACCAGAGTCTTGCTATTTAGGATAAAACACCAAGTTTTTGTTTTTAGAGATGGGTTCCCACTGTTACCTTAGCTGGACTCCAATTCTTGGTCTCAAGCGATCCTCCTGAGTAGCTAGGACTATAGGTGCAAGTCACTGTACCTGGCAAGAGTGAGTCGCGGGTCAAAAGCTTACAGCACCCCGTAGGAATCCCACCCAAGGACTAACCAGGCCTGAGCTTGCTTAGCTTCTGAGTTCAGGTGCATTCAGGGTGGTAGGGCTATAGACTGGTTTTGATTTGGCTGGTCTTTGTTAACAAAGCCCAAGGGACCCTTTTTATGCTCACTTTTCTTCCTTCAGTATTGTATGCCTGGGAATTCTGCTTCTAGCTATGGTAGGATCACTTATTCCAACAAACCCTCTCATTAAAAATAACTAGAAAACCTGGACAAAATGTAAAATACTTAAGTTAAAAAACCCCAAGCAGTTACCAAGGCAGTGATGACTTGAGGGGCTAAGATCCCTGAGAAAGGAAAAGGGCGGTCCAAAGGGGTCAACTCTTCAAAGTATTGGGAGAATTTACAAATGGCAGCTGAGAGCTGACTGGCTATAAACTGGAGGTTTGTAGTTCCCATGACTTCCTCTTTGGGTTCAGTAATTTGGTAGAAAAGCTCACAGGACTCAGGAAAGCAGTTTACTTCTGGATTACCAGTTTATTATAAAGGATACAACTCAAGAACAGCCAGGTGGAAGAGCTGCCTAGGGCAAGGTACCAGGGAGGTGCGTGGGCTTCCAGGCCATCTCCAGATTTCACCATGTTGCCCAGTCAGGTCTTGAATTCCCGGACTCAAGCAATCTGCCTGCCTTGGCATCCCAAAGTATTGAGATTACAGGTGTGAGCCACTACCCCCAGGTGAATTGCTTGAGCCCATGAATTCAACTCCCAAGTAGCTGGGACTACAGAAGCATGCCACCACACTTGACTATTTTTTAACTTTTTGCAGACAGCATCTCCCTATATTGCCCAAGCTGGTTTCGAACTCCTGGGCTCAAGCAATGTTTTGGGTTCCCAAAGTGTTGGGATTATAGGCATGAGCCACTGCATCTGGGCAGTGAACGTTTTTTTGGAGATGGGGTCTCACTGTGTCACCCAGGCTGGAATGCGGTAGCATGGTCCCAGCTCACTGCAACCTCCGCCTCCCAGGCTCAAGCGATCCTCCCACCTCAGCCCCACCAAGTAGCTGAGACTACAGGTGCATGCCACCACACCCAGCTAATTTTTCTTTTTTCCTTTTTTTTTTTTTTTTTTTTTTTTTTGAGACAGAGTTTTGCTCTTGTTTTCCAGGCTTGAGTGCAATGGCATGATCTCAGCTCACTGCAACCTCCACCTCCCAGATTCAAGCAATTCTCCTGCTTCAGTCTCCCGAGTAGCTGGGATTACAGGCATGTGCCACCACGCCTGGCTAATATTTTTTGTAGTTTTAGTAGAGACGGGGTTTCTCCATGTTGGTCAGGCTGGTCTCGAACTCCAGCTAATTTTTCTATCTTTTGTAGAGATGGAGTTTCGCCATGTTGCCCAGGCTGGTCTTGAACTCCTGGACTTAAGCAATCAGTCTGCCTCAGCCTCCCAAAGTGCTGGGATTACAAGAAAGAGCCACTGCGCCCCACCCCAGTAAAAACTCTTAAGAGTAGGGGTGGGGGGAAGCAAAGAAGAGGATGTAGAGTCGACACGGGAGGGTATTGCAATTTTAAGTAATGCAGTCAGAGGATAGATACTTCACTGAAACGAATAAACTCTTGAATGACGG
Source organism: Homo sapiens (assembly GCF_000001405.40). Taxonomy (NCBI): domain Eukaryota; kingdom Metazoa; phylum Chordata; class Mammalia; order Primates; family Hominidae; genus Homo; species Homo sapiens. Next base: position 200,850,665 of record NC_000002.12, read on the forward strand.
GAGGGGAATGTGGATATCTAAGAGGATGGACTATACTTGGTGAGGCGATAGCGCCGCATGTGGGGGAAAAGTAGCCACGTGGTCAGGAAAGTGGAGTGGCACAGGCGATATTGTAGACCTTTTTAAAGGTGACTGTAAATACTTTCGTAAAACTGACATGGAAGTCATTGGAGGATTTTTTTTTTCCATTTTCTCCCCAAAAGCAGGATCTGAAGCCATTGAAGATTTTTCCCCTTGTTTCTTTTTCTTTCAATAGTTTTGGGGGAACAGGTGGTTTTTGATTACATAGGTAAGTTATTTAGTGGTAATTTCTGAGATTTTGGTGCACCCCGTCATCCAAGCAGCGTATACTGTACCCAATGTGGTCTTTTATCCCTCACCTCCCTCCCACCCTTCCCCAAGTCCCAAAAGTCCATTATATTATTCTTATGCCTTTCCGTCCTCATAGCTTAGCTCCCACTTACAAATGAAAACATACAGTATTTGGTTCTCCATTCCTGAGTTACTTTACTTAGAATAATGGTCTCCAGCTCCATCCAGGTTGCTGTGAATACCATATTTTGTTCCTTTTTATGGCTGAGTAGCATTCCCTGGTGTATACATACTTTTTTTTGTGACACAGCCCTCAGGAGGTCCTGAGGACATGTGCCTGATATACCACATTTTCTTTATCCACTCATTGGTTGATGGGCATTTAGGCTGGTTCCATATTTTTGCAATTGCAAATCATGCTGCTGTACACATCTTTTTCATATGACTTCCTCTGGGTAAGATACCCAGATTGCTGGATGAAATGGAGATTTTGACATGAGTGATATAATAGTTTTAACGGCTTACTCTGGCTACTATGTTAATAGATTGGGGATAGGTAGGGTGGGTGAACTGACTGCCTTGATGGCCCAAATTCTCCACCTCTTTTGCCCTACAACCCTGCAGTACCATGATTCTGGATGGAGCTGTGTGACTTCTCTAACAAATGGGATGTTAGCAAATTTGCTCTGGACACCATTCCTGAGGAACAAGCCTCAAAGCCTGGAATTAACTCCCTACCTTTTAAACCTAAGAAAATATAGGCCCTTAAGGTTTGGTTTGTCAATCCAATCTAACACATTTTAGTCAAACATGTAACTAATGTACTTTTGATTCTCATTGGTACAAATGATTAGCCACACCACCATTTACAATGGCAATTTACATTAACACAAAATTTAGGATTCAGGCCAGGTGCCATGGCTGAGGCTTGTAATCCCAGCATCTGGGAGGACGAAGCGGGTGGATCACTTGAGGCCAGGAGTTCCAGACTGGCCTGGCCAACATGGTGAAAACCAGTCTCTACTAAAAAACACAAAAATCAGCCAGGCGTGGTGGCTGACATCTGTAATCCTGGCTACTCAGGAGGCTGAGGCTCAAGAATTGCTTGAACCTGGGAGGCAGATGTTGCAGTGAGCTGAGATCACGACACTGCACTCCAGCCTGAGCAATAGAGCGAGACTCTGTCTGCTTACAATCTCTGAGGCCTAATTGCATTTTTTTTTTGAGACAGTCTCATTCTATTACTCAGGCTGGAGTACAGTGGTGCCATCTGGACTCACTGCAAACTCCACCTCCCGGGTTCAAGCTATTCTCGAGCTTCAGCATCCCCACATAGCTGGCATTACAGGTGCTTGCCACCATGCCTGGCTAATTTTTTAGTAGAGATGGGGTTTCACCATGTTGGTCTCAAACCTCAAACTCCTGGCCTCAAATGATCTGCCCACTTCGGCCTACTAAAGTGCTAGGATTATAGTTGTGAGCCATCGCACCTGGCCAGCATTTAAAAATTTCTGAAAGAAAGAAATGTGGGGAGGGGAGGGGAGAGGATAGAGAATGAGAATCTGCTGAGGGAAAAAGAAAGAGACAGAGAAAGAGAAAAAAGAGAGAGAGAGGAGAGAGAGAGACAGAGGGAAAAGAAAGCCCCCCAAACCCAAAAAACAACTGTGGAAAGATCTAAGCCTCAGGATCCCAAATGGATCAAACATAGATGAAACCAGACAAAAATCTGCTGTATTACACACACTCACACTTGATAAATTCACAGACTAGGCTGCAAAGGAATGAAAGCTCCACCACAGTGTGATTCTGCAAATGACTTCAGATCCTGTGCAACAATTAACAGCAAACCGCAATACCAAGTTTGAGTAGGAATAAAATGGAACTCTTCTCGGCTAATCTTAAGTTCTGTGTGTCCCATAATCTAGTTTCATTACATTTAACTTAGGGGGCAATGTCTCAATCTTGACAATCCCTAAAATGGAAATGAAGCTAAATTTTCCCAAAGACTTGAGGAAGTCTCCAAAAACAGAAATCTATGTCCATTCTTTAATAGAAGTAGGAAGAAAAATGGTACTTAGAACAAACTGTTCAGATACATATCAACTTCATAAGCACAAAAAATTTATTCTGAATAAATCACTTTACAATTACTGAAAAAGATGTTCATTACCTTAGCTATGTACTTAATGAACCAAATTACCCAAACAAAATAAACATGGCAATATAAAAATGTTAAGAATTTACAAAGCTGTACAAAATAACTTAAAATTTAAAAATTAGACTGATACAGTCTGTAAGATCTCTTCGAGAGAGCTGTCCAATTACAGATCTATATACTTTTCTTCAGAAGGTCAAAGAAAGGATGCTTTAAGGCTTCTCTGAGAGTAATTCTTTTGGCTGGATCATACTCCAACATTTTCTGAATGAGGTCAAAGAGACGCTCATGTTCAACATCTTGAGAAAGCATAAATTCCTGGAAGAAAAAAAGAAATTCATTCAACAGCCTTTTCCACTACCATTGACTACACTATGTAACAGTATAGTAAACCATATATATATAACCACCATAAAAACAGAAAAGAGGCCAGGCATGGTCGCTCACGCCTATAATCCCAGCACTCTGGGAGGCCAAGGCAGGTGGATCACTTGAGGCCAGGAGTTCAAGACCAGCCAGGCCAACATAGTAAAACTTGTCTTTACTTGAAAAAAAAAAAAAAAAAAAAAAAAAAGCGTGGTGGCATCCATCTGTAATCCCAGCTACTTGGGAGGCTGAGACCTGCTTGAGCCTAGGATGCAGAGGTTGCAGTGAGCTGGGCCAACATCGTGCCACTCTACTCCAGCCTGGACAACGAAGCAAGGCTCGGTCTCAAAAGACAAACAGAAGAAACTCAGTTTTGACTATTTGAGCAATGTCTCAAAGGCTTACCTTCAGAGGTTTACAGCGTCTTGAAACATATCTGCCGGCAGAACTGTGTTCATCCCAGTCTAATCGATCGTGGTGAAAATATTTACGTTTCCTAAAAATAAGTCAATATCCATTCATGTTTATAACACTGAAAACTTAAAACAGCTAGCAAAGGTATCAATTACTATGCTTTCCCAGATCACTTTTCTAGAGATTTAAATGGCAGCCATGGGATAGAAATGTTACCTGCTTTGCACCAAGGTAATCTACTATTTAACTGAAAAAATATTAGTTTGACTTCATTATTTATAAAGTCCTAATCAGCGCCTGAGACTTGGTAGAGTGAAAATTTAAAAAAAAAAATTAAGTTCTGGCCAGGTGCGGTGGCTCACGCCTGTAATCTCAGCACTTTGGGAGGCCGAGGTGGGCGGATCACAAGGTCAGGAGATCGAGACCATCCTGGCTAACATGGTGAAACCTTGTCTCTACTAAAAATACAAAAAAATTAGGCGGGCGTGGTGGCGAGTGCCTGTAGTCCCAGCTACTCGGGAGGCTGAGACAGGAAAATGGCGTGAACCCAGGAGGGAGAGCTTGCATTGAGCCGAGGTCACGCCACTGCACTCCAGCCTGGGCAACAGAGCAAGACTCCATCTCAAAAAAAAAAAAAAAATTAAGTTCTAATCAGCAGATGTGATCAAATGATACTAAGGATGTCACTAACTCTTAAAACGTACCTGGTTTTCTGTATCATATGTTTTGGTAGAGGTCCAAGAATCCTTTCCATCATTGCTAAATGCTCCTTACTATCGTGTGTCTAGAAATAAAATAAAAACAGACTTGGGGAAGATGACCACCAAAACAGACACAGTTAAAGCTGACAGCAAAAAAACTAACATTAAGGCTTGCAGAACAAACTCGCCAATGATTCCCTACATGGACACGGATAATTGCTTATATACTGAAAGATGTTTTAAATAAAACAATTATGAAAGAAATATGAATTAGTTTATTTATGCTTATCTACAATTAATAGTCTATAATGGGGGAAGCAAAAGTATTTATTCATATAAACAGGCACCTTTCTTGTGCAAAGCAAGGTTGAAATAGATCATTGTCACTTACTGGAAATACGGTAAACCCAAGATAGTATTCAATAAGAATGCATCCTATGCTCCAGACATCACATGGTTGGGACCACCCTAGGGCTGCAAAGCAAAGCAAAATTTAAGGAAAAAAAATACTCAATGTTTGTTAAAGAAATTAAAAAGTTAGTTAACACTAATACTTTAAAAAAAAAAACACATGTAATGTAGGCTGGGCACAGTGGCTCACACCTGTAATCCCAGCACTTTGGGAGGCCAAGATGGGAGAACTGCTTGAGCTCAGGAGTTCAAGACCAGCCTGGGCAACACAGCGAGATCCCACCTCTATTAAGATATATATATATCTGAATTGGCCGGGCACAGTGGCTCACGCTACAGGCATAATCCCAGCCCTTTGGGAGGCTGAGGCAGGTGGAACACGAGGGCAGGAGATCAAGACCATCCTGACTACACGGTGAAACTCCGTCTCTACTAAAAATACAAAAACAAAATTAGCCAGGCATGGTGGCAGGCACCTGTAGTCCCAGCTACTCAGGAGGCTGAGGTGGGACAATGGAGTGAACCCCATAGGCGGAGCTTGCGGTGAGCCGAGATCGCGCCACTGCACTCTAGCCTGGGTGACAGAGCAAGACTCCGCCCCCCCCCCAAAAAATTATATATATACACATATATATGCAATGTGATGTTTGAGCTGGAAGATCCTAAAGCAATCACTTAATCCAAGGTTAAATACAATATATATGGCCGGGCGCAGTGGCTTATGCCTGTAATCCCAGCACTTTGCAAAGCCAAGGCAGGCAGATTGCTCCAGGTCAGCAGTTTGAGACCAGCCTGCCAACATGGTAAAAACCCCATCTCTACCAAAAATAAGAAAATTAACCGGGTGTGGTGGTGGGTGCCTATAATCCCAGCTACTCAGGAGGCTGAGGCAGGAGAATTGCTTGAACCCAGGAGGCAGAAGTTGCAGTGAGCCAAGATTGCACCACTGCACTCCAGCCTGGGCGACAGAGTAAGTCTCCGTCTAAAAAATAAATAAATGATAAAAATAAATAAATTATATAGTGTTATATATAGTCTGGAATAAAATAGGCATTAAACAATTTTCTGAGATGGAGTCTCGCTCTGTCGCCCAGGCCGGAGTGCAGTGGCGCAATCTTGGCTCACTGCAACCTCCGCCTCCCGGTGTTCAAGCAATTCTGCCTCAGCCTCCTGAGTAGCTGGAACTACTGACGTGTACCACCACACCCAGCTAATTTTTTGTATTTTTAGTAGAGATGGGGTTTCACCATATTAGCCAGGATGGTCTCGATTTCCTGACCATGTGGTCTGCCCGCCTTGGCCTCCCAAAGTGCTGGGATTACAGATGTGAGCCACCGCGCCCCACCCTTGGCCTCCCAAAGTGCTGAGATTACAGATGTGAGCCACCGCGCCCCACCTGGCATTAAACAATTACATTTAAAAACCCTACCACATATTACAAATGTGAAAACAATTCCAGAAAGGTTAAGCCACTTGCTCAAATTCCCAGAGCTAATTATCTGGTACAATTGAGAGCTTAAAATCCATAATGCACTTCATGATACTTATCCCTTAAAGAGAATATGATAAAGCCCCACAAGTAAGACCTAAAACTGCTAAAAAAATTTTAAGTCTCAATAAGGAAATACAAAGGTTCTCAAAGGACAATTAATACTCACCTAAAATAACTTCAGGTGCTCTATAATGTCTTGTAGATACCAATGTACTGTGATGTTCGTCATCATATGTTGCACTACCAAAGTCTACAACTTTAATATCTGGATTTATTAAGGTGCGTTCATCACGTTTCTGAAAATCATAAATGATGGTTAAGAAGGCATAAGCTATTAAGGCATAAGATACTTTATGAATATTTTGGAAGACTTACTATTTTGGGATTATACGCCTCTGTGTAGTCAGACTGCACAAATAAGATGTTTTCAGGCTTTAAGTCTGTGTGAGTCAACTTATTACTGTGCAAAACTGAGAATAAAGAGAAAGTTGCTGTAATCAGAAAACACCAAACCAAACCAAATCACAAAACCCCACAACAGGCCGGGTGCAGTGGCTCACGCCTGTAATCACCTGAGGTCAGGAGTTCGAGACCAGCCTGACCAATATGGTGAAACCCTGTCTCTACCAAAATTACAAAAATTGGCCGGGTGTGGTGGCGTGTGCCTGTAGTCCTAGCTACTCGGGAGGCTGAGGCAGGAGAATCACTTGAACTGGGGAGGCAGAGTTTGCAGTGAGTGAAGACTGCGCCACTGCACTTCAGCCTGAACAACAAAGCGAGACTCCATTTCAAAAAACAAAAAAACCCAACAAAAAACCTCTGATTCCTTTCCCAAAGAATGGTCAACATTCCAGTCTGCTAGAAAATCACCAGTAACTAAAACTTACTACCTCTTATGAAGCTTTCTTTTATGAGATATATCACGCCTTAATTTTTACCCAGCATTCGAAGTTACTATTTTTGCGCATCAGAAAAGTCTAAATCATAGTCTGCAACAAAGTACGTTGTTATATGGTGGATATCCTACTTGCTGAATGAAATGTACACTGCTGGATCAACAGCCTGTAATCAAATCTCTTCATACCTATTCTTCCTCCCCCTTTATTTTTAATCAAATAAAAATTGTACACACTTAGGATGCACATTTTGATATGTGGAATGGATAAAACCAGCAAATTAACGAAGATATACCAAGAACTTACAATTCACAGACTTGCATATCTGATATGCCATCTTTCTGATATGATCCAGTCGAAATGGTAGAAAACCATTTTCTTTAATGAAGTCGTAAGTACTAAGTCCCAATAGTTCAAAAACAATGCAAATGTGACCATGATGCTCAAACCATTCCAACATCTGGACACAGCGGCTACAAACACATGAAAAATAGCTAAGTATAGTTGCTCCTAATTTAAATATACCTGATACCACTTCCCAAGTTCTAATCTGATACTTACAAAGTACTGTTGGGGTCTGTTGTATTCAGATGTTCCAGAACTTGTATTTCTGAGCGAGCAGCTTCACAGTATCTATCCACATTTTTAACTATTTTTACTGCTACATGTCTACCTCCCCTGTTAGAAAGATGCATGCAAATTTAAGAATGACAGACATGATGCTCAATTCCAGGTATTACTGTCTTCAAACTGTACTACTACTCTGACCCACTGTATTTTTTTAATTTATGGTTTAGTGTTCAGTTCTGATTCTATTACATGCTGAATGACACAAATTTCTTTCATCAAACCACCACTCACATGAGTTATTTTTTGGTATTTCAGCTAAACAACTTCTTCCTATATGGTACCTGTCACTGTCAAACATTATCTCAAATGTTCTTTTAGTCCAGGTTGCCAAAAGAGTTAGGATACAGTGGGGAAAGAGTAAAGAGCTCTAGGACCGGGAGCAGTGGCTCTCACGCCTATAATCCCAGCACTTTGGGAGGCCGAGGGTAGTAAATCACTTGAGGTCAGAAGTTCGAGACCAGCCTGACCAACATGGTGAAACCCTATTTCTACCAAAAATATGAAAATTAGCCAGGCACGGTGGTGTGTGCCTGTAATCCCAGCTTCCTGGGAGGCTGAGGCAGGAGAATTACTTGAACTCGGAAGGTGGAGGTTGCAGTGAGCCAAGATTGCACCACTGCACTCCAGCCTGGGCGACAGACCAAGACTCCATCTCAGGGAAAAGAAAAATAAACAAAAAAAGAGCTCTAGCTCTCATGTCCTTACCAATCAATAGTAGGAAGCCCCCTCAAAAATGCTTTGCCATTCAGGAAGAGGAAGAACAATAACAACAACAACAACAACAACAACAAACAGGGAACTAAAAAAAAAGAGTAACGGAAAAAATTCTATACTATCTTAAGAAATTTCATGGCTGGAGCCAAGCGCTCATGCCTGTAATCCCAGCACTTTGGGAGGCTGAGGTGGGCAGGTCACCTGAGGTCAGGAGTTCGAGACCAGCCTGGCCAACATAGTCTCTACTAATACAAACAATACAATACTAATACAAACAATAGCTGGGCATGGTGGCGCGTGTCTGTAGTTCCAGCTACTCAGGAGGCTGAGGCAGAACAATCACCTGAACCCGGGAGGCAGAGGGTGCAGTGAGCTGAGATTGCGCCACTGCACTCCACCCTGGGTGACAGAGCGAGACTCTGTCTCGAGAAAAAAAAAAATTTCAATCAGTAGTTTGATAAACATACATAATTAAACTTGGGACACCAAGTTATCTCCAGCTATGTTATCAGAATGAATTACAGCACTTCCTAAAAATATAGATTCCTAGGTAACTACCCTGAAAAGGTCTGGGGTAGGCAAACCTCTCGAGGAGGATCTTAACATAAAACCAAGGCTGAGAACCACTAATATGGTGGGGGAAAAAAATATGGCCTAACAACAGTGTCCAGTTGAACAACAAAACAATACTTTCAAAACAATATAAAGTGTGTTCTCAGCCTAAAATTAGAAATTATACATACTATTAGTAGCTGTTTAAAAAATATGAAGGGGCAAGTACCTCTTAACTGGAAGTGTCTTACATCCAAGTAAAAAAGGGTATAAAGATATGTATCTAACTCATGGTCAGACCACTTTCTAAAGCTAAATCAATTACCTGTATTGCCAACTTCCCTAAAAGTAATCCCAACATGGGAAACTTACGCTTTATGATCGATGCACTCCACAACTTTTCCAAAAGCTCCTTCACCTAAAGTATCAACAATTTCATCTAAAAGAGAGAAATAAATCTCAGTCATATCAAGAAGTGGAAACAATGTACTTATCACAATAAATGCTATCAATGTAGATTATTCTAGTTGATGCTACAAATTTCCTTATCACTAGATATTTTATTGGTCAACACCATCAAAAAACATAATTATTAGGTCTAATTTCATTAATTTGATTACTGTTCTGGAAGTTCTATATAACAAACATTACATTTCTAAAGAAAGCAAAAATACAATCCCCCCCACCAAAAGAAATGGAAAAATAAAACAAAAACAAAAAAGAGAAAGAAAAAAAGATTTCCAAATCCCTGAAAGCTTAATCTATATATAGATTATGTTATCTGAAAAGTTAATAAGTGTTGAAAAATATTCTATACATCTTGCACTTAGTACGTCTCCACTCTGACAGATCAGGTGACCCTCCTCATCATCCTCTACACTCCTGGTTCTTTTCCTTCGGTGACTCTTCTGGAAACGTCAAGTGGGCGGCACCAAGATCATCCAGCCAATCAATATACCCGAGTGAATTCAGGGCAGAATACGAAATTCATTCAGCGGGGAGATATTCAGGCATTCAGATACACGCCAGGCCACAAACGGTTGGCAGGAGCAATTTCAAATTCAGTCCCCAGAAATTCACAGGGCACATAGTTTATGTTAACAGGAGAAAAACATGGCAAGGAACAGATTTTCAGATAAGATACTCAAAGTGGCAAGGCAACAAAACATAATACAATTGTTTTTCTTAAAAAAAAAAAATGCTTAGTTGTAGCATTCACTGAAACATAATTTTTTAGTTTCTAGTGTTCTAATTTAATGTTGCAAAATCGTATGATGTAATATTTACTTGTCAAAGTAGGCGGTGGCCAAATTAAGATTTCCTACCTAATCTAAGAAAACAAATATTATAACAGTAAATAAAATTAAAGTGCTAATTTTGGGGAAAAAAAGATTTGGCATACAAGAATAACACTACGGCATTTTTAATGTCATCTGAGCTGATCTCCATACTAATATATAACCCATAACAGTTCAAATCTGTTCTGGTTTGCTTAGTGAAAGAAGGGTTAGAAAACATGACTTGTTAGAACAAAGAAGCATACCTAATCCTAAATTATACAAAAATAAAATGCCCTGTTCTACTTTTGTGATTTCAATAGATCAAAACTAATCAGGTTTCTTGAAGTACCACAAAAAACCCTTTTAGAATATTTTGTAATAATTTTCAACTAATCTAAATTAAATCAATTAACTCCCATCATTTCACTGGAATGTCAATTAGGAGCCAACCAATAATTAAATTATAGAACTAAATGTGTACTTTATTTCCGGAATTTCCTATCCAATGCACAAACACAGAAAAAATCCTGCAGGTTAAAACTGAGATGATTTCATCTTAAAACTTTCTCAAATAATCAAACACAAAAATTCAAGTTTCCCTGTTCCACATGGGATATAAAATTTCCAAAATGTTTTAAAAACGTTCATACCCCATGTGAACGACGATGTGAAGTACTGTGGTGAATCCTGTGTTTGCTTTTATAACTACTTCTTCCACTTCTACCAGAAGACTTGCTACTATGGTTCTGATACCGGCTTTCATGGTCTCTTTGGCGATGTCCAGGTTCACATCCTTGAGTGTAGTCATTTCTGTACTCATCAATGTAGCGTCGACTATGATAATCTTTCTCATTTATAGACCTGCTTTCCAAATAATGGCTAGAGAAATAAAAATTATTTTCAATGTTTTATGCTAAGACCAAATATCCTCACATTCTCTTCAAGACAGCACCTAGACTCCCCCACAAGCAGCTTAATTTTACAAACATTACAAACCATCAAAATCTCTCATTGGAAACAAACGAATGGTAGTAATCAGGTACTTATTTTAAGTGATACTAGTTTTGTCTAGTAATGTATTGTTATATTCAGACATTTTAAGTATCCTCCTTACCTATCACACATTTTAGAGTGATTGTATTTGCAGCGCTTGTTCTCCTGGGCACTGCTATGTGATCTCTTCCTTCTTTTATGACTGCTGCTGCTCCTCCATTTTCCATAATCCCAATCCTTGTCATCCCAATCAGGACAGTAAGTTCTCTTTGAGTGTCTCATCTACATAAAAGGCAAGTTTTTCCTAGTTAAATTGTACCCCACACTGAGCTGTTTAAAATTCGTAATTACAAAGGTCCCCTCGTGACCTCGTTTTAAGACCAAAATTCAAGAATCATTATCACCCAATCTGAAATCACTGATAAATCCAATTACTGTGTTGTCCCATATTCTGCAGTTTGAACTTCATTCACAGGCACTCTGCATTAGCCATATCATGCCCAGATTTATTGGAAGAATGCAAAAAAAAAAAAAAGTGAAAAAAGTAGAGGGAGGAATCACAATTTACTAATTTTGGTACATTTTACCCCTGCCCTCCCAGTAGTACAAATATAGCACTATAGAAGTCCACGCTGTCAGGCCTCTGAGCCCAAGCTAAGCCATCATATCCCCAGTGACCTGCACGTATACATCCAGATGGCCTGAAGCAACTGAAGATCCACAAAAAAAGTAAAAATAGCCTTAACTGATGACATTCCACCATTGTGATTTATTTCTGCCCCAACCTAACTGATCAATATACTTTGTAATCTCCCCCACCCTTAGGAAGGTTCTTTATAATCTCCCCCACCCTTAAGAAGGTTCTTTGTAATTCTCCCCGCCCTTGAGAATGTACTTTGTGAGATCCGCCCCCTGCTCCCAAAACATTGCTCTTAACTCCACCGCCTATCCCAAAACCTATAAGAACTAATGATAATCCCACCACCCTTTGCCGACTCCTTTTTCTGACTCAGCCCGCCTGCACCCAGGTGAAATAAACAGCCATGTTGCTCACACAAAGCCTGCCTTTAGTGGTCTCTTCACAGACACGTGAAACACACGTCATTCTCCCCGTTTAAACGTGTACCAGAAACTAGTCTCCAACTCAAATGCAATCATAAATGTTCCTCACCAACACCGCATTACTGATTACTGCAAACGTAATCAGAGTTATATCTGAGTTGCTGACAGAATCATCATTACAGAGCATTTCCGTAAACGGACAAATGAAACTACCAAGGACTTTAATCACACACGAAGGCAACGGTGGCATCAGAATATAAAAACAACAAAACACCATCTTTCCAGTACCACTCCCAAGCACATACAACATAATTTATCCTAAACGCAATGTTAACACAATCTTTTTGGGAATGGTAGGAGCCACCTTCTTTTCAGAAATGCTTCGAGCAAAATCGAAAATCTCTAACCTAACAACTTGAAAAAGACATTATACAGAAATTACTTCATCAACTGCCGTTCTTTCTTACCGGCGGGACCCCTCTGTGTCTTCCGCTACAATTCTTTTTTTTTTAACGCCAGTCAAATTTAGCGGTAGGGGTTGTATACTAATTTTCGTGACACTAATAACTATTAAGTTCTGATAACCCACTACCATTGGACCAGCCTGAGTATAATTTTTAAAGCCCTCCAATTGGGTCGGGGGCCGTGGCTTATGCCTGTAACCCCAGCACTTTGGGAGGCCGAAGCAGGAGGGCTGCTTGAGCCCAGGAATTCGAGACCAGCCAGGGTAATATAGAGAGACCCCGCCTCTATAAAAAATAAAAAATTAACCAGGAGTGGTGGCGCGCGCCTGTAGTCCCAACTACTCAGGAGGCTGAGGTGGGAAGATCACCTGAGCCCAGATGTCGAAGCTGCAGTGAGCCGTCATTGCGCCACTTGCACTCCGGCCGGGGCGACAGGGGCGAGACCTTGTCTCAAAAAAGAAAAAAAGGAGGCTGGGCGCAGTGGCTCACACCTGTAATCCCAGCACTTTGGGAGGCCGAAGCGGATGGATCACCTGAGGTCAACAGTTTGAGGCCAGCTTAATATGGTGAAACTCTGTCTCTACTAAAAATACAAACATTAGCCCGGCGTCGTGGCGGGCGCCTGTAATCCCAGCTATCCCGGAGGCTGAAGCAGGAGAATCGCTTGAACCCGGGAGGCGGAGGCTGCAGTGACTCGAGATCGCGCCACTACACTCTAGCCTGGGCGACAGAGCGAGACTCCAAGAAAAGAAAAAAGCTCCAACTGCTAACCCAAGAGGAGTGGCTGAAACGCCATCGCATAAAATTCTCGGTCACCTGACTTCTGTCACAACGCTCCTTCAAATACACCCCAGCATTTCTCTTTCCTTGGGTTCCTAAATCTGGTTTTTGTTAACACCACTGAGGACAAAGCCACTCGCGATGTTTACGCCGACACTTTCATCATTAGACATTAACTGTAACCCCTACGGGTTCCGTCTCTTTCTCCACTTACTCCAGACAACGTTTCCCCACAGCTGCTTGGCTCACGCACATTCTGGAACCCCAGCAAATCCCCCCTCAACGGGGAGCCTCGCCTTTCCGGCCACAGGGCCGAAGCCGGCCTCCGCCCAGCCGCCATCTTACAGCTCCGCCGAGGCGGTTCACAACATGGCGCCCGCCCGACCGTCCCGCGTCAGGCGGCGCCGCTTCCTCAGCGGAGGGCAGAAGCTCCAAGAGGGCGGCCGGCCTAGCAAACACCGTAACTACCCCCGCAGGCCGGATCCGGCGGCGACAGGCTCGGCCGCGCAGGAAAGAGGGGCGCGCCGCCACTGTGCAGCCTGGGAGTGAAGGGAGCAGGCAGTCGTCGCGCCGGGGACGGCGGGCAGCAAACAAGCAGGAAAAGGGGGCATCGCCAGGCGCCCGCGAGGCTCACAGGAACGGCCCTGTCACCTAGTCCGCTCCCTCCTGCGTCTTACCGTCCTGGACAAAGACTCCAAGTCGAAGGAGACAAAGCTTGTAACGCAATCACGGGAATCACGCAGCTGACTGCGTCGCGCACCAACAACAAAATGGAGCTGACAGCTGCTGCGTCGAGACTCGTCTCGAAAACACTGATGACGCAGCGAGCGCGTCTCCGCCGCGGGGCGGGTCATGCACGGGGCGAGCAGGCGGAAAGGGCGGGCGTGTCGCGCGCGCGACCATCGTGGGCGCAGGCGCCAGGGAGGGAACCAGAGCCCGCTGTGGCGGATGAAAGGAAGCCGTCGGCGTGTTGTCCCCACTCACTGATAGTTTTTGAACTCTAGAACAAGGAACAACTTGTGAACAAGGAAAAGTGAGGGAATCAGTATACACAGTAGCATGTACCCTGTTAGCGACCACTAAAACAATTGCTTTAAAACTAATACTTCACGGCGCGGTGGGTCACGCCTGTAACCCTAGCACTTTGGGAGGCCGAGGCGAGCAGATCGCTGAGCCCAGGATTTCGAGACCAGCCTGGGCAGCATAGCGGGACCCGTCTCTAAAAAATAAATAAATAAATAAAATATACCACTAGCGTCAGATGGCTTCAAATTACTAATGGGATCAGTGTGAGCCAACAGAAATCAATGTTCTGCACCTTGATCCTCATGGTGCCTGCATCAGGCCCAACGTGGGCAGCCAGCATACCTCCCTGTCTATGATACTTTTATGGCCGTAACTGAGCACACATTCTAAAAATAAGCTCCTTGATAAGTTTTGAAGGGAAGGCCAGCGTTAAAGATACAGAGTGGCAGCTCTACAGCAACTGCGGGCTTTATGTCCAGCCTAAGACCTACAGAAGTGGGGAACCAGCCTAATGCCAGTGCCCACCAGTGGGGTACTTTTAGGTAAGGGCGGGAGGGGCCTGGGCCATATGGCTTGCTGACTTGCTGCCCTGCAGGATGTTAAGATGTTCCCATAATGAGGCGGTTCTGGCCCTTGTTCCCGCAGAATGTGGTGGTAGTTTTTTTTGTTTTGTTTTGTTTTTGAGACGGAGTCTTGCTCTGTCGCCCAGGCTGGAGTGCAGTGGCGCGATCTCCACTCACTGCAACCTCCGCCTCCTGAATTCAAGCGATTCTCCTGTCTCAGCTTCCCCAGTAGCTGGGACTGCAGGCGTGCGCCACCACCCCTCGCTACTTTTTGTATTTTTAGTAGAAACTCCTGACCTCAGATGATCCACCCGCCTCGGCCTCCCAAAGTGATGGGATTACAGGCGTGAGCCACCACGACCCCCCGGGAATGTGGTGTTCTTTGCACTTTCTCCCGGCAGAATATGATAGGGGTGTTTCTTTAGTTGCGCCTTTGTCCGTTTTGTGGTCAGGTGGTTAGGCAGGATGTTTCTCACAGCCCGAACCCCTGTGGAATGTTTCACTTTGACCAAGGTCTGCAAAATAGAGGGTGGGGGAGACCAGGCAGGGCTGGGGAAACGGGGCAGGGCGGTGGGGGGGCAGGATTTACAAAATGGTGCAGTTTGGACTAACACTCCTAAAATCAAAAAAAACATATTTGCACCACTAATTAAAAGTGGCAGAGTTTAGAATAAAACTTGGAGGAGGTCAGACGCAGTGGCTCACGCCTGTAATCCCAGCACTATGGAAGGCCAAGGCGGGTGGATCACGAGATCAGGAGTTCAAGACCAGCCTGGCCAAGATGGTGAAACCCCGTCTCTATTAAAAATACAAAAAATTAGCCGGGCGTGGTGACAGGCACCTGTAATCCCAGCTACTCGGGAGGCTGAGGCAGGAGAATTGCTTGAACCTAGGAGGTAGAGGTTGCAGTGAGCCGAGATCCACCATTGCACTCCAGCCTGGGCAACAGAGCAATACTCCGTCTCAAAAAAAAAAAAAAAAAAAGTGGCAAAACAAGGTCTGGCCAAAGAAAGGCCTTAATACTAAGTCTAGAAACTTAAATGATTAAAATTTTAAAAGTGAAACAAAATGTAAAGTCATTAGTATGCCGGGTGCGGTGGCTTACGCCTGTAATCCCAACACTTTGGGAGGCCAAGGTGGGTGGATCATGAGGTCAGGAGTTTGAGACCACCCTGGCCAACATGCTGAAACTGTCTCTACTAAAAATACAAAAACTAGCAAGGCGTGGTGGTGCTCACCTGTAATCCCAGCTACTTGGGAGGCTGAGGCAGAATTGCTTGAACCCGGGAGATGGAGGTTGCAGTGAGTCAAGATCGCGACATTGCGTACCAGCCTGGGCAATAGAGTGAGACTCTATCTCAAAAAAAAAAAAAAAAAAAAAGAATTGCTTGAACCCTGGAGGCAGAGGTTGCAGTCAGCCGAGATTGCGCCACTGCATTCCAGCCCAGGCGACAGAGTGAGACTCTGTCTCAAAAAAAAAAAAAAGTCACTAGTATAACTGGCACTGTTACGGTGGGTAGCTAGTCAGGTATGAACAAAGCAGGAGATGGCTCCCCCAAACACACACTAGGAGTGTCGGGCAACCATCAGGTGAGATGGTCAGGCGGTTATTAACTCTCTTGCTGAAGTAGTAATTGGTCACAGCTGGCACCAGGGAACGGCAGTCTCCTAATAGAAAACACCTGAAACTGGTGAGCAGCAGCTTCCCAATAAGATCTCAGGAGTTGGGCAAGTGGGGAGAAGTAATGCAAGACCTTGGAAGTATGCCAGTGTATAAAACGCCAAGTCAAAAGCTCAAGCCACACATTTATCTTTCAAGTCGCCCGCTTGGTCCTCTTCCAAGCGTACTTCCCTTTCTTTCATTCCTCCTCTAAAGCTTTTTAATAAACTTTCACTCTTGCTCTAAAACGTGCCTCACCCTCTCCTTCTGCCCCTCAGTCGAATTCTTTCTTCTGAGGAGGCAAGAATTGAGGTTGCTGCAGACCTGTACGGATACAGATTCGCTGCTAGTAAAAAGCACCTCAGTTTAGTGGAAGATATAAATGGTGACAAGAGGATAGCTGTAAGCTAACTCCAAACTAGTCAAGAAAGAATCAAAACATTAATTAGACCAGCCATTGGAAGAAATGAGACAAACCAAGAACTGATGCCAAGACAAACATTTTGAGACGGAGTTTTGCTCTTGTCACCCAGGCTGGAGTCCAACGGCACGATCTCAGCTCACCGCAACCGCCGCCTCCCGGGGTTCAAACAATTCTCCTGCCTCAGCCTCCCGAGTAGCTGGGATTATAGGCATGTGCCACCACGCCCAGCTAATTTTGTATTTTTAATAGAGACAGGTTTTCTGTATGTTGGTCAGGCTGGTCTCGAACTCCCAACCTCAGGTGATCTGCCCGCCTTGGCCTCCCAAAGGGCTGGAATTACAGGCATGAGCCACTACGCTCGGCTGGTATAAGTTTTAGGAACACCCAAATCCAACCACTGTGATCTAGGCAGTGGGCAGAATATGGTCTTGATGAAATCAGTGGTAGAACCCAATGAATGGCTTGATGAGGTGAGAGCCCTGTGGTGGACATGAATGTTAGGACAGCAGCTTCTACTTACTTACTACATGCCAGAAGCTTTACACACATTTAACCCTCACAATTGTCTTCTGAGGTATTATTTATGGATGAGAATACTAAAGCTTGAAGATGTTAACTTGCTTAAAGTTACACTGTAAGGGACACAGCTGTGATTCAAACACAGACCAGAACTCCACAAACTGGTGCCTTTAACTAGTTCATTGCATTTTTCAAATGGATATTCTGTAAAGCTCCACTCTTCAATATTTTCAGAGATATGCCTTATGTTCTCACTTGTAATATAACCAAGTATCCTAGCCTTGAAATGCATTTTAAAGTTTTTTTTTTCCTTTTTTTTTTGAGACAGAAGTCTCTGTTTCCACGCTGGAGTGCAGTGGTGCAATCTCGGCTCACTGCGACCTCTGCCTCCCAGGTTCAAGCAATTCTCCTGCCTCAGCCTCTCAAGTAGCTGGGACTACAGGCGCGTGCCACCACGGCCAGCTAATTTTTGTATTTTTAGTAGAGACGGGGTTTCACCATGTTGGCCAGGATGGTCTCGATCTCTTGACCTCATGATCCGCCTGCCTCAGCCTCCCAAAGTGCTGGGATTACAGGCGTGAGCCACCGTGCCTGGCCCTTTCTTTCTTAATTTCAGAATGTAGTCTTGTTAAAACCGTTTCCCTCCCTTTCCCGCCTCACACTCCCTTATACTATGCACATTTATCTAACTGTACACTTGTTAAACTTACACTATACACTCTTATCTATAGGGTCTTAACTCTCTTGCCCAGGCTGGAGTCCAGTGGCACGACCATGGATCACTGCAGTCTCTACTTCCCTAGCTCAAGCAATCCTCCCACCTCAGCCTTTTAAGTAGCTGGGGCTACCACATCCGGCTTTTTTTTTTTTTTTTTTTTTTTTTCAATTTTTAGTAGATTCAAGGTCTCACTACGTTGCCCAGGCCGATCTAAAACTCCTGGGCTCAGGTGATCCTCCCACCTTGGCCTCCCCAAAGTGCTGCGATTATAGGTGTGAGCCACTGTGCCTGGCCCATCAAGGGCTAATCATGACATATACCAGGCTTGGAGACCCAGCTGCAAAATTCCAGAGATTACCTTAAGGTGGTTAGTCAACAACCCAGCCATTGTTGAGATGATGCCAGCCCCCACTCCAGGTGGACCACAACTCAAGATAGCCACTACAGCAAGCCACAGAGATCTGAAACCCTGCACCACTCCCGCATGCCTCCCATTCTAAGTTCCCTTTTTAAGCACCTCTCCCCAGCCTAAAGTTCAAAATGATTTCTTTAAGGTACTAGCTTTGGCCATTTCCCCACTGCTAGCTCTGGAATAAAGTCACTTTCCTTTTCCTGCATCTCCTCCTTGTTGTTGACTTTGCAAGTGGCGTGCAGCCCAGCCTGCATTCAGTTACAATAAATGGGAGCTAAATCTTGGATTCACATGGACAAAAAGATGGGAACAGTGGACACTGGGGACTCCAAAAAAGGAGGAAGGGGCAGGGGCAAGGGCTGAAAAGCTTCCTTTTGGGCACTATGTTCACTGTCTGGGTGACAGGATCAGTAGAAGCCCAAACCTCAGCACCATGCATTATACACTTGTAACAAACCTGCACATGTACCTGCTGAATCTAAAATTAAAAAAAAAAAAGATATGCCTTAAAAAATGTCCATGAGCAGGCCGGGTGTGGTGGCTCACGCCTGTAATCCCAGCACTTTGGGCGGCCAAGGTGGACGGATCACCTGAGGTCAGGAGCTCACGACCAGCCTGGCCAACATGGTGAAACCCTGTCTCTACTAAAAACACAAAAAAACAATAGCTAGGCATGGTGGCAGATGCCTGTAATCCCAGCTACTCGGGAGGCTGAGGCAGGAGAATCACTTGAGCCCGGGAGGCGGAGGTTGCAGTGAGACGAGATTGTGCCATTGCACTCCAGCCTGAGTGACAAGAGTGAGACTATGTCTCAAAAAAAAAAAAAAAAGTCCATGAGCAAATCAGTTGGGAAATGTTGAGTGTTTACTGTATTCCAAGACATCTTTTTTTTTTTTTTTTTTTTGAGATGGAGTCTCCCACTGTCACCCAGGCTGGAGTGCAATGGCTCGATCTTGGCTCACTACAACCTCTGCCTCCCGGGTTCAAGTGATTCTCCTGCCTCAGCCTCCCAAGTAGCTGGGACTACAGGCACCCGCCACCATGCCCAGCTAATTTTTTATATTTTTAGTAGAGACAGGGTTTCACCATGTTAGCCAGGATGGTCTTGATCTCCTGATCTCGTGATCTGCCCATCTTGGCCTCCCAAAGTGCTGGGATTATAGGCGTCAGCCACCACACTCGGCCTCCAGGACCTCTGAGAGCCTTTACTGTAAACCTAAAGATCACACCTGTAATCCCAGCACTTTGGGAGGCCGAGGTGGGCAGATCATGAGGTCAAAAGATCAAGACCATCCTGGCCAACATGGTCTCTGTAAACCCCGTCTCTACTGAAAAAAAAAATACAAAAAGTAGCTGGGCATGGTGGTGTGCACCTGTAGTCCCAGCTACTTGGGAGGCTGAGGCAGGAGAATCACTTGAACCTGGGAGGCAGGGGTTGCAGTGACCCGCTGCACTCCAGCCCGGGTAAAAGAGCAAGACTCCGTCTCAAAAAGAAAAAAAAAAAAATCAGAGAAAATAGCAAATGGATTGGCTGGCCTTTCCAGACTAACTTTTTATCCTGTCCCTCCTCTTTCTAACTGTATAAAGTGAATAATTAATGGTAGAGCTCTTACCGTTAGTATCAGTTTCAGGAATACCCAAATTTTCAGATTTGGGGATACTTGCATATACATAATAAGATATCTTGGAGATGAGACCCAAATTTAAACATGAAGTTCATTTACGTTTCATATATACCTTATACACATAGCCTGAAGGTAATTTTACACAATATTTTAATTAATTTGTCCTACGATTTAATTCTTTAAAACTTTTTAAATTTTATTATAAAATAACACTTCCAGGATACGGACTTGCTGTGGGAGGAATATGTAATCAGGCCACTCAAAAATGCCTGCACTTGAGGCTGAGCATTTAAAAATGAATGTTCATATGTAACAAAAATTAAATGATGTATTTTTTGTATTAAAATTAAAGAAATATGTTGGATAATCATTATAATAAAGAATATGCTCTAAGAATGGGGATAAAAGCTGTTGGGCGCCCCTTGGTACCACCATTTCATAGAAGATCATAGTTGTAAACAAGCAGAAGGATGATGCAATCTCTGACATAATTAAAACCGGGTAAACCACAATAAGTGTGTTCCAGCAATTTGTCAAGTTATTTGTCCAGGTCTATCATAGCTACTGAGCAAATGGGTTGGCATGAATAGTTATGTCCTTAATGTGTACATCATTAAGAGGTCGGTATGTCTTCTCATTTACTGGCAACTTCTCCAACTCATCTAGAGTTTCCAGACCATCTATTACCCTGAAAGAGAAACAACATAACATATGAAAATTTCCTTAAATTGAAACATGATATCCATATCTATGACAATTACAGTCTCCTTAAAAAATAATCAAGTCTTACAGATCTCTGAGTTCTCTAGTTGAATGTACAACAAAATGTTGATTTTCCATCATAGATATGGATCAAAATTCAGAAATAATTTACTTTTATGCCCTTAGTCAACAATACAAAGGGTAGGAATATTTCCACCATAGTACCTAAAATTATATTCTACCCCATTCATACAGTGACAGAGAACAGCTACAAATGGGACTAATATAACCAGTTAAAGGGAAAACAAACTGTTTTTCTACACTTTCATACTTCCAACACCAAATGTGTGGGTTTTCCCAGTTCTCCAATTCTCTGGGTATCCCACAACTTGATTATTTTTTCAAAATTTTATTTAATTTTTTAAAGACAGGATCTCACTGGGACTACAAATGCATGCCCCCACACCTGGCCCTATAATTTAATTGTGACACTAACTACAAGGAGTGAACAGAGACCCCGGTTAATCCCACAAGACAGCCCCTACCACTTCGGATGCCAGTTCCAAGTCCCGATTGTGATCTGTACTATCTGACTAACCATGATATAATTTGGGATTTTTCATGCCCCCCAGCTCTGTTCAATAATTTTCAAAAATGGCTCATAGAACTTAGGAAAGCACTTTATTTATTACTATGGGCTATTATAAAGGTTACAACTCAGGAACAACCAAATGGAGGAGATGCATAGGGCAAAGTCTGAGAGAGGGGCACAGCGCTTCCATGCTCTTCTCGGGGTGTGTTACCCTCTTAGTATCTACTTGTGTTCACCAACCTGGAAGCTCTCAAACCCTGTTTAGGGTTTTTACGGAGGGCACATTAGGTAGGCACGATTAATTAAATCACTGGCCACTAGTGACTGGAACTCAATCTCCAGCCCTTCTCTCCTTCCCAGAGGTCAAGAATAGGAGGTCACTGAATGTTCCACCCCTCTAAAAATACATGGCTGATTCCTCTGGCAACCAGCCCTCCATACTGAAGCTATCTAGAACCCCACCAAGAGTCACCTCATTAGCATAAACTCAGGTATGGTTGAATGGGGTTTATTATGAACAATAAAATATTCCTTTCACTCCTGTCACTCAGGAAATTGCAAGGTTTTTAAAAGAACTATGCTGGAAACCACGGATGAAGTCCAAATATGTATGTCTTATTACAACACACTAGTCATAAAGATTTCTTTGCTACAGGAAATACATGGAGAAAGTATGTAGATGACACTATTAGCAATACTGCCCTACAATGAGAGTCCTAAAGTAGGTGACCACTCCACTTTGTACTTGTTTTTTTTTTTTTTGAGATGAAGTCTCGCTCTGGTCCCCCAGACTGGAGTGCAATGGTGTGATCTCGGCTCACTGCAACCTCTCCTCCTGGGTTCAAGCAATTCTCCTGCCTCAGCCTCCCAAGTAGCTGGGATTATAGGAGCCTACCACCACGCCTGGCTAATTTTTGTATTTTTAGTAGAGACGGAGTTTCAGCATGTTGGCCAGGCTGGTCTGGCCTGACCTCAGGTGATCCGCCCGCCTTGGCCTCCCAAAGTGTTGGGATTCAGGCATGAGCCACCAAGCCCAGCAGTTAATTGTTTAATTATAGTATTTCTTTCTTTTTTTTTTTTTTTGAGATGGAGTCTCACTTCCATTGCCCAGGTTGGAGTGCAGTAGCACTATCTCGACTCATTGTAGCCTCTTCCTTCAGGTTCAAGCAATTCTGCATCAGCCTCCCAAGCAGCTGGGACTACAGGCACATGCCCCCATGCCCAGCTAATTTTTGTGTTTTTAGTAGAGATGGGATTTCACCACATTGGCCAGGCTGGTCTCAAACTCTTGACCTCAAGTGATCTGCCCACGTCAGCCTCCCAAAGTGCTGGGGTTATAGGCATGAGCCACCACGTCTGGCCTAATTATGGCATTTCTACTTTTTGCTTCTGGATAACAACAAGAAGTAATAAAAATAGGAGAAGAGAAGACTGACAGTTAACAGCCTCCAGCAATCCCACTTCATGTTACCACCAAGAAAAAATATATTGAGAGCTATTCTTCAAATACAAGTTTTGGAAATTTCAGTCTAAAACATTTGCTAAGAAAGAGTGGCTTTTGATCTCTTGACCTCGTGATCTGCCCGCCTTGGCCTCCCAAAGTGCTAGGATTACAAGCGTGAGTCACTGCACCTGGTCATCTGACTGCATTTTGACTGCAACCCGTCACATGAGGTCAGATGTGGAATTTTCTACTTGTGGCATCATGTCAGTGCTCAAAAAGTTCCTAATTTTTAATTTTCAGATTAGGGATTCTCAACCACTGGTATGTACTTTAAAAAATTAACAGATTTGTAGGCCTGGCGCAGTGGCTCACGCCTGTAATCTCAGCACTTTGGGAGGCCAAGGCGGGCGGATCACGAGGTCGGGAGATTGAGACCATCCTGGCTAACATGGTGAAACCCCGTCTCTACTAAAAATACAAAAAATTAGCCGGGCGCGGTGGCGGGCGCCTGTAGTCCCAGCTACTTGGGAGGCTGAGGCAGGAGAATGGCGTGAACCCAGGAGGGTGAGCTTGCAGTGAGCTGAGATGGCGCCACTGCATTCCAGCCTGGGCGACAGAGTGAGACTCTGTCTCAAAAAAAAAAAAAAAAAAAAATTAGCAGATTTGCATTTTATTTTGCATTTTCACAAAATGGGTACTTCAACCAAAACATTTTGATTTTACCCCTAAATATAGACATTTAAGTCTTTAAATTATAAGTCTTAAAGGCTATCCCACCTTCTAGGTCAGTAAGAGAAACAGAGGAGGTAGAAAACATAGGTCTCAGGTAAAAAGTTAAAAAAACCCAGCAGGTAGAACTGAGGCAGTTAAGTAGAGTCAAGTATATGGGAAACGGACCCCTTGGAGAACTAGAGGAAAGTTACTGGATCATCTTCCCAGAAAAATGTGTGTGCATCTGTATACAACAAACAAGGAATTAATGAACCTAAGGTTAATCTTTGTTCTAAACTCTACAGTTTTGTCGCAAATCCAGTAAAATGAGTCCTGGTAATAACTGAACAATAATTTTGAATGATGTTGGTTAAGGGAGAAAATAAGAGGGAAACTGGGTTATTTACAAACATAAAAAAACTACTAGATGTTGTAATATTTCTTTTCTCCTTGATTATTATTAATGTGTAAATTAGATACATGTATATGGAATGAAAAAGAAAAGATCTGTCTAGATCTCACTGCAGCCTTGACACCCTGAGCCCAGCAATCCTCTCACTTCAGCCTCCCAAGTAGCTGGGACCATAGGTGTGAGCCACCACACCTGGATAATTTTTAAATTTTTTTGTAGAGACGGGGTTTCACTATGTTACCTAGACTGGGAGTCCTCTATTTTTAATTAACCTAATTTGGCATCCAAACTATTAAATAGAACAAACTCTAGAATTGTGCCTTGGTTTATTAAGCATGATAATTATTTGTTGAACGAACAGACAAATTGACTTCCCACTGATTTATAAAAGCAACTCCCAGACATAGTACTCTTAATAGATACCCTGGCAGAAACTGTGAAATACCTTCCTAGGAGCCATTCTTCTTACTCGGAGAAATCTAATTTTAGTAAGGGTGGCAATGTGGCTGAAATACATTTTCTACCCTCCATTGTAGGTAAGGAGTGGTCACATTACTAAGTTCTGGGTCTTCTGGGAAAGTTTTTTTTTTTTGAGACGGAGTCTCGCTTTGTCACCAGGCTGGAGTGCAGTGGCGCAATCTTGGCTCACTGCAATCTCCACCTCCAGGGTTCAAGCCATTCTCCTGCCTCAGCTTCCTGAGTAGCTGGAATTACAGGCACGCACCACCGCACCCAGCTAATTTTTGTATTTTTAGTAGAGATGGGGTTTCACCATGTTGGCCTGGATGGTCTTGATCTCCTGACCTCATGATCTGCCCTCCTTGGCCTCCCAAAGTGCTGGGATTACAGGTGTGAGCCACCGCACCCGGCTTTTCTTTTTTTCTATCTTTTTTTTTTTAGAGATAGGGTATCATTGTTGCCCAGGCTGGAGTACAGAAGTGTGATCTCAGCTCATGCAGCCTGGAACTCCTGGGCTCAAGTGATTCTCCCACCTCAGCCTCCTGAGTAGTTGGGATTACAGGTGTGTGTCACCACACTTGGCTAATTTTTAAATTTTTTTTATAGAGATGGGTTCTGCTATGTTCCACAGGCTGGTCTTGAACTCCTGGCCTCAAGTGATCCTCCTGTCTCAGCCTCCCAAAGCACTGGGATTACAGGCCTGGGAAAGTTCTGTTAATTAAAAAAGGTGAATCAGCTGGCAAGCACCTTTTGTCTTTCCTCCCCTTTCCTCCCTGATACACAGAAGTTTTGATAAGAGCTGTGCTGCCAATATTATGACAGAGGCGCCTAGAACACTGGTAACAAAATGGAACCACCATGCCAGTCCATCTTGTTTAAGCCACTATTTTTCAGATCTGTTAGTTGCTGTGAAATGCTATCATTAATGAAAATGGACCAGCCTGGGCAACATAGTGAGACCATGTCTCTAAAAAAAAAGTGTTTTTTTTGTTTTTTTTTTTTTTAAAGTAGCTGCGCATGATGGTACACATTTGTGGTTCCAGTTACTCAAGAGGCTGAGGTGAGAAGATCACTTGAGACCAGGAGGTTGAGGCTGCAATGAGCCATGACTGTGCTACTGCACCATACTCCAGCCTGGCGACAGAGCCTTTCGTCTCAAAAAAAGAAAAAGAAAAAGAAAATAGATATACTATGTTAATTTGCATAACAATATTGAAAAATTACTGGCCTCTTTTACAAAATAAGGAAAATAAAGCTCAGGGAGATTATAACTTTCCCAAGGTCACAGGGTTGCTAAGTGGTAGACTTAAACTCCAGGTACGTTTAGCTCTCACACCACTCTTCTTTTCTTTCTTTTCTTTTCATTTTTTTTTTTTTTTTTTGAGGCAGAGTCTCACTCTGTCGCCCAGGCTGGAGTGCAATGGCATGATCACGGCTCACTGTAACTTCCGCCTCCCAGGTTCAAGCAATTCTCCTGCTTCAGCCTCCTGAGTAGCTGGGACTACAGGTGTGTGCCACCACATCCAACTAATTTTTTAAAATATTTTTAGTAGAGACAGGGGTTCTGCCACATTGGCCAGGCTGGTCTCGAACTCCTGACCTCAGACAATCTGCCCACCTTGGCCTCCCAAAGTGCTGGGATTACAGGTGTGAGGCACTGCGCTCGGCCTCACTCTTTTCAATATTAGTTATGCTACTGTCACAGCTAAGCATATGCACCACTTGCATTGAAATGCTAAAAGAAAACCATAACCAGAATACTCACTTTCCAAATACGGTGTATTTCATGTCCAAATGTGGCTGTTTGCCATAGGTGATGAAGAACTGAGATCCATTGGTGTTCGGGCCATTATTAGCCATAGATACAACACCTCTAACATTGTGCTGAAAAAGACACATCAAAGTATTAACTGTGTTTTTATATAACCATCCCAAATATAGTATTGAAACAAGACAGGCACACCTTTGTTTTCTTTTTTAAAAATATTTTGAGATTGGGGTCTCACTATGTTGCTCAGGCTGGTCTCTAACTCCTAGGCTCAAGTGATCCTCCTGCCTTAGCTTCCAAAGTGTTGGGATTACAGGTGTGAATCAGCACACCCAGCCAAGACATTCAATCTTTACCTTCACAATATTTAAGGGAGCAAGAAAACATTTAACCAACTTCTCTCTATTAGGGATAATCCAAATGTTCAGTTTCTGCCTTTTCTGTACCTTTGAAAACTTGTATGTAAAAGGTTAATATATCAAATAATATTTCTCAATTAATTTCATTTTCACTTTGAAGAAATACAGCCATGGACACTTTTTGCAATACCAACAAATAATAGAAATAATCCTTACATTTATATTAAGGAATAGTGTGCTGGAATGAAATGATCAGGCAGGCAACAAAACCAAAATGCCCACAATCTCTTCTCACATACAATGGACTCTTGCTAGTTTCTTTATCTGTAAAACAAGGGAGGCTGGACTAGTTCAAGGGTCTATTTATAACTCAGATGCTCACAAGGGTCAAGCAGATAAACTGACAATTGGGCAGAATGTAAACATTAGAGAGAGATGAAGTCTGGCAAAATGAATAGGCTATCTCTTGATTAATGACATTAAATATATATTTTTTAACTAAGGGCCACAGATAATGCATCTGTGGGTGTTCCACTCATGGGCAGTCAGTTTATAACCCCAGGACTGAACGATCTAAGAAAGGTCTCACCTAGCTCTACTATCATGATAGTATTTGTTTACAAGAGACAGTGTATAGAAATTAAAAGGACCTTACTGATAAGAATGAAGATGTAACTGTGAACTATGTTACAGGGAGGTGCCTGTAATACACTACAACTCCACCAATTACTCTAGCTTTAGCTATTCATTGGGTGACGCTAATAAGTCATAGAGAAGCACCTATATCAAAATATTAATGCTTGTCTCCCTAAAAGGTGTCCACCAATCAAATGTAATATTAAATACACATGTAATATTTAATACATACACAATATTTAATACATACACAAAAATATAGTTAATAAAAATGTAAGTTAATAAAATAAGCACCCATTAACATATTTCCCAGCTTTCAGAGTTAAAATTTACCAATTCATTGAATAATGGGAGCTCAAGAAAAAATAAAAGTTACCAATTAATTACATATATCCATGTGCTCCTCTCCATTTATTACCTCAGCCTCTACAAGAGGTAACCACTATTCTAATACCTTTTTTTTTTCATTTTTTCATTTTTTTTTTTTTTTAGAGACAGGGTCTCACTCTGTCACCCAGGTTAGAGTGCAGTGGTGCAATCATAGCTCACTGTAGCCTTGACCTCCTAGGCTTGAGCAATCCTTCCACCTTGGCCTCCTGAGTAGCTGAGACTACAGATGTACACCTCCATACCTGGCTAATTTTTTAACTTTTAGTAGAGATGAGGGCTCAATATGTTGCTCAGGCTGATCTCAAACTCCTGGCCTCAAGTACTTGTTCCTCTCACCTCGGCCCCCTAAAGTGCTGGGATTATAAGAGTGAGCCACTGTGCCCAGCCCTAACACATTTACACATGCCTAAACAACACATTCTTTCCTTTTCCTTCTGAATATAATTACATCGTAACATTTTAGTCTTCTGGGAAATGCTTTCTACAAATAACATTGTTACATTTCTAAGGTTATACATGTACATATAGCCATAGTTTATTACTATTTTTTTACTACTATGTGATATTTCACTACTGAATATACTACAATTTATCCACAATCTACATAGTGATTCATCTACAATCAGTGGACATTTGGGTTGTTTCTAGACTTTTGCTATTACAAACAGTACATCAGAACACTCCTGTACATGTCTCTTGGTGCAAACTTACAAGTTTCTCTTGAGTAAACATTTGGGAATGGAATTCCTGGGCCAGAATATATGAAGAGTCAATACATATCCACAATCTTGGTGTATAAGGTGTATAATATAATGGTTCTTTTTTTTTTTTAGACGGAGTCTCGCTCTGTCGCCCAGACTGGAGTGCAGCAGCACGATCTCGGCTCACTGCAAGCACTGCCTCCCGGGTTCAGGCCATTCTCCTGCCTCAGCCTCCCAAGTAGCTGGGACTACAGGCACCCACCACCACACCTGGCTAATTTTTTGTATTTTTTGGCAGAGACGGGGTTTCACTGTGTTAGCCAGCATGGTCTTGATCTCCTGCCCTCGTGATCCGCCCGCCTCGGCCTCCCAAAGTGCTGGGATTACAGGTGTGAGCCACCGCGCCCGGCCTATATAATGGTTCTTAACTCTGCCTGCAAAAGAATCATCTAGGAACCTTAAAATATAGTCTAAGTCCTAACCAGCCCTACTGACTTTATTTTTAGGAGGGCAAGGCCATGATCTGTTATAGTTTTAAAACTTCCAGCCAAGTGCAGTGGCTCACTCCTATAATCCCAACACTTTGGGAGGCCAAGACAGGAGGATCATCTTAGTCCAGGAGTTTCAGACCAGACTGGGCAACAGAGCAAGACCTCGTCTCTACAAAAAATCAGAAATTAGCTGGGCACGGTGGTGCACTCCTGTGGTCCAGCCACTTGAGAGGCTGAGGCAGGAGAAACTGCTTGAGCTCAGGTCAAGGCTGCAGTGAACCGTGATCAGGCCACTGCACTCAGCTTAGGCAACAGAGTGAGACCCAGTCTCAAAAACAAACAACAAAGTTCCACAGGTGATTCTGTCATAGCCAGTCTCTGGTTTTCAGCTGGTATATGGAAGCAGTCATTAATGTAATAATTAATACCTAAAAAATTGTTTAGTTATTCATTCAGGAAAAAGTTGACTTTTCAAAAAGTTTATCACCTCCCAGCCTCAACTCCTGTAACAAAACTAATACATTTCCTTACAATAGAAAAGTAAAATGAACCAGCTTGGGCAACATAGTGAGACACCATCTGTACAAAAAATACAAACATTAGCCAGGCATGGTGACATGCACCTGTAGTCCCAGCTACTCTGGAGGCTGAGGTGGGAGGATCACCTGAGCCCAGAAAATTTAGTCTGCAGTGAGCCAAGAATGCATCACTGCACTCCAGCCCAGGGGACAGAACAAGACCCTGTCTCTAAAAAAAGGTTTTAAAAAAAGCAAAAAGAAAAGAAATTACTCCTAGTCTCATCATCCAGAGATAAACACTGCAATGAATTTTTTTCAGAATTTTTGTGGGTACATTTTAATGTAATGGAAATATAATAATACACTTAAACTGCATATTTTGATTGAGTAGACTTTTTTTTTTTTTTGAGTGGGGTCTCGTTCTGTGCATGATCTTGGCTCACTGCAGCCTTGATCTCCTGGGCTCAAGCAATCCTCCCACTTCAGCCTCTTGAGTAGCTGGGACTACAGGCACACGCCACTATAACAGGCTAATATTTGTATTTTTTTGTGGAGATGGGGGTCTCACTATGTTGCCCAGGCTGGTTTCAAACTCTTGGCCTCAAGCAATCCTCCTTACTGGGCTTCTCAAAGTGCTGGGATTACTGTACCCGGCCCTGGTTGAGGATACTTCATTGCTCTTTTTCTAATCATAAAGTTATCATTCTATGGAGATACAAAGTTTGAAAGACCACATAATAAGTCATCAACTGAAGTTATCTCTGGGAAGTGGGATTGATTTTTAAAACTAGGCATGCACTAATTTTTAATTTTAGACAAAAAAAAAAAATGACTCCACAGAGGTTTGAAAAACACAGAAAAATATAACAAAGAAAATTAAAAATCCCTAATTTTACCATGTTAAAGACTATTTATATGTACTACTCTTTAACCTAGTTGTGATCTACCATAGGTATTAAGTCATATTAATACAGGGATGTTCAAACATCTAACAGAAGATGATAAAAGCTGGGTACTGATAATGGGCAACATTGCAACCAGGAAGTTTGATAGTCTTTCCTCCCCACTCTCAAAAAAGGCCACTGTTTCATGTCATTCAACATGAATTTTATGGTGAGATATTAAGTCTCTTTGGTACACTACTAGTTAAACATTTCAGGTTAGATTCAAAGATGAACTCACTTACTATCAAGAGCCACGTGGTGGTGGGATTCCAGTACACATGTCAGGCTAGGATCACCATTTCTCAAGTCTCCCCGACATCATTTGTCAAATGTACAAAAACTATAAAAAAGTATGTTCATTTTGCAATGATGTTAACTTGTATCACTATGACACATGTATCAAAGTTTCCATGCATAACCAAGGCATGAGAAATAGATTTTTAAAGCATTGAGGATTTACCTTAAGATATTCACTGTATTCATCCTCAAACTTCTTGCCCCAAATACTGTTGCCTCCTCTTCCAGTTCCTACATTACAAGTGAAGCAAATCAAAAGAAGTATTTAATTAAATTGAAAACAAGTTCATTTCCCAAAACTTAAGGAATACTTTATAGTTTGACTGCTTAAATATAGATAAAATTTGATATGGCCTTTCCTAATTCCCCAAATTTAACTTCACAGACCTGAAGATTAAAACAGACCTACAAAAAACAAAAAAGAATAACCCTCCTTATAAATATTGTTCATATATATTTAAGTATGAAAAGCTTCACAAATTTGTGTCTCATCCTTGTGCAGGGGCCACACTAATCTTCTCTGTATTGTTCAAATTTTAGTATATGTGCTGCCAAAGTGAGCACAATATTGTTCACATTTTAGGGGTAGGTGCTAATAATTTCTGCTTTAAAATTGCACCATGTAATACTATGCAGCCATAAAAAGGATGAGATCATGTCCTTTGCAGGGACATGGATGGCTGGAAGCCATCATTCTCAGCAAACTAACACAGGAACAGAAAACCAAACACCGCATATTCTCACTCATAAGTGGGAGTTGAACAATGAGATCACATGGACACAAGGAGGGGAACAACACACAGCAGGGCTAGTTGTGGGTGGGGGCAAGGGGAGGGAGAGCATTAGGACGAATAGCTAATGCATGCTGGGCTTAAAACCTAGAGGACAGGCTGATAGGTGCAGCAAACCACCATGGCACACATATACCTATGTAACAAACCTGCATGTTCTGTACTTGTAGAACAGAACTTATTAAACAAAACAAAACAAAACAAAAACTCCACGTATTTAATTCCTCTTCTTTTACCCACTTCTTCATACTATACATTCAGTTCCTTAGATCTTGGTTAATGGAATAACTTACCTGTTGGATCTCCTGTTTGAACCATGAAACCCTTGATATTCCTATGAAATATACAGCCATTGTAGTAATTACTGGCACAAAGAGCCAAGAAATTCTGAAGGGAGTAAAAATGATTGAGAAATGATGCAGCAGAAACCCAGTTAAGACAAAAAACCAATCATATTTACTGAAAACGTGATAGCAGCATATTTAAACTATGACTGTTGTCATTACTTTGGATGTCATTTCCCTGCCTACAACACTTCAATAGCTTCCTTCTCCTCTTGAAATAAAATACAAAATCTTTCGCCGGGCATGGTGGCTAACGCCGGTAATCCCAGCACTTTGGGAGGCCGAGGTGGGTGGATCACGAGGTCAGAAGATCGAGACCATCCTGGCTATGGTGAAACCCCATCTCTACTAAAAATACAAAAAATTAGCTGGGTGTGGTGGCAGGCGCCTCCAACTACTCTGGAGGCTGAGGGAGGAGAATGGCGTGAACTTGGGAGGCGGAGGTTGCAGTGAGCCGAGATCGCACCACTGCACTCCAGCCCGGGCGACAGAGACTCCGTCTCAAAAAAAAAAAAAAACAACCAAAAACAAAAAGAAAATCTTCAGCAGGGCCTAACAAGCCCTGCAGTACCTGGCTCATCTCCTCATCACATATACTAAGAACTGCTTTCTTGTTGCTTACTACCTAAACTCCATCAGCATTCTGACAATTAATCCAAAAGGGGCAGCTTTTCTTACCTGGGGTACTCTGTACCTGAGATTTCTATATCTGGAATGTTCTTTTTTTTTTTTTTTTTTTTTTGTAGAGACAGTGTCTCCCTATGTTGCCCAGGCTGGTCTTGAACTCCTGAGCTCAAATGATTCTCCTGCCTCAGCCACCCGAAGTGCTGGAATTACAGGTGTGAGCCACCGTGCCTGGTCTTGGAATTTTTTAAAATTTTATTTCACAACCTTTTCTGAATCTGAATACCTGGAATATTCTTTCTATACCTCTTTCCATGGAGATGCCCTCATACCTTTGCATTTAATTTAAGTATTAGTTTATTGGCTACACCTGCCCTCACCTTCTTCCTTTCCCATTATTCTCTATCTCAACACTTAATTTTTTTCAAGGCATTATCATCTTTTAGAATTACTTAATTTTAGGCCAGGCACAGCAGCTCACACCTGTAATCTCAGCACTTTGGGAGGCAGGAAGATCACTTGAGTCCAGGAGTTCAAGACCAGCCTGGGCAACATAGTAAGACCTCATCTCTATCTTTAAAAAAAAAATAAATAAATGAAAATAATTTCTTAAAAATATAATTACTTAATTTTCCTGCCCTGCTTATTTTTACAACTAAAATATTGGCTCCATGAGGGTAAGGAATGTCTGTTGCTCATCACTGTATCTCCAGACTCTGGGGCAAGATAGCCTTTCACGAATAATGGGTTTCTTGTTTCGTTTTGAGACAGGGTCTTGCTCTGTCACCTAGGCTGGAGTGCAGCAGTGTGATCAGAGCTCACTACAGTCTTGACCTCCTAGGCTCAAGCAATTCTCCCACCTTGGCCTCCCTTGTAGCTGGGACAACAGGGTCACACCACAACATCTGGCTAATTTTTGTATTGTTTTGTAGAGATGGGGGTCTCACTATATTGCCTAGGTAAGCCTAGAACTTCTGAGCTCACCTTAGCCTCCCAAAGTGCTGGAATTATAGATGTGAGCCACCATGCCCAGCCATAAATAATTGCTGAATAAATGAATATATACAGGTGACTCTTCTTCCTTCCATCCTTGTCATTTAAACAGGTGACACAGGCCGGGTGCAGTGGCTTTGGGCAGCACTTTGGGCAGCCAAGACGGGTGGATCACCTGAGGTCAGGAGTTTGAGACCAGCCTGATCAACATGGTGAAACCCCATCTCTACTAAAAATACAAAATTAGCTGGGCATGGTGGCTGGCGCCTATAGTCCCAGCTACTTGGGAGGCTGAGGCAGGAGAATCCCTTGGACCTGGGTGGCGGAGGTTGCAGTGACCCAAGATTGGGCCACTGCACTCCAGCCTGGGCAACAAGAGCAAAACTCTGTCTCAAAATAAATAAATAAATAAATAAAAATAAACAGGCGAAATAATGTATAGAACAGGCCAGGCATGGTGGCTCACGCCTATAATTCCAATACTTCAGGAAGCTGAGATGGGACGATGGCTGGAGACCAGGAGTTCGAGACCAAGTTGGGCAACATAGTGAGATCTCGTCTCCATAAAAATTTAAAAAAAATTAGCCTGGCATGGTGGCACACGCCTGTAGTCCTATCTACTTGGGAGGCCAAGGTGGGAGGATTGCTTGAGCCCAGGAGGTTGAGGCTGCAATGAGCCGTGATTGCACCACTGCACTCCAGTCTGAGCGACAGAGCAAGACCCTGTCTCAAAAAAAAAAAAAGTATACAACAATTCTTTAATATAATATCCTGCCGGGCATGGAGGCTCATGCCTATAATCCCAACACTTTGGGAGGCTGAGGCAGGCGGGTTACCTGAGGTCAGAAGTTTGAGACCAGCCTGGTCAACATGGTGAAACCCCGTCTCTACTAAAAAAATATAAAAATTAGCTGGGCATGGTGGTGGGTGCCTGTAATCCCAGGTACTTGGGAGGCTGAGGCAGGAGAATCGTTTGAACCCCAGAGGCGAAGGTTGCAGTGAGCCAAGATCATGCCACTGCACTCCAGCCTGGGTGACAGAGCAAGACTCCGTCTTGAGAAAAAAAAAAAAAAAAAAAAGGCCAGGTGCAGTGGCTCATGCTTGTAATCCCAGCACTTTGGGAGGCTGAGGTGCATGGATCACCTGAGGTTAGAAGTTTGAGACCAGCCTGACCAACATGGTGAAACCCTGTCTCTACTAAAAATACAAAAATTAGCCAGGCATGGTGGCGCACGCCTGTAATCCCACTTACTCGGGAGGCTGAGGCAGAAGACTTGCTTGAACCCAGGAGGCGGAGGTTGCAGTGAGCCGAGATCGCGCCATTGTACTCCAGCCTGGGGGACACAGCGAGACTCCATCTCAAAAAAAAATAATAATAAATAAATAAAAAAAAAGAAAGAAAAAAGTAATATAATGTCCTAATGATTACGTTTCCTGAAGAAAATTAGTTCAAAAGAAAAAGATACTGGCTACTCTATCGTTACCGAAAAATTATCTACGTTCTCTTTGATCCACCTTTGACATTGGACAAATAAGTGGAAATCAGGCCAGAAGTTAGGATGGCTAGTTTTCCCTAACAATGGTTTTACAGAAAGTTTTGTTGTTGTTATTTAGGTTAGATTATTCAATTCCAAAGTGCTTATCTTGTTGTATTAACTGATGTTGAATATGTAAATAATAGTACTTACCTCACATGTTTTGGGTGTCCTCTCACAGAAGACTTCAATTTTAATATCACCTACATCTGTATGCAGTGTCACAGACTAAAAAGGAGAGAAAATGTGAGAACAAATGAAATTTATTTAGGTGACTTTATGCATTGTTTATTTCCCTGTGTGGATATTCAAGATGATAATCTGAATAAAAACAGACAGAAATACTGCTTCAGAGATGACCCATCCACAAAGCAGCTCTTAGAGGTTAAGTTGTACTTTTTTCTCAAAATTGATCCCAACAGTAGAGAAAAAACTCCAGAATATAAATGTTAGGGTTAAGTAGTATCCATGACAAAAATTTGGAAGTAAATATTTTGATGGAAAGAATTATTTTAACTTTGAATTTTTTATCAAGAAAAATAAAAACAATTGTTATGTATTATTGATGTACATGGCAATTCACCAACATCCTTATTTATAGAAAAATGATGAGAAAATGATTTTTCAAAACATAATTTCCACCATTTTCCTTAGGTAATTTAATTCTGAGAAATAGGGTTAAAAAATAATTCCTTTCTCGACTAACAAAAATATAACAAGTGTCAGTGTTTCTAAATCTTAAATGTGCAGAGATAACCACAGTGCTTTCTTGCTTGCTTTTTGTTTTTGTTGTACCTGTTTTTCTGTAACCTGTATACCCCTTGATATGATACTGTATTCCAGAGAGGGAGAAAACAATTTGGAGGGTTCCTTTTTCATTTCTCCTTTTTTTTTTTTTTGAGGTGGAGTCTTGCTCTGTCGCCCACACTGGAGTGCAGTGGCGTGATCTCGGCTCACTACAATCTCCACCTCCTGCGTTCAAGCAATTCTCCTGCCTCAGCCTCCCAAGTAGCTGGGATTACTGGGATATGCCACAACACCCAGATAATTTTTGTATTTTTAGTAGAGACAGGGTTTCACCATGTTGGCCAGGCTGGTCTCGAACTCCTGACCTCAAGTGATTGGCCCACCTCTGCCTCCCAAAGTGCCGAGATTACAGGCGTGAGCCACCGCGCCTGGCCTAGCAGTTAGAGAGTATGAGCAGGTTAAAGATGTGTGTGGGAGAAGCAGGGCACTATTCTCATTGCCTTTTTCTACTTCAGGTTCTAGTTGCCCACTTTATTTAATTGTTTTTTTAAAAGTAGAGACGGGGGCCTCACTGTGTTGCCCAAGCTGGTGTTGAACTCCTGGGATCAAGCAGTCCTCTCACCTCCGCCTCCCAAAGTGCTGGGATCACAGGTGTCAGCCACTGTGCCCAGCCTAGTTGCCCACTTTAGATCTAGAGCAAAATAATCCAATTAAAATTGTCAGACCTGTCTATTCTCTTCTGCTCCTTCAACTCTCCCTTTCCATTTCTATCTATCTTGTAATCAATCTTTCTCCATAAAAGGTAAATTCTGGCTGGGCGAGTTGGCTCACGCCTGTAATTCCAACACTTTGGGAGGTCAAGGCAGGCAGATCACCTGAGGTCAGGAGTTCGAGACCAGTCTGCCCAAAATGGCGAAACCCCATCTCTACTAAAAATACAAAAAATTAGCTGGGCGTGGTGGCAGGCGCGTGTAATCTCAGCTACCGGGGAGGCTAAGGCAGGAGAATCGCTTGAACCCAGGGGCAGAGGCTGCAGTGAGCCGAGATTACACCACTGCACTCCAGCCTGGGAGACAAGAGTGAAACTCAAAAAAAAAAAAAAAAAAAAAGGTAAATTCTGTGCATTTTAAGTGACAACATTAAAGAATTTTAAAGCAATTTTGTGTATTTTTTAAAAGAATTATTCCATATTAAGTGCTTCTATATTATACAATTTCTCCATCTTGCCACTGCAATTTCCATGAACTTTTATTGCCCTTGACTGAATTTCTAAAAATTACTTATAATGAAAGACATTAGATAAAAATTGCTCAAAACTTACCATTTTTCCTCTTAGTGGTTTCAGGAAGGACTACGTGATTTCTCAGTCTTACAGCGAGCTCAAAAATAAGTCTCTAGTCCCAAAAGAAAAAAAGAATTAGGCTCATTTTCCTGTCTTAACTCACACACGCTCATCTTTACTGAACATTTTAAATAAAAACCTCGCCGGGCGTGGTGGCTCACGCCTATAATCCTAACACTTTGGGAGGCCGAGGCGGGTGGATCACTTGAGGTCAGGAGTTCGAGACCAGCCTGGCCAACATGGCGAAACCCCGTCTCTACTAAAAACACAAAAATTAGCCGGGTGTGGTGGCAGGCGCCTGTAGTCCTAGCTACTCAGCAGGCTGCGGCAGGAGAATCACTTGAACCCAGGAGGCGGAGGCTGCAGTGAGCTGAGATCGCGCCACTGCACTCCAGCCTGGGTGACAGCGCGAGACTCCGTCAAAAAAAAAAAAAAAAAAAATCCTCTAATGGCATCCCCTAGGTAATAAAAACCCGGCTATAGAAGATATCCTACCCGATTCAAGCCTCCCAATCTCCTACTTGCCCGGCTTGCTCTTCTTCAAGAGCCTCCTTGCAAGTCCCCCAATAACCCAGATACCTTCCCTTAGGGTCCAGGCATTGGGTGTCCCTTTTGCCTGGAATTCTTATACTCAGACATCTCTACGGCTAATTTCCTCACCTCCAAATTTCTGCTTAAATGTCAAGTTTAACTGACCTGACAATCCTACACAGAACTGCTTTAGCCCTTCAGCCCTAGGACATTCCTATTTCCTTCTCCCACAGCACTTATCACTAATATACTATGAAATTCGCTTTTTTTTTTTTTCACCACAGCACTTATACTAATATACTATGAACTTTTTTTTTTCCACCACAGCACTTATCACTAATATACTATGAACTTCTCTTTTTTTTTCATTTTGAGACGGAGTCTCGCTATGTCGCCAGGCTGGAGTGCAGTGCGGCAGGATCTCGGCTCACTGCAACCTCCGCCTCCGCCTCCCGGGTTCAAGTGATTGTCGTGTCTCAGCCTCCCGAGTAGGTGGGACTACAGGCGCGCGCTACCATGCACGACTAATTTTTGTATTTTTAGTAGAGACGGGGTTTCGCCGTGTTGGCCAGGCTGGTCTCGAACTCCTGACTTCAGGTGATCCGCCCGCCTCGGCCTCCCGAAGTGCTGGGAGGCCGCCGTGCAGGGTCCTTCTTTTACTCTGACGTTGCAACAACAGCCTCGCCGCCCACTGTTCACTCGCAGTATCCCAAGAACTAAACCAGTAGCAACACAGAACTCAGCAAGCATTCGAATAAGTGAATGAAAGAATTAATGACGTTACTCCATACTTGGGCTTCACCACTTCGTCTAGCACAGCCGTTGTTAAAACAGGAAAAATGCAATCGCAGATGCCAGCAGAGGTCTGTTGGTTCAAAATTATAGTTTCTTTGGGCCAGCGGAAGTTGGGCGCGGGACCCAAGAGAGAGAACGCCCCTTACCGCCTCACCTCCTTCCTCCCCTCATCTTCCTATCTCAAACCAAAACGACAATGCAATTTATCCCCAACCGGAAATTTGACAGTGAAAGGGAGCTCTACTAATAATTGCACTGGGACAA
Organism: Homo sapiens; assembly: GCF_000001405.40. Lineage (NCBI taxonomy): Eukaryota > Metazoa > Chordata > Mammalia > Primates > Hominidae > Homo > Homo sapiens. The sequence continues at coordinate 200,889,224 of NC_000002.12, forward strand.
GAAGTGTAAGGCGAAACTACCTGGGCAACCTCAAGCAATGCTTTACACTCGGCTGCCAAACGGAAAGGACCACTTCCGCCCAGCTCTCCCGCTACGGGGAGCCAAGTGCCACAGCATCCGGAGCGCCGACGCGGGACCGGAAGTGACGCAGAGAAGTTTCCGGGACTGGTGAGTAGTGGGCGATTTAAAAACCCGCGAGTGTAGTTGTGACCTTCGCGGTAGGTGCCGGTTGGGGCCGGCTGTGATTGTTATCTTGGTGCTGCAGAGGACAGCAGAAGAGGAGATTGGGTCAGAAAACTGCCCTGCCGCACCAGAGCACAGCGCACTAGTGGGACAGGGGTCCTGACTCAGACTTAACTGGCTGTGTCTCGTGGTTTTTCACTGTCCTGGAAAAGGCCTGAAGTGGCACTGAAATGAGGCATAGATGAGGTAACGTCGAGGGAGCGGTTTGCAGGTTGCAAAGGGGCCCTACTGATGCTGCTTAATAGTAAACAGTGCTTACTCTAGGACGGGAGTTGTTTCCAGCTTTACGTGTAAATCTCGCGATATTGTGGCCTGGGCACTATTTCCATTAAGGAGGAAACTGCACAGGATAAGTCATTTACCTGCTGTTGCACAGCTCTGGCTCTAGGATTCAGGCTGGCTTCAGAGTCGGTGCTCTTAACCGCCATACTATGTTGCCTTCTGTTGTCGTTGTTGACTGTGGCCATGTAGCTTCGCAGTTTCCTCATCTGTAACAGTAAATAACTCAAAACCTGCATGATGGCCCACTAGGGTTTCACTTTCGAGCTTGCCAGATGTAGAAAATGCTGGAGAATGGAGTACTATGAGGACCATTAGAAGATCTTTCAAGGCCGGACGCAGTGGCTCACCCCTGTAATCCCGGTACTCTTGGAGGCCGAGGCAGGTGGATCACTTGAGCGCAGGAGTTTGAGACCAGCCTGGGCAACATGGCGAATCCCCATCTCTACTAAAAATACAAAAATTAGCCAGGTGTGGTGTTTAGCGCCTGTAGTCCCAGCTGCTCAGGAGGCTGAGGTGGGAGGATCTGCTTGAGCTCAGGAAGTCGAGGCTGCAGTGAGCTGAGATCACGCCACTGCACTCCAGCCTAGGCGCCTAGTGAAACCCTGTGTCAAAAAGAAAAAAACAAAAACAAACTTCCAAGACCTCGAGTGGTTTTTGGAGACCCTGTATCACTTCAAATAATGTGTTAAACAAGCATCTTCATCTCATTAAATAGAAATGTTGAAAAATTGCTTTTGGAATAATTGACTTATGGATATTTCATCAAATTTACAGTTGGCTATGCTTTCTTATTGTGCATACTATGAAATGTTTTTCTTCAAAAAGTGTTTATAAGTGGTAAGTTTAAGAATGGGGTTGACAGCATTATCTTTTGTGGTTATTTGATTAAACATTTACTAATTGTGCATATTTTGGAGCCAGCAGTTTTTTTCTACCTTTCCATTGCCCTCCCACCTTCCCTCTGTTGCCAACCTTTTCAGTTCCTTGTTGGATGTAGATACTTAGAAGGCTTACAGGCTGTCTGGGAAAAGTACCCTATACCTTATCCCCTCCCACCTCTTGAGCCTGGCCTTTGTGTAGCAAATGTTGCTTAAGGGGCAGTGGCTTCTCCCTTCTTCTGCCTTGACCCTGCCCATTTATAGAGTGACCTGCCTATGTATTCCTTGATTTTTGATTCTGATAAAGCACTTGACATTTTAAACATTCTTTTTTTTTTTTTTTTTCTTTTTGAGACGGAGTGTTGCTCTCTCGCCAGGCTGGAGTGCTGTGGCATGATCTTGGCTCACTGCAACCTCCGCCTCCCAGGTTCAAGTGATTCTCCTGCGTCAGCCTCCCGAGTAGCTGGGACTACAGGTGCACACCACCATGCCCAGCTAATTTTTGTATTTTTAGTAGAGACGGTTTCACCACGTTGGCCAGGATAGTCTTTATCTCTTGACTTTGTGATCCTCCCGCCTCGGCCTCCCAAAGTGCTGGGATTACAGGCGCCCCGCCACATTATTCTGTTTTTTGGTAAAGCACATTGTAATGCCAGTATATACCACCCCAACTCCAAATTCTGTTGCAATCAGGGGAGGCGGGCAGTGTCATTCTATGCAGTAAGCATTTAGTGCTGGCTTATATTAGTGATACTGAGATTTATTGAAGTTAGTTCCTATTACATAGTAGCTTTAGCATAATGGGCACACACAGAATTATGAGAATACTGAGGGGTGGGGAGCCTTGGGAAGGATGCTGAAAAGGGAGGTCAAGAAAAGTTTTATTTAAGAAGTTGGAGGGGGCTTGGGAAAAGGAAAGGTAATATTTAGAGAAATGGATTAGGGAGGAGGTTGGTTGAAGCAAGGGTAGGGAGAATAAGAACAAGGGTGTGCAAGGCAGGAGATGGGATGGACGTTTGTGTATTATGTACCAGGCTTTGCTAGGTTACATAATTCATTAGCTCCTCTGGATGGCCTGTGAAGTGGGTTATAGTATCTCTGTTTCGTAGGTGAGAAAACAAGATTGGAGAGGTTAAATGGCTTACCTAAGTTACAGTGTGCTGGTAAGTGGCAGAGCCACTATTTGAACCCAGATCTCTATGACGACAGCTCTTTTGCCCATATGTTTTGATGCCTCAAAGATCCAGGCCTAAAGTATACCTGTGTACCATTTTCTTTGTTTTGACATCAGAAACTTGAACTTTACCTGATTTCTGTATGTTGTCATCTTGCGTACGCCCAGTCCCCACGACAGTCCGGTTTGTAGATTCCCTGATCTGCAATTCTTCCCGTTCCTTCATGGATTTGAAGGCTCTCCTTTCTTCCTTGAATGACTTTGCATCCCTCTCGTTTGCTGAGAGTTGGGACAATGTTGGATTACTGGTGGAACCAAGCCCACCACATACTGTAAATACACTCTTCCTGACCAATGACCTGACTGAGGAAGTGATGGAGGAGGTGCTGCAAAAGAAGGCAGACCTCATTCTCTCCTACCATCCGCCTATCTTCCGACCCATGAAGCGCATAACCTGGAACACATGGAAGGAGCGCCTGGTGATCCGGGCTCTGGAGAACAGAGTCGGTATCTACTCTCCTCATACAGCCTATGATGCTGCGCCCCAGGGCGTCAACAACTGGTTGGCTAAAGGGCTTGGTGAGAAGCCTCTTTCATATTTGATATTTTCCCTGCAAATACTTTGAAACTTTAGGATGTCTTTCCAGTAAAGTTTTAACTGCTTTAGGGTTGGGGAGGGCATGATTCCATTTTTATATAATAATTTTAAAATAATGTTGCTGAAATTTGGCAGTTAAATTGCATTTGAAAAAGGAAACATTTTTTATTCTTATGGAGTAAGGAGAGCAGAAGTCTTCCTTACTGGACTGAGCTTCATGATTCCTCACTTTTGTGGCACAATGCCTGTCACCCAGGCACTTGGAAAATGCTTGTTGAATTGAAAGCTCAGGCCTCTCCAGAATACACTTGATTGATAAGTCAAGTAAATAGACATCAGGGTTTTAATGAATGTTTTTAGTGAATGTTTACTTATGCCTAGCACAATGAGGGAATGATGGATGGATTTTAGCTTTATTTTAGTAAGTCTTTAGTTTACTCATTTTGGGCTAAAGCTTTTATGATGATATCTGGATTAATGTGGTCAAATAAAGTATGAGCATTTGCAACCTGAATGATGGTTTACATGGCTAGATTTACCAAGCAGTAGACCATTCTGTGTATTATCTGAAAATGTATGAATCAGTCTTTCTTGTCCAAGTTTTTCAGAGATTTAAGAATCTTTTGGAAAATAATTCTGAAAATAATTTGATTTTGTATGTCCATGCCAAAGCCCTAGATTATGGGGACTGGTGATGTATATCTAAGGGATGTGTGTATGTTATGTAAGCATGAGAATGAATCTTTTTAAAAAGTCATTTCTTAGAAATTTTGCCTATAATAGTTTACTTTTAAATCTTAATCTCTCACCCCCCAAAACTCCCATTTTCCCACAATATTTTCTCTAGGAGCTTGTACCTCCAGGCCCATACATCCTTCCAAAGCTCCCAACTACCCTACAGAGGGAAACCACCGAGTAGAATTCAACGTTAACTACACCCAAGACCTGGACAAAGTCATGTCTGCAGTGAAAGGAATTGACGGTGTTTCTGTCACTTCTTTTTCTGCTAGGTACAATTTATTTTTCTCTTTTTTTTGTGTGTATTTATTGGTAAGCATCTTCCTTACAAAGTCTATAACCCTGGTATTTAGGCTTGAAACAAATAGTTTTCTCTGGAGTTGATTTACAAAGTAGCATACTCCTCATTTGTTTGTGGGTCCTGGAGAACTATGGAATTTTTTCAAAACAATAAAAACGGTAAGTAACACTAAGTATTTTCTATGTCAGGGGACTATACTATGCATTTTACCTACAGTATTTCTAATCCTGGTAATGTTCAAAGATAGTTGTTTTTACTTTAGAGAATACAGATAGATCCTAGTGATGTGGTGATAAGGCTTTTATTGGTTCCCAGCAAATCAGTGATTCCCAAGTGCTTTTTTATATTTATCTTTACATTTTAAATATATATTTTCATAAATCAGTCTTTTTATTTAACATCATGGGAAATATTTTTCTGAATAGTCTTTTTTTGTTTGTTTTAAGAGACTCCCAGGCTGGGCACGGTGGCTCACACCTGTAATCCCAGCACTTTGGGAGGCCAAGGCTGGTGGATCACCTGAGGTCAGGAGTTTGAGACCAGCCTGACTAACATGGAGAAACCTCGTCTCTACTAAAAATACAAAATTAGCTGGGCGTAGTGGCGCATGCCTGTAATCCCAGCTACTCAGGAGGCTGAGGCAGGAGAATCACTTGAACCCGAGAGGCGGAGGTTGCAGTGAGCCGAGATCGCGCCACTGCACTCCAGCCTGGGAGACAGAGAGAGACTCTGTCTCAAAAAAAAAAAAAAAAAATGCAGATTTTTGTATTCACCTCAGACCTTATAATTAGAATGGAGTTTGCCTGAGAATCTGTCCAGGACATTCTCAAATTCAATGATGTTTTAAAATTATCATCTCTAAGGCTTTAAAAAAATTCATTTTGCCCCAGCCCCATTTGTAGATGTTCTGTTCACTGGTTCTGTGGAAGGATCCAGCAGCTGTTATTTTAAGAAGCTAGAAGGAATTTTTTTTATTTTTTTGAGACAGAGTCTCACTCTGTTGCCCAGGTTGGAGTGCAGTGGTGTGATCTTGGCTCACTGTAACCTCCGCCTCCCAGGTCCAAGTGATTCTCCTGCCTCAGCCTCCCCAGTAGCTGGGACTACAGGCACCCGCCCCCCACCACGCCCGGCTAATTTTTTTTGTATTTTTGGTGGAGATGGGGTTTCATCATGTTGGACAGGCTGGTCTTGAACTCCTGATCTCAGGTAATCCACCTACCTTGGCCTCCCAAAATGCTGGGATTACAGGTGTGAGCCACTGTGCCTGGCCTTCTTTTTTTTTTTTTTTTTAACTTTAATTTTTTAATAATTAAAAAAATAATAAGATAGGGTCCTGCTATGTTGCCCAGGCTGGTGTTGAACTCCTGGGCTCAAGTGACCCGCCCACCTTGGCCTCCCAGAATGCTGAGATTACAGATGTGAGCCACTGCACCTGGCCAAGAAATTTCTGATGCACAATCGGGATTGAGAACAGTTCTTGAACAGTGGTTTCAAAGTGAGGTCCTTGGACCAGCAACATCAGCATCACCTGGAACTTGTTAGAAAGGTAACCTCTCAGACCCCCACCTAGATATAATGAATCAGAAACTCCAGGGGTGGGGCCCAGCACTCTGTGTTTTAATAATCCTCCAGGTGATTCTGATGCCCAGTAGAGTTAGAGAAATGCTATTCTAGAAAATGGATTAGTTTCAGATTAAATGGGTTCTGTTGGTTAAATCCTTGGTTCCACATAAATCTAATCTATTATAGTAGGTTTGTAAACTGTGGATTATCTAAAATACATTTTGGCTATATTTGTCCTAAATGGAGTGATTTTTCCCCCCTAGGACTGGTAATGAGGAACAAACACGGATTAATCTGAATTGTACTCAGAAGGCTTTGATGCAGGTGGTAGATTTTCTTTCCCGGAACAAACAACTTTATCAGAAGACGGAAATTCTGTCACTGGAGAAGGTAATAAGAATATTTTGTATTTGATCTTAAAATACTGTGCACACATTTTCTAACAGTATAATTGAGGTATAATTGATATACTTAGGTATATTGAGGTATACCTTATTGAGGTATAATTGATATACTAAGAATTGTACATATTTGATGTGTACAATTTGATGAATATCATTACTTTGCATTTTTCTTCAGCAAATTCATTTGTAAATTATTAGATCAACAGGCCATTCACTGTTATCTAAAGTACAAAATGGCAATGAGAGCATAATATTCTCTAGGAAGTAATTGAGAAAGGGAGACATTCCAGGAACAGGAAAATATTGGTACGTCTTCAGGGTTACAGATTTGGTTACAGGTTTGCTGTCTCCTTATTTTACACGCTCTGCCTGGACCATGTCATTCACTTCTTTAACTTGATAGCCATTTGTATGATGATTTCTATCTTTACTTTTTGGCTTAGAATGCTTTCTTAAGGGAAAAAATGACAAGAACCCATATTTTCATCTACTTTCTGGATGTTTTGCACTTACAGAGCCCACAAGTATTTCAAATTCAGTATATCCAAATACTTTATCCGTTTGCCACCCCCGCTTTTTTTTTTTTCCATATTTCATATTTCAGTATCATTATCTACTTTAGTTTCCAAGTTTTCACATTCCTCCTTGACTCCAGGCCCTGCTGAGTCTGGCCTCATATCTATACAGTGTTTCTCCTCTGTATTGGCTCTGCCACCACAGTAGTTGAAACTCTCATTTTCTGCGATGAGAGTAGTCTCACCGAGCACCTAGGAGGCAGTCCAGGCTCTTTAGCATGGTGTTGGAAGCCCTTAATGATCTGCTACAGCCTGGGCCTCCAGCCTCCTCTCCTTCCACAGCATGTACTCTGCACAGTAGCCATACTGTCTTCTTTTGGATCTGCCCCCATAGTGTGTTCTCTCAAGTTTTTGGCACCTTTGTCCATGTCCTCTGTGTTTAGAATGCCTTTCTCCATCTCATCGTACCTCTGTCCTGCCACACTGCACTTGACATCACCCCTTTTTAAACTCTTTATTTCCCCCTTTTTAACTCTTTTAGGGTTTTCTCTAAGACCTAAGTCCTTCCTCCAAGTACTCCCCAAGCCTCCTAAGTCACAGCTCATTTAGTTTGTCATTCTTTGTGCTGCTGCAACTGTAGCACCTACCTTGTATTTAAACAGTTTTATTATTTTGTTTATTTGAGACAGGGTCTGGCTCTGTCCCCAGGCTAGAGTGCAGTGGTACAATCTCAGCTCACCACAACCTCTGTCTCCTGGGTAGCTCAAGCCCACCTCCCATTCAGCCTCCCAAGTAGCTGGGACTGCAGGCGCACGCCACTGCCTGGCTAATTTTTGGATTTTTTTGTGGAGATGAGGTCTCACTATGTTGCCCAGGCTGGTCTCAAACTCCCGAGCTCAAACAATCCACCCACCACAGCCTCCCAAAGTGCTAGGATTATAGGCATGAGCCATCGCGCCTGGCCTGATTATTGATTTAAACATCTGCCTTCCTAGAAAACTGTGAACTCCTAGAAGAATGATTTTGTCAGGTTTGTATCCCCACATTTAGCCTGGAGCTTGCTATAGTAATCTCACAGTGTGCATGTTGATGATTTTAGCATTTGTTGTTTTAGGACTAACAATGCACACCGTTTCTAACTTCTGTTTCTCCTCAGCCTTTGCTTCTACATACTGGAATGGGACGGTTATGCACACTGGATGAATCTGTCTCCCTGGCAACCATGATTGATCGAATAAAAAGACACCTAAAACTATCTCATATTCGCTTAGCCCTTGGGGTGGGGAGAACCTTAGGTAAATATAGCTCCTTCATCTATCCAGTATGCCTACTGTTAACATTGGACAAAGATCGAAACTCTTGGTTGTATTAATATGTGATAGAGAATGTGTTAGCAGCTCATAGGAGATAATTGGTTTACGTTATTGATTAGGGTGGGCCAGGTTCTGATGTGGAATACATCTCATTGACTTAATCAATGAGATTTATTTCTCTGTCATGCTATGTGTTCATTTCAAGTTGGTCATTGTAGGAAGTCTGACCATTGTAGACTGGTTGCTGTTGCAGAGGGAGGGAGTTTTGCAGGGTCTTAAACCATCAGTTTAAAATTCCAGGAAACATGTTAATTTCTGCTCAACTCATTTTCCAGAATTAGTCATGTTGCCCAATACAAGCAAGGGAGGCATAAAGTGCAGTCTTACCATGTGTCAGGAAGAGAGCTGGAATCATGATTGCTACAATTACAACATAAACTTTGCACTTATAAGACTGGTAATATTTTCTAGTGAGGTGCTACTGAGTGATCTGATCCATTGTAGTTTCTAAGTCTTGTAGTTTTTTCTTCTGGCCTTTCCTGGTACTTTTGAGAACAAAAAGAGTGAACAGACATTTGTTCAACACCTTCAGTGAGCCTAGCACTGTACTGATTGTCTGTCCTAAGTACGTGAGCTCCTGCTGGCAAAAGCAGTGGGGTACAGCGGTTATAGGTGTGGATTCTGAGCTTAGACAACCTGGCTTCAGATTTGTCTGTCCTGTTTGCTGCATGTCTTTGACAAGTTTATGCCCTCTGTGTCACAGTAGCCTCATCTGTAAAAACTGCATTAATAAAACCTAACTCAGAAGGTGGTAGTATAATCCATGTGACATGGCACAGTGATTGGCTCACATTAAGTATAAAGTGCTAGCTGTTGTTAGTTTTGTGGTTGGTACTATTTCTCCCATTTTATAGGTGAACAATTGTGGTTCAGAGAGATAAGTAACTTTATTAGTTCGTTCTCACGCTGCTATGAAGAAATACCTGAGACTAGGTAATTTATAAAGAAAAGAGGTTTAATTGACTCACAGTTCTGCATGGCTGGGGAGGCCACAGGAAACTTACAATCATGTTGGAAGGCACCTCTTCTCAGGGTGGCAGGAGAGAGAATGAGTGCAAGCAAGAGAAATGCCAGATGCTTATGAAACCATCAGATCTCGTGAGACTCACGCATTATCACAAGAACAGCATGGGGGAACTGCCCCCATGATCCAATTACCTCCACCTGGTCCCGCCCTTGACCCGTGGGAATTATGGGGATTATATTCAAGGTGAGATTTGGATGGGGACACAGAGCCAAACCATATCAGTAACTTATCTAAAAGTCCAGTTAGATCAAACAACCCAAGGGAGTTAGTGTCCAAAGAAAATGGATAGCAGAGGTGGGATTTGACTTCCAAAATAACTCCAAAGCCCCCTCTTTGAGATACCCTGCTGCTGAACTGGAGTGTCCACTAAAGTGTTCATTTTAGAAACCCAAGTGCTAAATACTTGGATTTTGGCTCGAAAGTTGCTGTTATTTCACTTTCCAGAGGATGCTTTTTGAGAATAAATAGTATATTTAAAAATAGTGCCAAATCCATTTGTAGCATTCCTCTTTTTATAGTCCTTTTAGTTCCTTAGCTTCCTCACCTGAGAATAGAGATAGTACTTGCTTACCTCTCACTGTTGTCTGAAGACCCAGGTGAGATTATTTTACCTAGCACTGTTGCAATACAGCCTAGAGCTGCACCATTAGTACTATTCAGTGGTTTGTGAGTTTGTGCAGCCATGTCCAAAGGAATAACGGTGCCCCCTTCAGCAGCACATATACTAAAAATTGGATGATATAGATTAGCATGGCCCCTATGCAAAGATTACACGCAAATTTGTGCATTGTTCCGTATTTTGCGCAATTTACAAAGGTTGTTGAAAAAAAAAAACACAACAAAGGAATAATAACCATGCCTTGGGTTAGCTATGCAATATCAAAGAATGACCTGTTTGCTTATATTAAAACATGTTTTTTTTAAAATGCAGTAAGAACAATTCATATACTGGTGATGAGACCAGGAGTGAAATCTGTATTATGTTTAGGATTCTTGGTACAAATTATAATAGTAAAATGAAAGGGAATTGTAAAGTATTGGTCTCTTGTTTCCTCTGTTTTGAAGAGTCTCAAGTCAAAGTCGTGGCCCTGTGTGCTGGTTCTGGGAGCAGCGTTCTGCAGGGTGTTGAGGCTGACCTTTACCTCACAGGTAGGACAGACTTTGGATCTCTCTTGGTTTATTTTTTGCAAAATCAAAAATGGCAAATTTTAGGACAGTACCTGGCACATAGATGATACCTAATTAATGTTTTCTGAACCTGAACTAAACAGAAACTACAACAGAACTGGGGACTTACTGCATTCTTTGTGGAGGGATGAAATCATTGAACAGTTTATTACATTATCTCAAAAGTTAATGGTCAGCATTTATTTTACCTACATTCTTCCTAAACTGTCCCAAACCTCTCAGATTTCACATCAGTGGGATACTTTCTACCCTGTCACCTTAGCTAGGAAATGGTTCCTTTTACTCAGCCTAAAGCCAATCATCAATTCCTATCAATTCAAGCTCCCAAATCTTTCTAGAATCTTCCCCCTTATCTCTATCCAGGCACCATCTCCTACTTGAAGTACAGCATCAACCCTCTAATGGTATCTTCCATATACTCTCCTGAAATTAACTTTTCAAAGTGCAAATTTGATGGTCTTGATTAAAAAGACTTCAGTGATTTCCTTCATCTGTCTGGTGGAGCCTGAACATTGCATCCCCTTTCCTGTACCCTTTGCTTATGCTGTTTTCTCTGGCTAGAATGCCTTTTCCTTGTACTCCTAGTGATAAGTGAACACCCCCTCTGAGAAGCCTTCTCTGACACTGTCCTGCTCCTGCCTCTTGTGGGTCCCTATCACTTTGTCCTTGACCTCCAATGTGCACTTCTGTTGGATAGTAATTGTCTGGCTGCTGGGCCTTATACTTTCTCATTTAGGATACTACCTAATAGGTCCTGGCTAATTTTTATTGAAAGAATTACTTTATGTAGTTACTACTCAGGAATATGGCCAAACATGGCCCCTTACACCTCCAAAGGATTTGGAGGCATTTTAAGGGGTTGCCACTTTGTTTACCTCCTCCTTCTTAGGGTTAGGAGAGAATGAGTTAAAGAATTACTTTTCCCACTTTGAGGACCAGGCTCTAGGCTCTTAGCCCTCTGGCCATTCCTTTGGCTACTTCCATGCTTCCCTTGCCTCCCACACCCACACTTTGTTATATAGCACACTCTCTTACAAAGGCTGCTGCACTCAAAGCATTGTCACATCCTGAAGTACCGAGGAGCAGCATCTGAGCAAGCCTGATGGAATTGCTCTAAACCAATAAATTGATTTAAAAAAACAAAACATGTATGTGACTATTACTTATTTTATATTTTCTGAAGATAAAAGATTTTTGTAAGCCCTTAAATTTCTACCAGATTAAAGTGAAATTTCAATATGAATATCTTACAGTATTGTGTCTGGCTATTTTAAAATTCATTTTAGCATTTTACTTAGGAATTTCAGACCTATGCAAAAGTTGCAAGAATAGTATACTGAACTCCTATATGCTCTTCACCTTGGTTACTATGGTTATATTCTGCCATATTTGTACATTCCCTATGTGCATATTATATATGTGTCTATACACATTTGTGTTTGCATGTATAGATACATAATATATACAAGTTAAAATATGTTCTATATATATATTGATGTATTTCCCCTAGGACCATTTTGTAATCAATTGCAGACATGACAATTTCTTTACCTCTCAATACTTCAGTGTATAGTCTAAGAACAAAGACATTCTAAGTCCATGGAACAATTATCAAACATGGGAATTTAATATTGTTAAAACACTTACTTGATATACAGTCCATATTCACATTTTCCCAATTGATAAAAGCTTATAGCATTTCTTTTTCTGATCCATATCCAGCCAATGATCTCACATTGCATTTAGTTGTTGTTAGTCTCCTTCAGTCTGGAATAGTTTCTCAGCTTTGTCTCCATAGCATTGACATTTTTAAAGAGTATAGGCTCTTTGTTTTGTGCTTCTCTCTCAATTTGGGGTATCTGTTTCCTTATACTTTTTTAAAAACTAGTTTTTTAAAACAATGATAAAGTATAATGATACGTGCATAAGATAAATTCAAGCAGTTCCAAAATGTTAAAATGTCCTTCCTATCTGGCTGTGGGGAGAAATAGAAAATATATTATCCGGCTAGCATTAGCTGTCTCTGGTCTGTGAGGCATCACTTTTGAGTATAACTTCAGAGATGTGAAGCCCCACCTAAAGGACCTCTGCTGAACTTCATCACGCTTCCTGTGAGCCTGAGGCCGTGTTCTCATTGTATTAGGTTGTTAAGGGTAATACCCCGTAAGACCAGCAGATGGGGAGCCTGCTCCTTGTAAATTAAGTTCTCCCATTTGTCTTTTCATTCTCCATTTGCTTATTCTTTCCCAAGCTGCCATCCTGGGCCAAGCTTTTCTTTCCATTGGCTTCAGCTATTATTGCAGGGTCTTCACTGATTTCCCCCCTTTCATGCCTTCTCCAGCCAATGAATTTGTCACAGTACAGGCAGCCAGACTTACCTTTCCTAAAACAAGGCTTCCAACTGGGCCATCTTAGTGTCTTTTTCTTGCTTTTTACTTCTACTATTATAGATTAAGATGTTTTAAAAGGTGCTTGAATAAAAACTGTTCCTTATAATGAGATGACACTTATTAGGAGGAGATTGTGGGGAACTAAAAAATTCTGGAATTAAGAAAACTCATTTTTTTACTTATAGGTGTTTTCTTATGGGAAAATTAAAAGAGAACTCATTTTTTTCCAAGAACCCTTTTTTCTTAAATTTATATGCCCTTCTGTCTCTAAATACAGTTCAAAATTGTACTTTTTAAAGAACAAACCTAATTGTACACAGTACAGTTTTGCTCTTAAATTAGAAGTCATCAAATTCACAAACTGCATTTTAAGAAATTCAGAATATTAGGCTGGACATGGTGGCTCACGCCTGTAATCCCAGCACTTTGGGAGGCTGAGGCGGGCAGATCACTTGAGCCCAGCAGTTCGAGACCAGCCTGGCCAACGTGGTGAAACCCCATCTCTACTAAAAATACAAAAATTAGCCAGGCATGGTGGTGGGTGCCTGTCATTCCAGCTACTCGAGAGGCTGAGGCAGGAGAATCACTTGAACCCAGGAGGCAGAGGTTGCAGTGAGCTGAGATCGTGCTACTGTACTCCAGCCTGGGTGACAGAGCAAAACTCCATCTAAAAAAAAATTAACAATATAAATTAAAAATTCAGAATATGAATTTTCCCCAAATCTTTTCACAACAGATGAGATTCCCTCCAGAGTTTCTAGGGATTTTGCTTAAGTCAAAGAAAAATACTTTGTTTTTAACCTGGAAGTAATCTTAAATTCATTTCATCCTTATATATTAGACTAAGTTGACGACAGAAATACTGGTGCTTACAAAGCATAAGTCTGCTGGGCAGTATACATATAATTTCCTCCAGAGGTATTTATTACTTACATAAGAGGCAAATTTTCTGAAGGCCTCATTTTACTTGGCAGTGATCATTCATTTTACCGTGGAAACACTTTGAATGGGTGTTTACAGATCTGGTTCTGGCCAGATATGTTGGATTGGATAATTGCCTTGGGGTCTGCTAAGGAAAAAGAAGTTGGAATTCTCAGTGGGATGGATTTTATTTTTATATTTTCAAGATAGTCTTACTCTGTCACCCAGGCTGAAGTGCAGTGGTGCAGTCTCGGCTCACTGCAACCTCCAGGCCCTGGACTGAAGCTATTCACCTGTCTCAGCCTCCTGAGTAGCTGGGATTACAGGCACGCACCACCACGCCCAGCTAATTTTTGTGTTTTTAGTAGAGATGGAAGTTTCACCATGTTGGCCAGGCTAGTCTAGCACTCCTTAGCTCAGGTGATCTGCCTGCCTAGGCCTCCCAAAGTGCTGGGATTACAGGCGTGAGCCACCGCGCCCAGACTTTTCTCTCTTTTTAAGTTGGAGGACATAAAAGAAAACTGTACACTACTTTCTAGATTTATATGTAAAACAGTTCTGCTCTATTACATTCACTTCATATAGACTACAAACTTGGTATTTCTGCTTTTGTGTTTCCTCATTCCACAGATTCCATATTTAGCATTTAAGAATTTGCTCTTCCCTTTTTGGTAGGTGAGATGTCCCATCATGATACTTTGGATGCTGCTTCCCAAGGAATAAATGTCATCCTCTGTGAACACAGCAACACTGAACGAGGCTTTCTTTCTGACCTTCGAGATATGCTGGATTCTCACTTGGAGAATAAGATAAATATTATCCTATCAGAGACTGACAGGGACCCTCTTCAGGTGGTATAATTGCAGAAACATCAGGATAACACATTCTACAAATCAGCTGGATGCCAACTTAAATTTGTAACATGAGTCAGTGGGACTGGTGTGCTTCCAGAGAGTGTCTTCGAGGGTATCATCATTTCCGGTTTGTTAATCTTATTCACCAAATGTTCTATCGCTCGTAAGGTAAAACTGTAATATAACTACCATATTAAATAACAAATGTTCATTATAAACTCTAGGAAAGATTGAATAAAATCTGTTTACTTAACATTCTTTGGAAGGAGCTCAAGTGATTCTGTCCTTAGTTTAATTGTAGATGGGATGGATCCATTTGGGTATCTCTGCCCTTGGTTAGTTAACATTATGCTTGAAAAACTTGGGCTTGAACACTTCTAGGTAGTAGCCTTTTTGCAGTGATAAGAAGTTCTGTTTGTCCTTGTTCCTAGTTCTGCCTACATTCCAGTCTCTCACCTAAATTTCAGAATCAGAATGAGATTTATCAGGATGTTGTTTTGAAAATATGTATACACAATCATTATTCATATTACTGTTACTTTATTGCTTTTTAGATGACTTACCTGTAATTTTTTTTTCTTCCACAGTCCTTTGTTCCCGATTTCTGCTCTGTCACTTCCCTCTCCTGGCAATGAACTTGGCTGCCGCAGGCAGGGGGCAGGGCCAGGGAATGAAATTCCAGAGCAGAAAGAACAAAGTCAGATATCTCAAAATATCATCCTGCCCCATTTAATCTGGGCCTTTTATCCATGTGGATGCCCCTTTCTAAACAGCACCTGCGCTGGGCTGCGAGGCCCCTGCCTGCCTGCTGCTGGTTGGGCAGGGCAGATACACCTTTCTCCACCTGAGGACTGCGTTCTCAGGTAATCTGGCTAAAGCAATATTCCCTCCATTTTAGGCATTCTTAGATTGCTTTTATGATTTGTGCTATTTTACCATACCACATGTAATTTTTACTTCATGCTTTTGTGTAAAGCAACTTTTTCTCTTTTTGTTTATTTTTTATTGTGGTAAAATTCACATAACATAAAATTCGCCATTTTATTTTCCTGCCCCCCCCTTCCAAAATTCACCATTTTAAAGTATACAATTCCGTAGCTTTTAGTACATTTACAGTGTTGTGGTACTGTTACCACTACAGTTCCAAAGCATTTTTCATCACCACAGAGGGAAGCCCCCATTAAGTAATAATTCCCTCCTCCCATCCCCTGGATCCTATTTCTATGGATTTGTCTATTTTGGATATTTTCTATAAGTGGAATCATAAACATGTGGTCCTTTGTGTCCGGCATCTTTCACTTATGTTTTCTCCATTACTGCCGCCTTTTGTGTTTGATTTTTTTTCTAGTATTTTGACTCCCTTATTTCCTTTTAAGTATCTATTTTATCTTCTTACCTATCTTTAAAGGAAATTTTATGTGACATCCATTATAACTTAAATATTTACTTAATCTATATTAAATACAGGATTATTAAAATACAAAGGAACACTGCTCAAAAGAAATGTCATTTTTTTTTAATGTCATTTTTTTTTTTTTTTTGGAGACGGAGTCTCACTCTGTTGCCCAGGCTAGAGAGCAGTGGCATGATTACAGCTCCCTGCAACCTCTGCCTCCCGGGTTCAAGCGATTCTCCTGCCTCAGCATTCCAAGTAGCTGGGATTACAGGCACACGTCACCATTCCCAGCTAATTTTTGTATTTTTAGTAGAGACGAGGTTTCACCATGTTGGTCAGGCTGGTCTCCAACTCCTAGGCTCAGGGGATCCGCCCACCTCATCCTCCCAAAGTGCTGGGTTACAGGTTGAGCCACCGTGCCTGGCCTGAAATGTCATTTTTAAGCTTAGTGTCTAATGACATGTTTTGTGTTGTTTTGCTGATTTAATAAATAAGGCCAGATACTGACATGAAACAGTGGTTTAGTAATCCCTTATCTACTCCAGAAAGCTGAAGGCTGAGGAAGGACATGCACATTCCCTCACAGGTGTCACATGAAAAATCTTCCCTATCCTGTAGGACTTAAAAGGTCGCCTTGGATGCCCACATGGACAATACATTCCAGGTGGAAGGTTGCAGATTGTAGGGAATAGTGTCACCACCTTTGTTGTGCATCCATGACACCTTATATAATCTCTTGTGCACATGTATTAGAGGGTGCTCCATACCAATCTAGATCAGGATCCAAATCAGACACTAGTGCAGGAAAGAAGTGAAGCTGGCCAGGAGGTGGCAGCAACAGTTCAGCCCAAGGCAAGTGCTGCTGGGCAGAATGAAGGTCCAGCGTGGCCAAGTCTTCCTGATCTTTCAGGGGCAAAGGAAATCTGGATTTTTAATATGTGGGGTGTTAAAATATACATATATTATCATATATAAAACATACATATATACATGTTTCTGCACAGTTCCTGGCTTATAACTCCTCTAGCCCTTGTTACAGTCTTTTAGGTGTGTTAAGCCTCAGGGGCAGGCCTCAGGAAACAATCTCTCAGAGTTCTCCTGCCCTCCTTTCACCAGTCCCAAAGCAAAATCCTAATCTCCCTCCTTTTTCTTTTTTATTTAGAGACAAGGTCTTGCTCTGTCACCCAGGCTGGAGTACAGTGGTGTGATCATAGCTCACTGCAGCTTCAAACTCCTGGGCTCAAGTGACCCTCTCTCCTCAGTCTCCTGGGTAGCTGGGCCTACAGGCACCTGCCACCACCCACCCCCTACTGACTAATTTTTTCAAATTAAAAAAATTTTTACTTTTGTAAAGACCGGGTTTTGCTACACTGCCTAGGCTGGTCTTGAGCTCCTGAGCTCAGGGAATCCTCCTGCCTTGGCCTCTCAAAGTGCTGGGATTACAGGTGTGAGCCACTGAGCCTGGCCGTTTTTTTTTTTTGAGACGGAGTTTCACTCTTGTTGCCCAGGCTGGAGGGCAATGGCGTGATCTTGGCTCACCACAACCTCCGTCTCCCGGGTTCAAGCGATTTTCATGCCTCAGCCTCCCGAGTAGCTGGGATTACAGGAATGTGCCACCAGACCCAGGTAATTAAGCATTTTTAGTAGAGATAGGGTTTCTCCATGTTGGTCAGGCTGGTTTCAAACTCCTGACCTCAGGTGATCCGTCCTCCTCGGCCTCCCTAAGTGCTGGGATTACAGGCGTGAGCCACCACACCCGGCCTTATTTTTTTTTATTTTTTATTTTTTGTGAGACAGAGTCTCACTCTTTCACCCAGGCTGGAGTGCAGTGGCACGATCTCAGCTCAATACAACCTCCGCCTCCCAGGTTGAAGCAATTCTCCTGCCTCAGCCTCCCAAGTAGCTGGGATTACAGGCATTCGCCACAATGCCCAGCTAATTTTGTATTTTTAGTAGAGATGGGGTTTCACCATGTTGGCCAGGGTAGTCTAGAACTCCTGACCTCAAGTTATCCACCTGTCTCAGCCTCCCAAAGTGCTGGGATTACAGGCGTGAGCCACTGTGCCAGGCAAATGCTGCCATTTTAAGACCTACACTTTGGGTACCAAAGGTAAAGATGTTGACCCTAAATACTTGGGAAGCCTGGGGCCAGTGATAAATATAAAAATTGGTATGAAAATTTAGTAATGAGCTTTGTATTGTACTCATGCTTAAAGTTATATTTTCCATAGCATCAGTCTTTTCAAATTTGCCTTATTCAACACATTAAGGATGCTACAACTTATGCTATTAAAACCTCATAGGCTGGGTGAGGTGGCTCACACCTGTTAATCCCAGCACTTTGGGAGACCCAGGTGGGTGGATCACTTGAGCCCAGGAGTTCAAGACCAGCCTAGGCAACATGGTGAAACCCCATCTCTACAGGAAAAAAAAAAAAAAAAAAAGCCAGGTGTGGTGGTGTGTGCCTCCTGTAGTACCAGCTACTCAGGAGGGTAAGGTGGGTGGATCACTTGAGCCCAGGAGGTCAAGGCTGCAGTGAGCTGAGATGGCACCACTGCACTCTAACCTGGGTGACAGAGACCCTGTCTCAAAAACAAACACTTATAGACATTTCATATTTCACCTTAATATCCTCACAACTACTGCCTTTTGTGTAGTAAGTGTTCAAATTTAGGCTATTCAGGATTATGCTGGAAGAGTAATTTGACCTCATAGAATATAAAAAGTACATTCTGAACAATGCCACTGCCTCCACATTTGAATTAGCTGGAACAAAGAGTAGACTTCTAAAGTTATTTTGTTTAAAAGTTAGGCAAAATCTATTTATCAGCCCCCAAACCAACTGATCTTTTATTTTGAGACAGGGTCTCACTCTGTTACCCACCAGGCTGGAGTGCAGTGGCATGATCACAGCTCACTGCAGCCTCAGCTTTCCTGGGCTCAGATGATCGATCCACCTAAGCCTTCTGAGTAGCTGGGACTACATGGTGCGTGCCACCATGCCCAGCTAATTTTTTGTATTTTTAGCAGAGACAGGGTTTCGCCATGTTGGCCAGGCTGGTCTTGAACTCCTGGCCTCAAGAGATTGGCCTGCCTTGGCCTCCCAAAGTGCTGGGATTACAGGTGTGAGCTACTGCGCCTGTTTCCACTGAATTTTTTTTTTTTTTTTTGAGACGGAGTCTCGCTCTGTCGCCCAGGCTGGAGTGCGGTGGCGTGATCTCGGCTCACTGCAAGCTCCGTCTCCTGGGTTCACGCCATTCTCCTGCCTCACCCTCTCAAGTAGCTGGGACTACAGGCGCCCGCGACCACGCCCGGCTAATTTTTTGTATTTTTAGTAGAGACGGGGTTTCACCGTTTTAGCCAGGATGGTCTCGATCTCCTGACCTCGTGATCCGCCTGCCTCGGCCTCCCAAAGTGCTGGGATTACAGGCGTGAGCCACCACGCCCGGCCTCCACTGATCTTTTATATGAGTGAAGTGATCATGTATTAAAATAACAAACAATGCTAAGAAAGTCCAGTTTCTGGACTACTGTGAGAACTAATTTAGCAGTCCTTGCACAATAAATTCAGCACTGTGGCAAATTTATAAACAATAAATGTTTGACATCTCCTGTGCCTTTTTTTTTTTTTTTTTTTGCAATTTTATTAAGAGTACCCAGAAAACCTTTCAAGGTTTCAGTAGATCTGTTCAATCTTGCCAGAAGCAAGTTAACACAGTAGAAGAAATTAGAGCCTTATCAGTCAAGACATAATTGCTAGAGCCTCAGGGACACCGATGCGGACACAAGTCAACAAACAGCATACAATAATGTGCCAAGATCTTCACCAGATCTGTAAGATGCACTCATAAAACTTCTTTTGAAGAACTTAAAAATATTTTTAGTAAAAAACCAGCACTACCAATTTATAAAGTGATTCTATCCAAATTGGCTTTTTATTTATTAATAATAAAGTCTACTGACACATACTGCTTGCAAATAGTATAGACACAAAAATTATAAAAATAAACCAGTAGATATTTAGGGCAGATGCAAAAATTTGCACATTAGGTCATTATAAACTAGATATATTAAGCAAAAAAAGCAAGGTGCAAACCAGCAAGTATGATATATTACCAATTGTGTTTTTAAAAGGAGAAAGACAGATACTTTTACATATGCATAGACGATATCTGGAAGAATACTTAAGAAAATGCTATCAGTGGTTGCCTAAAGAACTGGGTGGATCAGGGAGTGGGCAGGAAACTCACTTTCACTGAATATCCTTTGGTACTATTAAAAAAATTTTTTTAAATCACATTTATGTACAAATTTGTTTAAACATTTTGACTAGAGGTTATATTTAAGACTAAGCCCTTGGCCAGGCATAGTGGCTCACCCCTGATCCCAGTACTTTGGGAGGCCGAGGCAGGATCACTTGAGGTCAGGAATTCGAGACCAGCCTGGCCAACATGGTGAAACCCCATCTCTGCTAAAAATTCAAAAACTAGCCAGGCGTGGTGGCGTGTGCCTGTAGTCCCAGCTCAGGAGGCTGAGGCACAAGAATCACTTGAACCCAGGAGGTGGAGGCTGCTGTAAGCTTAGATCACGCCACTGCACTCTAGACTGGATGACAGTGCAATTCCATCTAAAAAAAAAAAAAAAAAAAAAAAGACTAAGCCCATGGACTTAACATAAAATTACTTTTTAAAAAAATGATTTAAAAAAAAAAAAAGACAAGGTCTTGCTCTGCACCCAGACTGAAGTGCAGTGGCACAATCATAGCTCACTGTAATCTTGAACCCCTGGGCTCAAGCGATCCTCCTGCCTCAGCCTCCACAGCAGCTAGGACTATAGGCATGGGCCACCATGCCCGGATGATTTTTTAAATTTTTTGTAGAGACAAGGTCTCACTATGTTGCCCAGGCTGTTCTTAAACTCCTGGGCTCCAGAGATCCTCCTGCCTTGGCCTCCCAAAGTGTTGTGATTACAGGCATAAGCCATTATGCCTGGCCAAAATTACTTAATTATATGCCACAAGAAAAATTATTTAAAAATTCCAAGGATTTTTGGAAATATTTTCATGAAAGAGGTTTACAAGATAAGAAATGAGTGAGAAATGCTGACGTAGTACGTATTTTATTGCAGTGATATTTTCAGGAAGAACTTCATTTCCAAGTGTCAAATATTTCAGGGGGTATGTGATGACTGTAAGCTGACAACAGTAGCCAAGGTGAGCCTTTTTTCTTTCCTAAGAAAAAAGTCTCGCGCAAATATTCAGGAGGTTTGAAATCATCACTTTAAGGAAAAAACTGAAATATCTTACAGTGAGTTTTAGGTCTACTTGACAGAGGAATCAAAATTAATTTACAGCCAGCCATTAATATGCTACTCACCTGCATGTTGTTCAAGAAAAGAAAAATATGTCAATATACAAGAATAATGAAATGTTTTATTTTTTGTTGTCTTGAAAACAATTACTAAAATGTAATTCAGGATTTTATTTCTCTAGCCTGGCTTCTCACTGGTATCATGAAGGTCATGGCACAGACAATAACTGTTCCAAATATATGACGTATTGTTCCTGTGCTTTCTAGGCTGGGTAGATACCCTATATACTCTGTTTTTCCCATTATCCCAACTGAATAGTATTATAATATATTCCCTCCCCTGCCCCCACCAAGTACATAGCCTCAATCCAAAAGGAGAAAGCTGGATCACTCACCTCTTCCCAATCTACACCTTTTAAGTTGTTTTAGAAACAATAAGAGATGACCTGCCCTCTCCATTACACTCGTTGGTTCTGACACACAGAATAGCAAACAAAACCAATTTACGTGATGCCCATGTCTTTATACTTCCACACTCTGGAACAAACACACTTGCAAACAATCAGCTCGGGGAGTGTTAAAAGGCCCTCAAAAAATTCAGAATATCTCTAAGTATAAAATAATTCAAAAACATCCAGTTCCAAATAGTCCCTGAGCACACTGTTCATTCCAGCAAGAAGTCTCCAGAGAGGTAATGAATGAAAGGCACATTTTCTCCAACTTGAGGACCGCTGCATAGTACTAGACGGTACCAGCCAGGCTGATCAAAAAGTTCTAATTGAGGACATCCCCCCCTTCCCAAATTTAAATCTTGTATGCTGGAAAAATAATTTAATGTCAGATGTAAACACAACACTTTCAACTAGAGGAGTGGCAGCTGGGGTACAACCCTTCCATGGGAGATTCAAGAATAAAGGAAAGCTTCAAGCCTCCTCTTCTTCCTTTTCCAAGAAATCAGTCAATGTTCCATTATCAACAGGAATTAATAAATACTCTACTCCATCAGTTCCCTGAAAGATTTAAGAATACCTGTACGTTAGTCATTCATAAGAGGTATATGAACTCTTCTATTGTAGAGGCTAAAGAAAAAATGAATTTATTTCTTGGATGTAATTTTTAAATATATAAGTATAAAAAGGCAAAAGGGCACACAGTCATATATACTTAAATATATGGAGTTATAGTTAAACATCCTTATAGTGGAAAAGACAACTAACTAGAGGGTGGGTAGGTGGGTATTTATTTTTTTCATTGTGCTTTAGATCATTCTTCACCTTCCTGCCCTGTTTAGAATCTAACACTATTGATGTCTGTGTCCTTTCTTCCTCCTTTCAACAAGAACCTTCCCTGTTGGCTTTTAAATATTTAATACATTCAAGTGTGTCCAATTTTTCAGTAACCCTCACTACACACCTTCATTCCTCTCCATCTATCACATTATCTCTGCACTTCTCCAAGCAAGTTGGCTATGATGGCAGTCTCCATTTCCACACTTCTCATTCAGCACAGTTTAACTGAGCTACTGTTCCCATTATCACATCGTTTGCTTAGACCATCAGGAATTTTATATTCCTAAATCTCACAGATATTTTCAGTCTTAATCTTTTTGGCCTCTCAGCAGCATCTGACACTGCTGACTATTTTCTCTGCATTAAAACATGCTTCTCTTGGCTTCTGTGACATCACATCCTGGTTTTCTTCCTAGTTCTCTGGCTGTTTCTCTCACCTCTGCAGGCTTATCCTTTACTTTTGTTAAATGTCACATTTCTGGCCTTATCTCCTAGCTCTCTATTCTCACTAAACGTCCTCCCTTTAGGTAGTACCCCAATGCCTGGTTTCAGTTATAATCTAAATATATAAGAATCATAATCTTCTCTCTCCAACCCATATCTTTCCTCTGGTTTCTTGTCCTAGGTATCCAACTGCATAGTTGACATTTCCATTTGGAAATCTCAAAGGAACCTCAAACAGAGTTGTCTAAACTGATTAAGATCATGAACTCATCATCTGTCTCCCTAAAATGTCACTCTTTCAGTGTGTGTGTTTTGTTCTTTTTGAAATAGGGTTTCACTCTGTTGCCCAGGCTGGAGTGTGGTGGCACGATCATGGCTTACTGCAGCCTTCACCTCCCAGGCTCAAGTGATCCTCCCACCTCAGCCTCCTGGGCAGCTGGGACTACAGGTACAGCTGCGTGCCACCACAACCAGCTCTTTTTTTTTTTTCTTTCATAGACAGGGTCTCCTGTGTTGCCAGGCTGGTCTCGAACTCCTGGGCTCAAATGATCTACCCACCTCGGCCTCCCAAAGTGCTGGGATCACAGGCGTGAGCCACCACGCCTGGCCTCCTAGTCTTCCTTTAGATCTCAGCTCAGTGGTCTCTTCTGATATCTATCCATAATTAGGTCAAATCCACCTATTTAAATAAACTCTTTCAGAACTATGTACCTTCTAATCATAGGACTTCCTTACAGTTAAAATGTTATGTGTGCGATTACTTGACTAATGTCCATCTCCCCCATTAGACTTTAAGCTCCATAAGAAAAGCAATCAGATTTTTGCTTACTACTGTATCCTAATACTTAGTGCAATATCTATGTAGTTAGTACTCAATAAATACAGACCAAATTAATGAATGAGCAAGAGGGAAAAAACAAAAGAACAGAATTATTTGACTCACCATGTTTCTAATTGCCTATTACTCTGGACTAGAACATGTGAGTTTTCTGCTCTGCTCTGAAGCAGGGTACTTCTACCATGGCTCTTTCTACAAACTCAAATGGCACATCCCCTAAATGAATCTCTGTGACTCAACAGGGAACATCAGTTTCAAAATCAGGTCTAAGTCAAACATATATGTGTCCTTAAGTAAATGATACGGACTATTCCTGGCATACAATGCTACAATAGTGGAGTCTTACCTTCTTTGTTCTTATAAGCTTGTGGTCCCTAAATTCAGTTAACTGGGCCCGGAGTGTCAGATCACTATTGACGAGGAATGCCTCCCGACACTGCTGGTAAAAATCTTGAAAAGAAAGGCCTGGCAAGTTCAAAAGGATATGAACATAAGTCAGCACTTAAGACATGACCCAATATACAAACACCCATACAAAAGAACAGAATAAAAGTGCTATTTGCATGTTATCCCAGAGCAGTGAACAAGTATTGATAGGACTTTTAAAGAAGGAACAAGTAAGTCATGAGAGCAGAACAATTATTAAAATGTTTGTTGAAATCATTTTTGCCAAAGGGGAAGAAAATCTCCTAAGATGCCTAGAATATGAAAAATATGTACTTGGCAGATACACATCCATAGTTAGCACAGAAAATTTTAAAAGTAAGCTGGGTTTGTCTTTCAATTTGTGTTGGCAAACACCTTGCTCAGCAGTGGATCTGTAGAGCTGCTTGAAAATTTGCTATGTGGCAGACATACCCATCATGAGTGACCACTTACTCACTGCTGTGAAAAACTGCACTGCTGTCATTAAATTCCAGAGACAGGAAATGTACAGGGTAAAACAAAAATTACACAATTGAATGTCATAAATATTGGATACCAATGTAAGAAGGGTTATCCTGGTTGTCCAGCTGGTATTTTATTAGTAGCCTGAAAATTCCCCTAAAAAAAAAAAAAAACAGGAATTTAAATCCAAAAATGTTAACATCAAAAGGTAACAACTAATAGTAAAATACACAAAGAAAATGTCAAGTAGTTGGCCTATCCGCATTATCTTCTGTTCCTCCAAGGAATATCATATCCTTGCCTACTTAAACAGAAAGCTTTCTAATTTCTTTTTTTTTTTTTTTTTTGAGACGGAGTCTTGCTCTGTTGCCCAGGCTGGAATGCAGTGGCATGATCTTGGCTCACTGCAAGCTCTGCCTCCCGGGTTCACGCCATTCTCCTGCCTCAGCCTCCCAAGTAGCTGGGACTACAGGTGCCCACCACCATGCCTGGCTAAATTTTTTGTATTTTTAGTAGAGATGGGGTTTCACCGTGTTAGCCAGGATGGTCTCGATCTCCTGATCTCGTGATCCGCCCGCCTCGGCCTCCCAAAGTGCTGGGATTACAGGCGTGAGCCACTGTACCCGGCCCGCTTTTTTATTTCTTCTAAAGAAAAATATAGGCTGAGTGTGGTGCCTCACACCTATAATCTCACCCCTT
Organism: Homo sapiens; assembly: GCF_000001405.40. Classification (NCBI taxonomy): domain Eukaryota; kingdom Metazoa; phylum Chordata; class Mammalia; order Primates; family Hominidae; genus Homo; species Homo sapiens. Next base: position 200,914,536 of record NC_000002.12, read on the forward strand.
TGGGAGACTGAGGTGGGAGGACTGCTTGAGCCCAGGAGTTTGAGACCACCCTGGGCAATATAGTGAGACTCTGTCTCTATAAAAAATTAAAAAATTAGCCAGGCATACTGGTATGCGCCTATGGTCTCAGCTACTCGGGAGGCTGAGGTGCAAAGATCACTTGAGCCTGGGAGCTTGAGGCTGTACTTGAGTGACAGACACCCTGTCTCAAAAAAATAAAATATGAAAGTATTTTTTTCTTACTTTTTAGGTTAGTGTTGGTAGAAAAGCTGGAATACAGAATAACATCTAAAGAGAAAAATATCAATCCCATATCCATTAACACTTGGTGTTGAGATCATACTGGGTATGCTGTTATCTCAAATCTTTGTGCAATGAGGCGGGTGGAAATAACAGAAATTCACACATTTATATACTGCATATACCACTTTATACCTTGCTTCTTCACTTTTTGATTCTTCCCACGTCTTTTTTTTTTTTTTTTTTTTTTTTTTTTTGAGACAGAGTTTCGCTCTTGTTGCCCAGGCTGGAGTGCAATGGCGCGATCTTGGCTCACCGCAACCTCTGTCTCCCGGGTTCAAGCGATTCTCCTGCCTCAGCCTCCGAGTAGCTGGGATTATAGGCATGTGCCACCACCCCAGCTAATTTTGTATTTTTAGTAGAGACGGGGTTTCGCCATGTTGGTCAGGCTGGTCTTGAACTCCCGACCTCAGGTGATCCACCCGCCTCGGCCTGATTTTTCCCATGTCTTTAAAACTTCTCCTAAACAAGTTTTTCTTTTCTTTTTTTTTGCCACATGTAAGAAGAACTTAAGGAAGTTTTAACAACTGCTTATCTACCATGTACCATAAACTTACCATTTCCCTATTGGTTTGGATGTTTACATTATTTCTAAGTTTAGATTAAAAATAACTCTTAATGGATGACTGGATACAGAAAAAATAACTCAGCACTAAATAAAACTGTACGTATTTCTTTGTATTTTGAATTATTCCATGGAAGAGTGAACCAAGTAGAATTATGGGGTTAGAAGCAGTATTACACAAACTAAGACTCCCATCAGTCCTTGGGTATGCCAAAAATTCAAAACTTATATGAATTTTCATTGTTATGCAGGTCCAGAAAACAATTACTATAATCATATTTTGGATCATCTCAATGAACACTTTTTTTTTTTTGAGACAGAATCTCGCTGTTGCCCAGGTTGGAGTGCAGTGGTGCGATCTTGGCTCACTGCAACCTTGGCCTCCCAGGTTCAAGCGATTTTCATGCCTCAGACTCCTGAGTAGTTGCGATTACAGGTGGACACCACCACGCCCAGCTAATTTTTTATATTTTTAGTAGACACAACGTTTTACCATGTTGGCCAGGCTGGTCCTGAACTCCTGGCGTCAAGTGATCCGCCCACTTCAGCCTCCCAAAGTGCTAGGATTATAGGAGTGAGCCACCGCATCCGGCCCTCAATGACTACTTTTTAACTAGGTACTACTACTAACTCCAGAGCTGAATTTTGGTTAAAATTTTTATTCAATCACATACCAAGTAAAGTCTAAATGATACTGGAGTTTGCAGAATCAAGCAAAATTTCAAAATAGTTTAAATAAGAAAATGCTGAGGCTAGCACACAGACATTTAGGCATGCCAAACTAAAAAATACTTGCATTAGACTGGGCATGGTGGCTCATGCCTGTAATCCCAGCACTTTGGGAGGTCAAGGTGGGTGGATCACTTGAGGTCAAGAGTTCAAGACCAGCCTGCCCAACATGGTGAAACTCCATCTCTACTAAAAATACAAAAATTAGCCAGGTGTGGTGGTGCATGCCTCTAGTCCCCGCTACTTGTGGGATGCTGAGGCATGAAAATTCCTTAAACCCCAGAGAGGGAGGTTGCAGTGAGCCGAGATCTTGCCACTGCACTCCAGCCTTGGCGACACCATGAGTCTCCATCTCAAAAAAAAAACTTGCATCAGCGTAGCCAGTGCCATATTTAACGTTTTGAGTTCTCACACTGCATGGACCCTCAACTTTACACACAGCAACTTCCAACAGTCCTTCAGCAGTTAAGGACTTTTATTATTAGTAATAACAAAACAGAATGAAGACTTTGTCCCCAATTCCATCAAAAAATTTCATTAGATAACCATTTAATGCCTATTTCAATTTTTTTATTTTATTTTATTTTATTTGAGACGGAGTCTCGCTCTGTCGCCCAGGCTGGAGTGCAGTGGTGCGATCTCGGCTCACTGCAAGCTCCGCCTCCTGGGTTCACGCCATTCTCCTGCCTCTGCCTCCTGAGCAGCTGGGACCTCAGGTGCCCGCCACCACGCCCGGCTAATTTTTTAGTAGAGATGGGATTTCACCATGTTAGCCAGGATGGTCTTGATCTCCTGACCTCGTGATCTGCCCGCCTTGGCCTCACAAAGTGCTGGGATTACAGGTGTGAGCCACTGTGCCCCACCTTTTTTTTTTTTTTTTTTTGAGACAGAGTCTCACTCTGTTGCACAGGCTGGAGTGCAGTGGTGTGATCTTAGCTCAATGCAACCTTTACCTCCTGGGTTCAAGCGATTCTCCCTCCTCAGCCTCCCAAGTAGTTGGGATTACAGGCATGCACCACCATGCCCAGCTGATTTTTTAATTTTTAGTAGAGATGCGGTTTCACCATGTTGGCCAGGCTGGTCTCGAACTCCTGACCTCAAACGATCTGCCTGCTTCAGCCTCTCAAAGTGCTGAGATTACAAGCATGAGCCACCGCGCCCAGCCTGCATATTCCAATATTAATGCAAGGCTTTATTTTTACTTTTTGTAGAGATGGGGTCTACGTTGCCCAGGTTCGTCTCAAACTCCTGGCCTCATGCAATCTTCCCTCCTCAGGCTCCCAAAGTAGTAGAATTATAGGGGTGAGCCACTATGCCTGGCCGAGTTGAATGCTAATCTCATCTTCAGTGTTCAAATCAGCTTTACAGAGTAACAACATTCATTAAAATTAGCATTTGAGGGTTAACATTTGAGTCTTGTGGTGATGGTACAGCTGAGTGTATACATGGAGGTGGCAGTCATACAAGGCTACAAGTGACAAAACTGCACAGAACTTACACACACGAGTGCAGCATGTATAATAGTGAAATCCAAATATGGATGGGATTATAACAATGTCAATTTCTTGGTTCTGATACTGTACTGTGTTTATATGAGATGGTGGTGGTTGGTGGAAGTTGGTGCTTTGGGAGGAGGGTACATGAGACTTCCCTGCATGTATTTTTGTAGCTTCTTCTGAATCTATAATCATCTCACAACAAAAAGTTAATCCCTCCACCACAAACACACAGGTAAAAGAAAAATAAATGGAAAATAAATTGCTAGGGGGGGTTAAAAAAAAAAAAGATATCCCCAAAGTCCCTGTGTACACTCTCCTCTATCTATTCCCCTTTATTCTTCTCCAGGGTTGGTACCTAATTTTTTTTTATTATTTTTAGTACCTAAAAAGACCTAATTCCATGCACATTTTAAACTTTTATTCATACTGATATATACATTTGAATGCTATATATTTTATATGGTTTTATTTCTACAACAAACATCTGTTCAGTTCAGCATTTGTCCTAAACGAAAATATCTGGTTTGGACAATATATATCGTCACACTACTATCATCCCATATAAGTCAATATCCTGGCTGCCAATGCTGCTTCTAAACCAAGAATGCAGCTGTGCTGTGGCTTCAACTCTGCTCACTGATTTATCATTCTGTTGTATTGAGATGTTTGTATTTTGAGCCAGGGTATTTATTTTTAAATTCTGTCTATTATGCTGTGTGTTTGGAACAAGAGGGGATGAAAGGAAAGAGTGAGAAGTATTATGCCATCTTGACCACAAGTGTCCCTTCATTGCTCTTTAAAAACAAAAAAGAAATTGTCTCTGCTAGACTTGCTTGTTCCCTCTTTTTTTCTTTTTTCTTCTTTCTTTTTTTTTTTTTGAGACAGAGGCTCACTCTGTCACCCAGGCTGGAGTGCAGTGGCGTGATCTTGGCTTACTGCAACCTCCGCCTCCTGGGTTCAAGCGATTCTCCCACTTCAGCCTCCCAAGTAGCTGGGATTACAGGTGTGTGCCACCAAGTCCGGCTAATTTTTGTGTTTTTAGTAGAGACAGGGTTTCAGCATGTTGACCAGGATAGTCTCGAACTCCTGACTTCAAGTGATCCACCCGCTTCGGCCTCCCAAAGTGCTGGGATTACAGGTGTGAGCTACCACACCCAGCTGACTGTTTATTCTTTAGGAAACTAAATTTTCTTTCAAATTTAAAACAAAAAAATTCATTTACATTTTGACTAATTTATAGATCTAATACCTGTTTTTCTGGAGACAGGGTCTTGCTCTATCACCCAGGCTGGAGTGCAGTGGCGCAATCTCGGCTCCCTTCAGCCTCCTCAGCTGAGACTATGGGTGTACACCACCACACTCAATTAATTTTTAAAATTTTTTGTAGAGATGTAGTCTCCCTATGTTGCCCAGGCTGGTCTCAAGGTCCCAGCTGGAGCAATCCTCCTGCCTTAGCTTCGCATAGTGTTGGGATTACAGGCTTGAGCCACTGTGCCTGGCAAGTCTAACACATTTCTAACTTGGAAAGAATTGCTACTCTTATAATATTTAATCTACCCACCCAAGAACACAATATTTCTTTTCATCTATCCAGCTCTTAATTATCTATTCTCAGCAAGGTTTGTTATTTTTCAACACTTCATCTTGTTAAATATAATTCTATAATTTTATGCTTTTGTCAGGGGGTAAAGTTTGTTACTAAAAGCTTCTTTCAACAGGCTAATTATGCAATTTCTTTATTATTTTTTTGAGACAGAGATTGCTCTGTCACGCAGGCTGGAGTGCAGTGGTGCAATCTCAGCTCACTGCAACCTCTGCCTCCTGGGTTCAAGCAATTCTCCGGCCTCAGCCTCTTGAGTAGCTGAGACTACAGGTGCGTGCCACCACACCTGGCTAATTTTTGTATTTTTGGTAGAGATGGGGTTTCCCCATGTCGGCCAGGCTGGTCTCGAACTCCTGACCTCAAGTGACCCACCTGCCTTGGCCTCCCAAAGTGCTGGTATTACAGGTGTAGGCCACTGCGTCCGGCTAATTATGCAATTTATTTTTTGCTGGCTTATGCTATAACCAGCTTGCATTTATTAATTCAGATATGCCTCTAGGTTAGGCTGCTGTAAGGGCTTGACTGGAGACATTATACAGTGATGTTTAAGAGCATGAGTTTTGGAGCTGGCATATCTGGATCAAAGTCTTTGTGCCACTGACTATCCACCTTAGTTAGGATCAAATGAAGTAATGCATATAAAGTACTCACTGTTTGGATCAGAATGTTCAATATGTAATGAAAAATAACCATAAAATTTAAGTAAAAGTCATGAAAAGTCTGCTTTTTCTCCATTATGACCAGTCAGGTGCTCATATTCAGAAATATCAAAGAAATAAAAAGTTGGTATTCTCGCTTTATTACTGGGCAATTTGATAGACTACTGTTGACTTGTCTGCCTACTCCATAATCCAGTACTGGTAACTATTATTACTATAATTTCACTTAATCCTTCAACTAACTAGGGACTTCAGTATCCCCATTAAAACCTAGTAGTACATATCTTAAAATGTATAGTTTTTAAAAAAGAAATATGGTTTTCATCCTTACCTTGCATTAGGGGTAAGGCTTCGTAAGACATGAGTAAGGGAGCTAAGTGGCAGGGATCCAGACTGCTTTACCAGAAGAGAGTTCTCATAGGAGGTTTCTTCAGTATAAGGACTGTATGTAGTAGTTTCATACCAGAGCCAGTTAAAAAGACTCTGCTTTGCATGATCCCACACTAGCACATGATCAAAGAAAACAAGAATTACAAATTATTTTTATATTGTCATGTTACTAGATTCCACTTTACAAAAGAATGAGAAAGGATTAAATAAAAATGAATCCCCAAGTTTTTCATTTTTGCCACTTCCATATCTAAATCAGTAACTCACAATCTAATTTCATTTTCAACCAACATCTGAACCTTTATTTTCAATTAAGCATAAATTAAAATCTTAGCACTACCAATGCATTCTTTTTAAAAAATTAGTAATGTTTTAACATTTTCTTCTACAGGATTATCAGAAAGTCTATAAATTAAGTTCATAAAATAAATGTTGCGATATTACAAGAAGAGAAAGAGACCAAAATAATAGTTGGGTCTTTTCCCTCCATTTAACTTTAGACTAAAACATCCTCATTTAGTATCTGAATTTTTATTTCCAAAAATTATGTTCTAAATTAGATTGAGAACATCTTTTTGGCAACCTGTGTTTTTAAACATGTAAAAGGGGAAAAAGCGTACTAAAAACAGTAAAAATTTTCTGATTTATATTAATAGAATTTGTCTTGTAAGACTGATATCTCTAGAAGGAAAAATAGTAACAATTAACTTACTGAGAGGAGCATTGAGGTGGTCAATGGATGCTATAAGGTAAATGTTATGCAAAGATGACAACTGACCAATGATTTGCTGGCTCTTCTCTCCTCTCAACATCTGGCTATCCAAATTGTGGATGAGAAGGAAGAGTTCTAAAGAAGAATCTAAAAAGAAAAGAAATCCAATTATTATTATTATTATTTTTAGAGGGTCTCACTCTGTTGCCTAGGCTAGAGTGCAGTGGTACAATCATAGCTCACTGCAGCCTCCAACTCCTGGACTCAAGCAATCCTCCCACCTCAGCCTCTCGATTACCTGGAACTAGGCGCACACCACCATGCCTGGCTAATTGTTTTTTTGGTAGAGACGGGGTCTCACTAAGTTGCCCAGGTTGGTCTTGAACTCCTGGACTCAACTTGGCCTCCCAAAGTGCTAGGATCACAGACGTGAACCACCATGTCCAGCTGCAATTATTATTTTTAGTGATATTTCAGTGATTATTTCCTCTACCATACACAATGCCTAGGTATTAAAAAATAAAGTAGTATAGGATAAAATAATGATTGCTTAGGGGTATGTAATTTATTTGAGAAGATATGTCATTTACTCATAAAATAGACATGATTAGCACTGAAGTCAGGCCCTACAGAAAGCAGCTTTTTGTTTTGTTTTGTTTTTTAAGACAAGTTCTGGCTCTGTTGTCCAGGCTAGAGTGCAGTGGGGTGATCTCAGCTCACTGCAACCCTGACATCCAGGGCTCAAGCCATCCTTCCACTTCAGCCTCCCGAGTAGCTGGGACTATAGGCGTGTACCACCACACCTAGCTGATTTTTATATTTTTTGTAGAGATGGGGTTTCACCATGTTGCCCAGGCTGGTCTAGAACTCGTGAGCTCAAGTGATCTGCCCGCCTCGGCCTCCCAAAGTGGTGGGATTACATGTGTGAGCCGCCGTGCTCAGCCTAAAGAAAGCAGCTTTAATAAGGCATGGGAAATAGGCAAGATGTATACAATAGATTGGAGGTGAATCTGTGCATGTTTTATTACACTGTGGGAGTGGAGGGATACCAAAAAAACCAAAGGATTTCTCAGAAAGCATTATATATAATGCTCTCAGAGATTATATAGAAAACCCGGATTATCACAAAAGCCAAAGGAGACCAAAAAAGGAGTGGGTGGGGGGTGGGGGTTAGGATACTGCTCAAGGCATCAGGAAGTTCAGATAAATTATAAAAGTCAGTGAAGGAGGAATTTAGAGGATGGAGCTGTTGACACTATCAAATACAGCAGAGATCAAGATAAAGGATGAGCCAAGGTCACTGGGCTTGGTAAGAAGAAAGTTACAGGTGATCAAGCATACAGTTCTGATAGCACAGAGGAAAGACATTAGAATGAAATAGGTAAAAAAAAAAAAAAAAAAAATTGAAGGCAGGACATGTCTTCCAAAATACTGAAACCGTATGAAACAGAAAAATAAAATAGTGTGAAAGGGCAGCAGAATCAGGTAACTTTTATTTTTAATGTATATTTAAAAGCCACAGGTATTGATAAGTCTCTCTGGAGACTTGGCATACGTGATAGAGTATAAGTCTTTCAGAGAGTGAGTTAATTTCTCTTCTACTCGGGGGTAGATGGGTAAGAGAGACAATACAGTGACAAAGATTCTGAGATGACACATTGTGAAAATCCCAGGTTCCCTGAAATCTAGACGTCATCATATTTAACAGTATCAAAACCAAAAACACCCAAAACCAAACGTATGTATACACACAGACGCACACAAATATAAAGTGACTTAGGCATCTATTTTAATGAGCATACGAACAATACTGGGCTCTTACAAGGATCTGTGGTAAGGGAATAAAAAGCAATGCTTCTGTTATTCTTTAAGTAGGAGAACTTATGTTGAAAACTAAAGACAATTCAGAAAAACAAGGCAAAATTATTATAGGAATAAATATTGCAGCAATTGATTTTTAATTAAATAATAAGGTTGAAAGAACTGAAAACAAACCAAACAGATTTGTTTCTCTTACAATAACCTGCTAGTAATTCACTATATGCCCACATAATCAATGAATAAGATATGTTCACATATGCAGTAGTTTTAGGGTTCTGGGAAATATATACTTGACTCTCATTACATTAAGTTCTATGCTGCTGCAAATCCTGAATTATTGAATACTGAACCACTGTTCCCAGAGGAAATACAGGGTTAGGTTCAATATATAACTTTGTTTTATGTGTGTTTCTGTTTAAAGGCAATTTTATTTTTATTTATTTACTCTTTTTGGAGACGGAGTCTCGCTCTGTTGCCCAGGCTGGAGTGCAGTGATGTGATCTTGGCTCACTGCAACCTCCAACTCCCAGGTTCAAGCGATTCTCCTGTCTCAGCCTCCCGACTAGCTGGGATTACAGGTGCGCACCACCAGGACCGGCTAGTTTTTTGTATTTTTTGTCGAGACAGGGTTTCACCATGTTGCCCAGGCTGGTCTCAAACTCCTAACCTCAAGTGATCCACCTGCCTCGGCCTCCCAAAGTGAAGGGATTGCAGGTGTGAGCCACCGCATCCGGCTTAAGGGCAACTTTATTTTTAATATACACTGTTGGTCTATTAACACGGAACTCACAGTCAAGAACACTGTAACTCATAACTGAAGGAAGTTTATATACACAGGTATTTTTTCCCCAAGGCACATCACAGCCTTCTTGTGCTTGGGAACACTAGATAGCATTTTAACACTATGCTTGCGGGCCATTTTAAACAGCCAAATCACCAACAAAAAAGCAGAAAAATGTGAAAAACGTAGCACTGAACAGACTGTGAAAACGATGCTTGTTTATAGTATGAGAGTTGAAACAAGAAGGCAAAGCATTGCCTTGTTTGACCTCGGCTTAGAATATGTACATTGGGCAATGCAAACTTTTTGCCACTCTGTGCCATGTTTCACTTTGCAAAAGTACCAAGAATATTGATTTTGGGATTATAAATAAATGTTAGCAAGCAGGTAAATTTGCTATTATAGAATTTGTGAATAATGAGAATCAACTCTACCTGTTTTCAAATGTGTAGAGTTGGTATAAAAATGTATATTGTCTGGCTGGGCTCATGCCTGTAATCCCAGCACTTTGGAAGGCCCAGGCAGGAGTATCCCTTGAGGCCTAGGAGTTTGAGACCAGCCTGGGCAACACAGTGAGACTCCATCTCTACAAAAAATTTTAACAATAGCCAGGCAGGTGATATGTGCCTGTAGTCCCAGCTAATGGGGAGGCTGAGTTGGGTGGATCACTTGGGCCCAGGAGATTTAGGATGTAGTGAGCTGTGTTTGTGCCACTGGACTCCAGCCTGGGTGAGAGAGCAAGACTGTGTTAAAAAAAAAAAGTATACGGTCCATTTCTATAAAGAACTGTGGATAAAATGGGTGTAGGAGTGTGAAAGGAAATTTGGGACAGAAAGCTTTTCAGGTTGGAAACAAAATGAAGACAAAACTAAAGAACATGCTAGAATATTGACAAGATAAAAGTACTACGGAACAGAGCTAAGATTATTGTCATTATCAAAAAAATTATCCATCAAAGCAGTTAGGCATTCTCAATTACTTCTCTTAATTCTTAATTTAGTCATTACTAAATGGCAATTAACTGTTAGAGACTATATAATACTATTTCCAATTTTCTGACATACTCACATAACCAAAACATTCACACCAAAAGAATCAAGAGATCTTAGTATATAAAATTATCTCAATGTAATGATATGTACACAGAATAAAGAAATAATGTTTTATTTATTTATTTATTTTTAGATAGAGTCTCACTCTATCACCCAGGGTGGAGTGCAGTGGTATGATCTTGGCTCACTGCAATCTCTGCCTCCCGGGCTCAAGCAATTCTCCTGCCTCACCCTCCCAAGTAGCTGGGACTACAGGCATGTGCCACCACGCCTGGCTAATTTTTTTGTATTTTTGTAGAGATGGGGTTTCACCATATTGGCCAGGCTGGTCTCGAACTCCTGACCTCAGGTGACCCACTGAGCTCGGCCTCCCAAAGTGCTGGGATTACAGGCGTCAGCCACTGCGCCCAGCCAAGAAATAATGTTTTATAAAAACATTAAACAATATAAAAATATCAGACAAACTTGTACCACTCAAGTGGAGGCACTTTACACAAGCAAAACAAAACCTGAAAATTATTCTGAAATAAATTCGCTGGGCTTGGTGGTGCACGCCTGTAATCCCAGCTACTTGAGAGGCTGAGGCAGGAGAATTGCTTGAACCCGGGAGGCGGAGGTTGCAGTGAGCCAAAATCGTGCCACTGCACTTTTGGAGTGTTTTATAAACAGAAACAGGCTTTTGGATATACAAACTTAAGAAAGTGGGACTAACATTTTTCTTTCCTGTTAAGTTCACGGAAAAAGTTCATAGAAAAAGGACAAACTTTTTTAGAGCACCAAGATAAATGCCATTATTAAAATAATCTTTTTGGGCCAGGTGTGGTGGCTCACACCTATAATCTCAGCCCTTTGGGAGGCCAAGGCAGGAGGACTGCTTGAGCCCAGAAGTTCAAGACTATCCTGGGCAACATAGCGAGACCTCATCTCTACAAATAATAAAAAATTAGCCAGGCATAATGGCACACGCCTGTGATCTGAGCTACCTGGGAGGCTGAAGTGGGAGAATTGCTTGAGCCCAGAAGGTCAAGGCTGCAGTGAGCCATGATCGCACCACTGCACTCCAGGCTGGGCAACAGAGAGACTGTCTCAAAAATAATAATAATAATATTGTATGTATATAAATACATGAATAAGTAGAAGTATATGCTTAACTTTACTCTAAAACTACCGAGCATCTACTTCATGTTACCTTCTTTAAATTTGTTTACTATCCAGTCTAGCTGATCCAGTATACTGCGGAAAGTACCCATATGATCGAGGACTTCTTCTGTTATAGAATTCAGGACCTATATCATGAATGTGGAAGAGGTACCACATTAATTACAATTTATTGTCATATACAACTAGAAAATCAAACCTTTTTTTATAAATTAAAAATGAATTTGGATTTCCCAAAAGTTTAAAAAATAACTTTTAAAAATTCTACTGGTACTTGAGTATATCTAATTCATTGTTTTTTGCCTAAGTTGTGGCTAAAAGAAAACAGAAAAGAATAGCAAAGATGTACAGGTAATAGGTAATATAAGAGGGCAGCAAAAACAAATGAAAAAGCTCCCAAGAACATGAGAAACATTAGAAAACTACAGTTCTATCAAAGGAAACAGGACACAAACACTACAGACACTTTAAAAAAGGAATACTATATGGCTCAATATCCAGCACCCAAAAGATTTCATGTTCAAATGATGAAGAGATATTAAGCATTTGAAATAAAAATGATCTATGATAAATGTATTGTTAAACTACAGTCTTCACATCACATCCTGTTGCATTTTAAAGCATTTTCACAGCATGTAGTTTTTGCCTAATAAAGCATTTTCATAGTTTATAACAAAACTGAAGACCCCATAATTCCCTCCTTCAGAAGTACCACTGATACTCAGTATAGTAAACAAAGCTAACATTTTCCTAAGTTTTAATACATGTCAGTTACAATGTAGGACATTCGAAGATGGTTTCAAAGCTAGATTCTTGAGTCCAAACACATGGTATTAAGCACTATACAATCCTACTACCGTGAAGGCTAAAACAAAAATTCTTTAATACTCCATCCTCATTTATGTGGGGGCTTGAATTGGCAGAGGATATAATGTTTTTCCCTTTAACATTTTTGAAACTTACTGATTTCACACTGATTCCAGGAAAGAAGCCATTGATGACAACGTGAATGGAATCTTGCAGCATAGTGGTTCGAAACCTTTCTAGTAAATCTCTCTTAGAACCCAAACCATAAAGCACAATGTTGAACCCAAGGCTGTTAGGAAAGACAGTATTCATGAAATTAAACTTCAATACCTCTTATTGCCAATTTTATTATCAACCAGTTTCCTTAAATTCAGTTTATAAAAAATACAGGAAAGGGGTAGGCGCACTGGCTCAAGCCTGTAATCCCCGAATTTTGGGAAGGCAAACGCAAAAAAGTTTTTCATGTATGTATATATATGTATCTTTTTTTTTTTGAGACAGAGTCACTCTGTCACCCAGACTGGAGTCCAGTGGCACTCTTGGCTCACTGCAACCTCAGCCTCCCAGGTTCAAGCAACTCTTCAGCGTCAGTCTCCCAAGAAGCTGGGGCTACAGCTGTGCACCACCATACCTGGCTAATTTTTATATTTTTACTAGAGATGAGCTTTTGCCATGTTGCCCAGGCTGGTCTTGAACAACTGGGCTCAAGTAATCCACCCACCTTGGCCCCCAAAATTGCTGGGACTACAGGTGTGAGCCACCATGTCTAGCCAAAAATATTTTTATTTAAAAAAAAAATTAGGTCAGGTGCGGTGGCTCACGCCTGTAATCCCAGCACTTTGGGAGGCCGAGGTGGGCGGATCACGAGGTCAGGAGATCGAGACCACAGTGAAACCCCATCTCTACTAAAAATACAAAAAAAAAAAAAATTAGCTGGGTGCAGTGGCGGGTGCCTGTAGTCCCAGCTACTTGGGAGGCTGAGGCAGGAGAATGGCGTGAACACGGAAGGCGGAGCTTGCAGTGAGCCGAGATCCCGCCACTGCACTCCAACCAGGGCAACAGAGCAAGACAGTGTCTGTAAAAAAAAATTAACTAATTAATAATAATTTTTTTTTTCGCTCTGTCGCCCAGGCTGGAGTGTAGTGGCACCATCATAGCTCACTGCAACCTCCGCCTCCCGGGTTCAAGCGATTCTCCTGCCTCAGCCTCCTGAGCAGCTGGATTACAGGCGCCCGCCACCATGCCCAGCTAATTTTTATATTTTTAGTAGAGACGGGGTTTCACCATGTTGGTCTTGAACTCTTGACCTCAGGTGATGTGCCTGCCTTAGCCTCTCAAAGTGCTGGGATTACAGGCATGAGCCACCGTGCAAGGCCAGGAATCAATGTTTAGTGATTCAGCCATCCCAGTTCTTCCTCTTCCTTCCTAAAAAAAAAAAGTATTCTTTTTAAAAATTATTATTGGCCGGGCATGATGGCTCACGCCTGTAATCCCAGCACTTTGGGAGGTCGAGGCAGGTGGATCACATGAGGCCAGGAATTCGAGACCAGCCTGGCCAACATGGTGAAATCCTGTCTCTACTAAAAATACAAAAATTGGCTGGGCATGGTGGCAGGTGCCTGTAATCCCAGCTACTTGGGAGGCTGAGGCAGGAGAATTGCTTGAACCTGGGAGGTGGAGGTTGCAGAGAGCTGAGATCACATCACTACATTCCAGCCTGGGCAACAGAGTAAGATTCCATCTTAAATAAATAAATAAATATTTATTCCAAACCCATACAAGGTAAAGGCACAATTTTATTATCTGTATACCAAGCTTCTAGTTCTAATTTGTTCAGTAGCTTCACTGTAGCTTCTATTACTTTTCAGATGACAGATGACTGGAGGCAAGGGAGACCATTGCCAATAAAAGCCCTAAAAAGGCCAGGCGCAGTGGCTCACGCCTGTAATCCCAGCACTTTGGGAGGCCGAGGCGGGCGGATCACGAGGTCAGGAGATCGAGACCATCTTGGCTAACACGGTGAAATCCTGTCTCTACTAAAAATACAAAAAAATTAGCTGGGCGTGGTGGCAGGCACCTGTAGTCCCAGCTACTCAGGAGGCTGAGGCAGGAGAATGGCGTGAACACGGGAGGCAGAGCTTGCAGTGAGCCGAGATTGCACCACTGCACTTCAGCCTGGGCAACAGAGCAAGACTCTGTCTCAAAAAAAAAAACAACAAAAAAAAAGTCCTAAAAACTTTTATAGGCTGAAGCAGAGTTGAAACTGATACAAATTGAAAAGAGGTCAAGTAACAAAGGCCTTGTTAAGTCATACTAAACCATTAATTCACTCATTCCAAGGAGAATGAGCATTTATTTATTTATTTTGAGATGGAGTCCTGCTCTGTCACCCAGGCTGGAGTGCAGTGGTGCGATTTTGGCTCACTGCCTCCCGCGTTCAAGCAATTCTCCTGCCTCACCCTCCCAAGTAGCTGGGATTACAGGCATGCACCACTAAGCCCGGCTAACTTTGTATTTTTAGTAGAGACAGGATTTCACTATGTTGGTCAGGCTGGTCTGGAACTCCTGACCTCAGGTGATCCACCCACCTTGGCCTCCCAAAGTGCTGGAATTACAGACGTGAGCCACCGTGCCCAGCCAAGAATGAGCATTTAAAAGTAACTAATGAGGGGTTAACAGAAAGGTTTTAAGTAGGAAAGTAACATGTTCTTTTCAGAAAGATCACATTGATTATATTTGGGGAATGGACAGGAAGGAACAAAACTGTGGAAGATTAACTTAGCTGTCATGGAGAAAAATGTTAAAATGTCAAGAACTTTATAGAAAGTCAAACCAGTAAGAGTTGGAGACTGATTAGATGTGGAGAGTGAGGAAAAGAATACTTAAGAATGACTCAGGGCTGGGCGCTGTGGCTCACACCTGTAATCCCAGCAGTTTTGGAAGCCAAGGCAGAGAATTGCTTGTGCCCAGGGGTTTGAGACCAGCCTAGGCAAGATGGTGAGACCTCATCTCTACACAATAAAAAATAAAAAAAATTAGCCCAGGCATGGTGGCACACATCTATGGACCCAGCTATTTGGGAAGCTGAGGTGGGAGGATTGCTTGAACCCAGGAGGTTGGGGCTCCTTGAGCTGTATTCACACCATTCTGGGTGACAGAGTGAGACTGTCTCTTAAAAAGAAAAGAAAAAAAAAAAAGAATGACTCAGTTTTCTGCCATAGGCAACTACACAAATGGAGTGACTAACATTCAGTCATTCACTCTGCTGGATAGCAGGGGCAGGTGGGAACAGTGGATTTCAGATGAGTTTAATTTTATGTATGTTGAATTATTTACAGGACACCCAAGTATAAACTTCTAATATACATTCAGATATCCAGGTCTGCTACTGAGAGTGAGGTATGGGTTGGAGGTTAACAGTTACATGAGTCATTCATATACAGAAAACAACTGAAGCCAGAAGGGTGAATGAGACCACCCAGAACACCAAGCACTAGAGGTCAAGCTAAAGTCCAACTCCGTGATTGTTTACAAAGGTCAAGCAGAAACAGTATTTATGTGATGCTCTCTGGCAATGCAGGATAACCTAGAAATGGAAGAACAGAAAAGAGGTAACCTCCAAAGGTAGAGATTACCAAGGTCAAAGCAGCAGAAATAAAGAGGCAAGGAATTCAGAGAGCTAGCAATTCCAACAAACTTGCTGACTATAAGGTCTAATCTGAGAAGCAAAGCAAATTAAGTTATCTAAGTTGACACGCTGGGAGAAAAAAATGATGGGCTGGGGATGGGATTAGAATGAAGAGCTTACAAATTTATAATGCATAGATCCATAAATAGTTATTGAGAGAAGCTGAGGTTCTTGCAGGCAAGTTAATCATTCCCTTCCTAGCATAACTTTTTTTTTTTTTTTTTTTTAAGACAGAGTCTCTCAAACCCCTGGGCTCAAGCAATCCTCCTGCCTTGGCCTCCCAAAGCACTGGGATTATGGGAGGCCAAGTGCCTGGTCCATGGCTCTACCTTCTTATTTACCTCAGTGACAATGTAACTGTGAGTGTGCATGTATATTCACATTAGTGTACATTTTAAGCACTTCCTTATGTTCAAGTCTTTTTAACTGCAAGGATAAAAGTAATTATCATAAAAAGAAAGTATTATGTTTTGATTTCAATCATTCTTCTAGGTGTTTTAATGGAAATTTAAAATTTAATCTGAGGTGTGTGAAAATAATAACAGTGAAAAAATATTCTAGGAAATAATGTTAAAATAGTAAAATAATGCTTATAGAACAAATCTGTTCATAAAATTCTGAAAGTCTGTAGTACACATACATAAGATTAAAGTAAATATTATCCTTTCATTTAAAGAACTATGCTGTGGAAAACTTTATAATTTTTTTTTCTAATTGTTATATTTATTAATCTTGACAAAGGAAATATTCAAGTTTTTTAAACCAATAACATAATTCTAAGAAATGCTATTTATCTTATCAATGGCTGTCAAGTCTGATAAACACAAATTTCTTAAAAACTGTAGAATTTCTGGGAAGAGTCATACAATAAAGTGACATTTCTATATCTGAGTCATAATGTCTATTTTTACATTTATTTTTATATATGACTAAATATCTGAAACTCACTGTAAAAAGAAAAATGTTAACTTACTTTAACATAAAGATTCATGTAAATATTATTCTTTATTTTACAAGGGTTTGTAATGATAATACTTACTGTAATTGCAGCATCCATTTATGAAATAATTTTTCATACTGTTGATTTAGTTGTTTAAGTTCGGCAGAAAAGGAAGGGGAAACCTTGCTCAATAAGTTACGCAAAGTTTGCTTTAAAAAAAAGGAGGAGGGGAAAAAAGTCATTCTCAAAGCACAGACAGCAAATCAATCCAAACAATTTCCTTAGAAGTAGAGCTTAGAAGAAGCCAATCCAATTGGAATATTACTTTAATCTGGTTTGGCAATGAGTATATCAACCGATAAACAAAATTCTTAAAAAATAATTTTTTTGTTTTCTTAAAATTGTTAACATTCTTTTTAGTAATAACAGTAAAGAATTTGGTAAGTTTTGTCCAGAACCACTTAAATGATTATAAACTCCAAGAATAGGCTTTACTTTCTCAGAAAACATTAAAGGTTCTTTATAATTTACTTACTATTATCATTAGTAAAATAAACCTATATCACTGCTCCTCTTCCAAAAGCTGTTTCTAACAAATCCTTTATCTTTGGTAAGTATTGCAAATTTTTAAAAACAATAATATAAATAAACTGAGGAAAGTGCATTGCCCTGTACCCCAAACTTGGAAATTCATGCTGATGAATCAGAGATCATTTTTTGAAATGAAAACTCTAGCAAAAAGCTACACATGGGTCTTCACTTTGGCACTACCATGTTTTCATGATTCCACCACCTTTCAAGTAAAATATTATTTAAATACTGAAGATTAGAGTTGCGATAAATATTCCAGGTACTCTGGCTTGTACTGTGTTTATTTAGTCACAGTTAAAGCAAACAGAACTACCTTTAAGTAAAATTGTTAAGTAGGTAGTTAAAAAAAAACAACTCTTATCTCTTCTGAGTTCAGAGCCCTGAAAAAGCAGAGAAAGCACTAATATCTTTTCCAGCAGTCATTTACACTAGATTATCTGAGCATATTCACACTTGAGTGTGAACACTAGAATGTTATCTCATGTATGTACTTTCATTTCAAACTTTTTTTTTTTTTTTTTTTTTTTGAGACAGAGTCTTGCTCTGTCACCCAGCCTGGAGTGTGGTGGCACAATCTCAGCTCACTGCAAACTCCACCTCCCAGGTTCAAGCGATTCTCCTGCCTCAGCCTCCTGAGTAGCTGGGAGTACAGGCGCGTGCCACCACGCCTGGCTAATTTTTGTAGTTTTAGTAGAGATGGGGTTTCACCATGTTGGGCAGGCCGCTCTCAAACTCCTGACCTCGTGATCCTCCCGCCTTGGCCTCCCAAAGTGCTGGTATTACAGGTGTGAGCCTCCATGCCCAGCCTCATTTCAAACTTTAATTAATATTCATGGAAAACTGCACTTTCGACCCCAATATCCAGCTGTACTAGAATGAAGCAGAACTGGCAATCTAGTTTTGAGCCTGGGCTGTAAGAGATTGTGTGTTTTCCCACTTTTCCTCTTATGCCTCTGCCACTGTCATGAGGATAACATGCCTCAGCTAGCCTGCTGGTCCAACGAGGAAAAGAAACATGGAGCAAATCCTAGATCAGCCAACTTCTGACTGACTTGCAGACATGAAAAATGCTTATTGTCACATGCTACTGAAGATTGTATTGGTTAGCTATGCTATGTTTACGCCCAATGAAAGGCTTTCGTCTCCCTCACTGACAGGTGTTTCTTTCATCCTCCTAGAGATCTTTTTGCCTCTAAGTCTGATGAAGTCCTATTGTGAGTCTAGACTCATGTGTCCTTCTCCCATATTGCTTATATTCTCTGATCCGAGTCTCAATACCAATGAGCCAGGACTTAGATTATCAATTGCAATTATTACTGACAAAGATTTTCTCACTCAGATGGTTCTGTCTCCTCTCACAGAGATGTAAAACCCCAGCAAGTATAACTGTATGGTATTTTTTTTTTTTTTTTTTTTGTAAAATGAGCTACTGGAACCATGGTACATAGTAATCTTGTTACCTTACCACACTGGGCAGGTTTTCCATAATATCCTCAAGCAGAATATCCTCTACTTTGTGCAAAGTTTTTAACTGAGAGAAAGTCAGGTTGCAGTTGCTGTTTTATGACCAGTGTGAGATTTAGTGAATACATATAGGTTAAATGAATAACAGAGATAAATGGTAAATGGATATCAAGGAACTATGACCCTGATGATTATCATAGATCCTGAAGAAATAATAAACGAGTAAGAGGGGAAAAATGCATAATTACAGTCTGTCTAATCCAGTAAATTATTTATTTATTTATTTAAATTTTTAGTAACAACGAGGTCTCCCTATATTGCCCAGGCTGGTCTCAAACTCCTGTGTTCACATAATCCTCCTCCCTTGGCCTCCCAAGGTGCTGAGATTACAGGTATGAGCCAGGTGTGCCCGGCCTATTTACTATTTATATAATAAAAGAAGTAATAATCACATTAACTTGTGTTTCATTTGATCAGGACAATAATTCTACTTGTGTATACTTTTCAAATCTGTTGCTTACGTAGCATATTTTTCAGGACAGAGTAAAAAAAATTTAGAAGTAACATTCCTTGTAACATACCTGATCCAGTTTAGCTCTCTTTAGCTTCTGCAGTGTTCTATCAGAGGTTAAAACTTTTGAACTGCTGTGAGCTTCAAAATATTCTTCTACTAAGTCACTCTGAAAGTGAACAGAGTAGTCAGTCCTTAGTAGCTTCAAATATCTGTCTCATATCAAAATTAGACAGTAATATTAATGTAAAATAGGACACGTGAAATTCTTTACTTGGTAGTATTTTCTTTTTAAAGCAACAGTACCAGTTAAGGACCAAGCATATTTAATTTCAGTAATAAAACTGAGTAATTACTAGGATCATATAAGTTAAAGAAATGACTAGGTGAAGTAGTAGTCTGTTCCTAAAAATGATTCCTAAGTTACAATATGTAATTTCCATTTAGACTAAAAAAAGAGAGATGGTTTTATATATCAAGATCTTTGTTTCTCCTCAAGTAAGTCTTTTTTTTTTCCTTTCTTTATTGAGGAAGGGTCTCACTCTGTCACCCAGGCTGCAGTGTAGTGGTGCAAATACAGCTCACTGTACCCCCAACCTCCTGGGCACAAGGGATCCTCCTACCTCAGCCTTCCAAGTAGCTGGGACTACAGGCATGCACCACTACACCTGACTAATTTTTTAAATTGTTTTTTTTTTTTTTTTGCAGAGACAGGGTCTTATTATGTTATCCAGGCTGGTTTCAAACTCCTGGCCTCAAGCAATCCTCCCACCTTGCCCTCCCAAAGTGTTGGGATAACAGGCATGAGCCACCATGCCTGGCTTCAAATAGTCTTAGCAAATCCTTTAATATTAGTATAGCTGAAGTACTGTGAAAATGAGGAAATCAACTGCAAGGTAACAAAAGAAAAAAAAGAAACCCACAAACAAATAAAAAAACTGGCCTACTATTCCAGTCAAGCGGAATTTTCTTCTCACACTATTTGTTCTTCTGATTTTGGGCAGGACTAAACTCTAGGGTGGTAAGGAAGGGACAGAAAGCTATTTAAGCAGTAGGCTCCTCAATTGCTCTGAACCTTTAGACAGAGCACCAGGATAATTAGCCTTTTCTAAAACCAAGGTGCCTGCAATGTTCTTCCAAATGACTCAACATGGGTCCCTAGCCACATCATTCATTACACTGACTTGAATACATTGACAATGGTACAAAAACAAGATACACTGAGAACTCATGCCTCCAATTGTCCAATCAATATTTACTTAAAAGTTCATTTTTTATTTTTGTTATTTTTTATTCTAATCCCATAGCTTATTTAAAAATTTATTTATTTATTTTTGAGACGGAGTTTCGTTCTTATTGCCCAGGCTAGTACAATGGCATGATCTCGGCTCACTACAGCCTCTGCCTCCTGGGTTCCAGCAATTCTCCTGCTTCAGCCTCCCGCGTAGCTGGGATTACAGGCACACATCACCACACCTGGCTAATTTTTGTGTTTTTAGTAGAGACAGGGTTTCACCATGTTGGCCAGGCTGGTCTCGAACTCCTGACCTCAGGTGATCCACCCGCCTTGGCCTCCCAAAGTGCTGGGATTACAGGCATGAGCCACTGTGCCCAGCCTAAAAAGTTCATTTTTATACAGTGGAATTGAGATGTCACTTTTAGCATATACTATTTAGCATATACTATGGTATTAATTCATGAATATGTAGACAGGCCAGAAAAGAAAGCCCAGAAGTAGAAACAAATATATGTGGGAATTTATGTGGAAGGCTGAGAAAATATAGAAAAGTGAAGAAAAAATATTATTTTGAGAGATGTGGATCTCTTAGGGTAGCCTATCTTTGAAATATTACACAATTTTTCTTTAAGGTTAAAGTCTCTCTCTTCACTTACTGTTTTATCTCTTTTCATTCTCTTAGAAGGTGTTTCTTTGCCAACAGGAGCTGAAACTACTCTATTCTGAGCTTGAATCTTTTGGCTGAATATGACTGCATTAGTGTCCTCTTCATGTTCCTGTGCAACCCCTTCATCATCCTCTGAGTTGGAAGCAGAATATTCGCTTTCACTGTCAGAATGAGACCTTGGAACTGTGGGGGGAAAAATAGCAATTTGGACAATTTCATGGTTTGACAAGAGAGGCATTGTGGGGTAAAGCAAAGAGTGGGGGCTCTGTAGTAAGAGTCTGAATTCTGGTTTTGTCATTACCTGCTCATGATTTCACCAGAGCTAATTAACAAATTCTCTCAGCACCAGTTTATTTATCAAATTAATAGTACATAGTTTAATAAACCATTAGGAAGATTACATTGAAATGTATATAAAGCCACTAATAATTCCTGACACACAGGAACTGTGATAGAAATTGTTAATCATACCTAACACCGTTCTCCTTCCCTCTTCCTTGCTAACAGAACTCCAATTTTGCAAAATATGGCAATATGCCCCATCCTAGGGGATGAATCATGGTAACTGCCTTTTTCCTCTTCAAGGTACCTGCTTTCCCAGCCTCTGCTCCAACTATGGTTGACTATGTGACCCCTTGACCAGTGAATTGAGGGAAAATAGCTGGCAGCTTCTGAGAAGGATTTTCCTCAATTACGGAAGAAAAGCCCCTATTTATACCCATCGTTTAAAGCTATGAAAGCCATTTTGCAATATGAAGTATCAAACCTAAAGATGAAAAATGCTGGTGGCAGAGTAAAAGATAGGAAGAATCTGGGTCCTTAATGATACTGTTAAGTCACATCAACCATGGAACTTGCATCTCCATACTTGTTTTGATGTGAGATACTTAAATGTCTATGGCTTAAACTACCATTATAGAATTTTCTGTTGCTGCCTACTGAAAACGTCATACTAACTAATATAGCACTCAATAAATGGTACTTATGATTATAATTATTACTAATACATACACATACACCATCCCAGAGTTGATTCAAGAATTGTCTTTTTAAACAAACCACAACCTCATCCCTACAACTCCCCAGAAATAATATAGCTAGTTTTACATTTATCAAATAAGAATAAAGCCAGTTTCACACTAAACAGGCATAAAACTGTTTTTAAAAGCTAACTTCCAAAATATGAGTGAAAAAACTTAAACAAATCAGCATATTTATTCTGAACAACAGATATACTGCAGAGGATTATCCCAAGTCAGCATGTAACAAATGTAGATATTAAAAAAAAAAAGAAAAAAAAAGGCTTGATTTTGTGGGCATATATAGCTCAGCAGATTCAGGTGTGCATTGACTGCTGCTCGTGGTACATGCACAGTTAGAAGTGGTGGCAGGTACCAGAAAGTATCTCTACCTTCTTTACATGTATGCTTCCTCCATGTAGGTATATATGTTTTGTGGTGATTAAGAAGGAAGAGGGAAGTTCACCTTCTCTCTAAAAAACAACCCATATTTGGGATGAGGAGAAAACATAAGACATGGGATATAGTTGACATGAAATAACAATCACAACTATACAGATCTTTTACTGCTTTAATATACCAAATCATTTAGCATTACCAATTTTATGGTGATTAAAAATACAGTTTTAACAACTCTATGAAATCCATACCTTGAAAAGAAAGGGCTATGAAGTATGAAGCCCTGATGTTAGGCTGAATTTAACAATGTTGACTAATACTATTATTGTCAAGGGTCAACATTATGAAAGGTGTTGACATCTTCCTGATATATAAAGGTCCAGTCATTTGCCTCAAAGTTCAATATTCAAAAATCTGAAACGATTTTTAATTTCCTAGAAGGCAGAAGCCATGTCTGTTTACTTGACTTTGTTTAGCATTCAGTACAACTATGAATATTTAATATTATTTCATTATAAAATTTCCAAATAAATCAATAGAATAATTTCCAAACTGTCTCAAAACAATTAAAAGGCATGTTATTTCATTGGAAAGACCTTTTAGCTGACTTCAATATACACTGACTACAATGTGAAAGACATGGTGCTAAGTGTTGCAACTAAAAGCCAAAGATTCAAAACACCAAGCAGTCTAAGTCTAGAACCTATATACTTAACTATTATTGCCTCTTGTTTAGATGCTACTTTTTATAAAAAGTCATGTAAAAACAAATACGTACCTATTAATCTTTTTCTTAGACTACGAGGTGCTGTTGACAGAAATTCACTTTTGTCATTGTTCTGTTTAGAAATAGAAAAAGCATTAAATAATAACATGGAAATTAATGACTGATCTGAGTGAAAGAGGCTAGAAAAAAAGAAAAATATTTTGCTTTCAATAGACTGCATTAGAACTAGATGAGCTTAGTTCCTAGAACTAGAAGATTATGACAAATGGGTTCAAACCATTCTCCTGCCTCAGACTCCCAAGTAGCTGTGATTATAGGCACGTGCCACCACACCCAGCTAATTTTTGTATTTTTAGCAGAGACAGGGTCTCACCATGTTGGCCAGGCTGGTCTCAAAACTCCTGACCTCAAGTGAACCGCCCACCTTAACCTCCCAAAGTACTGGGATTATGGGTGTGAGCCACAGCGCCCGGCCCAATGGAGTATTTTTTTAAAAGATAGTATTATGTAGCAATCATAAGTATGAAAGGGAACGGGCACCCCTATGTATATGGCAATGGGCCTTTTAATGTGCTAGAAATTTACTGGTGTTAAAGTATTACATTCTTTGAGGAGAGAAGGAGAGATTTACACTTTCTTACTTTCTGTATTTAAAAAATTGTAACTTTTTGTAGGAGTACAAAGTCTGTTTTTTTATAGAATACTTTAATACCATAAATTGTTAGCACATTAAAACATCCACTGTTATATACCTGTAAATTTCTAATAGTACTGATAAAAAAGTTAAAGTACCCTGTGATTTTGTCAACATGACAATATGACAAAAAAATTTAAGTTTATTGTCTTGTGATAGATTGCTGGTGTCATTAAAATCTGATTTGATTTTAAGAATAGTACTCTAGGCCGGGCACAGTGGCTCATGCCTGTGTAATCCCAGCATTTTGGGAGGCCAAGGCGGGCAGATCACCTGAGGTCGGGAGTTTGAGACCAGCCTGACCAACATGGAGAAATCCCGTCTCTACTAAAAATACAAAATTAGCCGGGCGTGCTGGTGCATGCCTGTAATCCCAGCTACTCGAGAGGTTGAGGCAGGACAACTGCTTGAACCTGGGAGGTGGAGGTTGCGGTGAGCCGAGATCACGTTATTGGACTCCAGCCTGGACAACACAATGAAACTCTTCCTCAGGGGGAAAAAAAAAAAAAAAGAATAGTACTCTAATAACTGAGCTAATCCCTTACCAATGGAATTACAGTATGTCTCAAATTTTTTGATCAAGATCCTCAAAAATTTTTACATTTTGTCATCTTGACCCAGTACACGTGTATATATAACTAAAAAAAATTATAAAACAGAAATTTAAAATTCTGTTCTACTTCATTTGTTAAAAATGCAGTTTATGTCCTATTAAACTGATTTCAAGATTGAGTATTGAGATAACTTATATATATCTACACAGCTTAAGTCTGAGAATTCACAACACCTGTGTCAAAATAACCACTGCAGAAAATTCCTGCTCAAAAAGACAAGACTAATAAATAATTTTTTCCTACTTGCTATAGAACATTTCTGCAAACTAATCTCTCTTGACAGTTTGCTCATTTGGGCAAACTGTTCTCCCTATCAGGACAACAGATTACTCCTAGGGCAAACAGCTTATCTTATCAACAGTTTAGTTATCAAGATACACTTTAAGACACGATCTTCACTGTGTCTACCAATCCTAAAATATCATGTCCCTAACTTTGCCCAATCCCAATCAGTTTACCATTTTGAAAAACCTGCTTTAAGCCACTTGAGCCCAGGATCCCCAAGCCCGATACATATTTTCTCTTGAACTTGCTTTTCTAAGACAGTACACTAAGATTCTGTCACAACGATGTTGTCTCTTATTGTGATAGGTAGCTTTGTTTCATCAACAGGTTTTTCTGGTTTTTTGGGAGAGTTGACAATATCTTCTAATGGGTTATAATCTATAACTTGAGAAAGAATAATCTAAATTCTTGATTAGATTATGGCAATGAGTTTTTTTCCTTTTATAGTGATAGAACACACAAGACATAAGAAAAAAGCATTATTAAAGACAAATGAAAGTCTGGCATGTCTAATCCCATACCTAGACTTGTCTAAATAGGACATTCCTGCACAGGCCATAACCATGGCCTTAAATGTCTATACTGACTGTGGAGACAAAAGTTACTCCATCTTGGATGCTAATCCATCACGTTAACTTCTGATTAGCCCCAGTCTCATGAATGCCTCCTGATTCCTACTTTATGTACTGCCTTCTGTGAAAGAACATGTCAACCTTGATATTATCACACAAATTACTGGCTACAATGCATATAGCATTCTTGCCCTCTTGACAATTAAAGAGGGTTGCCTTTAATTATCTTGCTGGAACATGTATACCCTTTCCTTATGGTAGGTAAGCCGTGGGTCTGGGGAGTAACACTGCAGAGAGCTACCTGTCTTGTGGCTGCCCAAGACCATGCTTCTGTCTCTAATAAAATACCCTTTACAGACAAACTAAACTTGTCTGCCTTGTCCTTTGGTTTCTTGGCTCCTTTGGCATTTGGGGGATGCTTTGCATATATGGCCCTTTCATGGAACACTCACCACTTGAAAAGGCATAATGAGAAAATTATACCACAAAAACACAAAGGAGGCCAGGCGTGGTGGCTCACACCTGAAATCCCAGTACTTTGAGAGGCCCAGGTGGATGGATCACTTGAGGTCAGGAGTTCAAGACCGGCCTGGCCAACATGGTGAAGCCTTGCCTCTACTAAAAATACAAAAATTAGCCAGGCGTGGTGGTGCACACCTGTAATCCCAGCTACTCAGGAGGCTGAGGTGTAAGAATCACTTGAACCTGGAAGGTGGAGGTTGCAGTGAGCCGAGACCACGCCACTGCACTCCAGCCTGGGCGACAGAGTAAGACTCCGTCTCAAAAACAAACAAACAAACAAAGAAAAAACCCCACAAAGGAGGAGATAAAAATATAGAGTAATGGATCTAATGCATCTTGGGATCAAACTGCACAACACTGCCCTCTTCCCCCTGCAAAAGAAACAGAACATGATACATAAAAGCAAAACCCCAAACATTTTCAGGCCAGCTACACACAGCAGAAAAAGCACAACAGTTGGGTCTGGGAGGCCTGGCTTCATTTTCTAGCTGTTCTCCTTCCTAGTCAAGTGAACTCACACAAGTCACTTTACCTCTCTGAACCTCAAATTCTCCACCTATAAGTTAGGTATTTAACTGCCAAATATCTGTAAATTACAAAGCACTATATAAATTAAGAGATCAATTTTTTCATTGAATTTCTGGCAATTTTTCATCATGTCTTACTTTGTAACACTAAGGCTTTTGCTTTTTAGTCAATTGCTTACCTTCGGTTGAACCTTGTCTGAAGCAGAATGGCCTAAAGAATGAAACAAAAAGCCATGACTTACTACGGACACTTCACTTTTCATTGTGGTCTAGTTTCATTAAAAGTAAAGTTTGCCAGGCATGGTGGCTCACATCTGTAATCCCAGCACTTTGGGAGGCAAGGCAGGAAGATTGCTTGAGGCCAGGAGTTCAAGACCAACCTGAGCATCATAGCGTGATCCTGTGTCTATTCAAAAAATTAAAAATTAAAAAAAAAAAAAAAAAGCAAAGTTGCAGCTTCTACATAGAAGCCACCACATTATTACTGAATTATAAATTAATTCCATCTCCACCGGAGGATTATCACTATTAGTTTCATGATTACTCACATTTTTAACAGCTACTTCCTGCATTTCTGTAGCATTCTAACAAGAAAAACGGAGCCCTTTTAAATTTTGATTATTGAAAAGTACAACTGTCCAGGAGCGGTGGCTCACGCCCGTAATCCCAGCACTTTGGGAGGCCAAGGCAGGAGGATCGCTTGAGGTCAGGAGTTAGAAAACAGCCTGACCAACAGGGTGAAACCCCATTTCTACTAAAAATGCAAAAATTAGCTGGGCATGTTGGCAGGTACCTGTAATCCCAGTTATTCAGGAGTCTGAGGCAGGAGAATTGCTTGAACCCAGAAGGCAGAGGTTGCAATGAGCCAAGATCACACCACTGCACTCCAGCACTCCAGCACTCCAGCCTGGGTGAAAAGCGAGACTCCTTCTCAAAAAAAAAGAAAAAAAAAAAAGTACAATGGAGCCAGACACAATGCGGTGTGCTTATAGGCCCTGTTACACGAGAGGCTGAGGCTAGAGGATCACTTGAGCCCAGGAATTCAAGGCTTTAATAGTGTGCTGTAATTGTGCCTGTGAATAGCCAATGCACTTCAGCCTGGGCAACATAGCGAGACCCTGTCTCTAAAAAATGAAAAAAACAGAAATGTCGGCAAGTGACATTGGTGTTCAAAAACAAAAACAAAAATATAAATAAAGAGCAACGAAATGTACACTTTTTAATCTAGTTAGAATGGATCATTCAAAAACAGCTGCTCCACAATCTGTAAGACTTCCAAACTCCAAACGCCTTATTTCATATAGTATTTCCCAAAGCCAAATCTTCTATAAATAATTGGCTAACTCAAGCACATGACAACAGGACTTAAAGACTATTTCTGGTTAACCCTGTCAATTTGCACAACTTCAGTTAGCACAGATATTTTTCCCTCTTACTGACTGCTAAACACGGGTATACTAAGGTACATGAGTTGAAATATTAATTGCATTTTGTTGAATGAATTTTCAGAAAAGAAGAAAATATATATAAAAATTCACAAACAAGGAAAAAAGTAACATGCTCTATCTTGAAGCAACTATGAAAATTCTTTTCAAAGAACTAATGTAATGTCTTACCCTTGCTACTTTGAGGAACGTTTATCGTAATCTCAGGATCATTCTTCAAACTGAATGAAACACTTTTTTGTGGTGTTTTTGCTAGTTCTGAAGCTGTAAACAAAGAAATATATAAAAACCTTTTAAAGGACAACAGTAGATAAAGAGGGAAATAACCTTATTACGCTTACAAAAATTCTTTAAAAACCTCTGTTACTTTTATCAGAAAAATAATCCTACCCATATTAGGAGTAATACTGCTTTCACCTTTATTAGCTGTCTTCCCAGAATCTTCAAATTTTCCTTCATATTACCCACAGATTTCTTTAAAAGAAAATACAAATAACTAACTTTGACCTTGCTGCTTTCTCTAATTACCATACTCTCCTCTCCATCAACCACTTATGTTCCTTTCATTTCTTACCATATATAGTTGAGGCACATCTTTGATGGGGGGTGAGAAAGAAGGGCCAGAAAGTGAGATCTAAAATCAAGTGAAAACTGTGCAGAGTTAAAATTATACTTTAAAATCTTTTAAATCTTCCATAAAGTGTGAACAGTTTATTTTGTGCCAAAAAGTCTATAATACATATAAATAATACATAAAATAGAGTGTTGAACAGATGGCCATTTCTTCAACCGAGAATAAATGGAATAGTGGTCTTTTGTTTAGGGGCCATTTTATTTTTACTTTAACAATTTTCTTTCTCTCGCTTTTTTTTTCTAAAGACCAAAGACCAAATCACTTATAATAGAGGCCATTTTAAATAAAAAAATATAAGTGTTATCTTTAATGATGCTCTCACACTCACACCATGAGAGGCATGTGGAAAATGAACCCAAATGAAGAAACAGATTTACCTTTTCCAAGTTAACTCTCACACTGGGACACTGTTCACTGAGAAAAAGGGCACATACCAAATTAACTGCTTTTTTGCTTTTTTTCTCTAAATGGAGAAGGTGTAGTTAAATTTGTACAAGTGAAAGCCATTTTACTGGCTCCTAAACCTTTCTAACCTGCCCCCATTTTTATCCTCCAGTCTTGAAACTGACCCAAAATACTCATAACAATCTCTACAAATGAATTGGCTGCTTCTTCTTCCTTAATCCCTTCGGTCTTCTATATGATTCACTAAGTTTTTTTTTTTTTTTTAATCTTCCCTTGATATTAATTCCTCCATTTGAGTCTTATGACATTATCCTGGTTCCCAAGCTACTGGTTGTGGTTATTTCATCTCTTCTTCACTGTCCTCAGCCTCCTCAACATTCTAGGCATACTTAAGGCTCAGTCCTTGCTCTTCTCTTTATGTCATTTTTGGATTAAAGGCTGATTCACAGGATAGGGAAAAAACTTCATATGAAAAGAAGCAACAAAAGCAACTTAGCTGAGATCATTTTGGTGTTATACTGAAACATAAAAATGCTCCACCTGATTTTAAATAACTATTAAACTACAAAGGAGCCAGGGAGAAAAGAATAAAAAGGAAGAATTGAAGAGGATTAAGAACAAGATAGTCTCTTTTTTTTTGAGATAGAGTCTTGCTCTGTCGCCCAGGCTGGAGTGCAGTGGTGCGATCTCAGCTCACTGCACCCTCTGCCTCCCAGGTTCAAGCAGTTATCCAGCCTCAGCCTCCTGAGTAGCTGGGATTACACATGTGTGCCATCATGCCCACCTAATTTTTTGTATTTTTAGTAGAGCGGGGGTTTCACCATGCTGGCCAGGCTAGTCTCAAACTCCTGACCTCGTGATCTGCCTGCCTTGGCCTCCCAAAGTGCTGGGATTACAGGTGTGAGCCACCGCGCCCGGCTAAGATAGTCATTTTTGTGAGCACACAGAGATAGGCAGACATTCCAACACCTCTTGGATGACTCAACATGTCTAATAAGCACCAGGCACAATGCCTAGTACAAGTACCTGTCGCCCAGGAGTACACTGGCGTGATCATGGCTCACTGCAGCCTTGACCTCCTGGGCCCAAGCAATCCTCCCACCTCAAACTCCCAAATAGCTGAGACCACAGGCGTGCGCCACTATGCCTAGCTAATTTTTAAATTTTTGTAGAGACTGGGTCTTCCTATGTTGCTCAGGCTGGTTTCAAACTCCTGGCCTCAAGTTCTCCTCCCGCCTCGGCCTCTCAAAGTGCTAAGATTACAAGCATGAGTCACCACGCCCAGCGGTGAATCACTATTTAACACATAACTTTGTGTTTAGTTATGACTATGAATGGCAAAAAGTTACAGTGTTTCTTTATGTCAGGGGTCAGCAAGCTATAAGTCTATGGGGCCAAACCCAGCCTTTCCACTTGTTTTAAGTACAGCTTTATGTAGCCACACCATCCATACGTATTGTCTGTGGCTGCTTTTCAGCTACAACAGCCAAGTTCAGTAGTCACAACAGAGACTGTCTAGCTCACAGAGCTGAAAATATTTACTGTCTGGCCCTTTACAGAAAAAGCTGGCTGACCTTTGCTCTGTATTAATCATCTACATGCACACTTTCAATGCATGTGTACAGTTTTTATTCTTTTCTTGCTCCTATGTCATATTTGTTTTTGATGATATTAAATGAAATGTAATGGCATGGCTGTTGACTCTATTAATAGAAAATTAGACCTGGACATGGTGGCTCAAGCCTATAATCCCAGCACTTTGGGAGACCGAGGTGGGTGGATCACTTGAGTCTAGGAGTTCGAGACCAGACTGGGCAACATGAAGAAACCCTGTCTCTACAAAAGAATAGAAAAATTAGCCAGGTGTGGTGGCGTGTGACTTTAGCCCGAGCTAAAGGGACACTGAGGAAAGGAAGCTGAGGCAGGAAAATTGCTTGAGCCTAGGACATGGAAGTTGCAGCAAGCCAAGATTACACCACACGTTCCAGCCGGGGCAATACAGTGAGACCCTTAAAAAAAATTATGATATTATTTGTGGGCTTGCAAAAAAAAATAGGGCATAAATTTTGTATCTTTATATTCATTATTCTATTAATTCATCTGTATTGTATTTTACACAATAAACTGGTCTCTGTCTAATGATAGCTTTAGATTAGTCTATTATCTGGTCCTATCTAACCAATCTATTTTCTAATTTTTTTAAAAAGATACTTATTTTCTTTTACCTCATTTATATTTATCTGCTCCTCTGTTGATGAACATTTAGCTTGATTCCATATCCTGGATATTGCAAAATAATACTGCAATGAACACGGGAGTGCAGATATCTCTTCGACATACTCATTTCATACCCTTTGGGTATATATCTAGTAGTGGGATTGCTGGATCTCAATCTATTTTTAATTTACCCATTTATTTCTCCAGCCTGACTGAACTCCTCACTTTCTTCTCTACCTGGTACTTCTACTTTTGCTCTTTTGTTTACATTTATTTTCTTACTCTAGATACATTCTCTGTATTTTACAAAGCCTTCCTATCTAACTTATAGTCTATTTCTAGCCCTATATCTTGGTTAGCCCAATTATATGAAAATCTATTTTTTTTTTTAATTTTTTTTTATAGAGACAAGGTCTCACTAGGTTGCACGGGCTGGTCTCAAACTCCTGGGCTTAAGTGATCCTCTTACCTTTTCCTCTCAAAGTGTTGGGATTATAGGTGTGAGCTACCATGCCTGGACAAAATCATCATTTATACTCAGAATAACATATGATTTTCTGGCAGATCATGTTATTTATTAAATATTAAGGCATTCTATTTTACTGATATATTTAGATGTAAACACAATTAGCAACAATACTTAATGAGTCAATGAAATTCATTAAAGAGCATCATAACTAAACAAAGATTATAGAAAGTCTGATCAGTCTGTTAAACTGCGTTCCTGAAATTTCATGGTCATAATAATAAAGACGAAATATCTATAAAACTATCTTCTCATGACTTTAAAATGTGTATTTCTTTCAGATATGATGACAGAAATGCGCAGAATGAGGATAATATTCCAGTTTTATGCAGTGCTTACAAATACAACACATTATCATCTTTAAGTTATGAGCATGCTAATTCTCCAAATGGAGAACTACTACTTGATTACTCCTGTGAGTTCTATTTCACTTTACAATAATAATTCTCCTCTTTCTCCAGTGGTATTTCTTTGTCCTGCACCATTGTCCTAGGGTTTCATTTTGGTCTTGCTGTCTACTTTATCTTTCTAATTATTACATCAGCATTTCTTCTCTGGTTTCTCAGTGCTCCTATACAGGATTCAGTCATTTTTATAGATTTAAAAACTTAATTTCTTGTTTTTTCAGATGGAGTCTCTTTCTGTCACCCAGGCTGGAGTGCAGTGGTGCAATCTTGGCTCACTGCAACCTCCACGTTCTGGGTTCAAGTGATTCTCCTGCCTCAGCCTCCCAGGTAGCCAGAATTACAGGTGTGTGCCACCACACCCAGCTAATTTTTGTATTTTTAGTAGAGCTGGGTTTCACCATGTTGGCCAGGCTGGTCTTGAACTCCTGACCTCAAGTGATCCACCTACCTCGGCCTCCCAAAGTGCTGGGATTACAGGAGCGAGCCACCGCGACCAACCAAAAAAACTTAATTTCTTGATGTAGATAATAAATACTAAGAAACACATCAATTAATGTAAATTATTGTATGTACCATGTTATGTTCAAAATCAGTAATGTATTTAATGTTACACATTTTAGAAAAACTAAACTGATTTTGGCAACTGATTAACTTATATTCAGAAATACAGGTTTTATAATTACTTCTCATATATTCCTCATCAGTGTCAACATTTAACATATTTTATTTTTACTTGACCTTGAATGTTTACATGTGTCATTGGCTACAGTGATTGAATAAAAACAAACCACTGAAGAAATATCCATAGGTGTTTTATAATTATACGTTATAAGCCCTCTTTTTCAACTATTACATTTACCAGGTGGATAATTATTATACTTTTGTTCCTGACTTTTTGGTATTTCCAAACTTTGTATTTATATACCTTTATAATTTTCAAAGTGCTTTCACATATATTATTTCCCTTCCTTACTGCTTTCAAAAATGATGACCCCCTCATACCACAAGATCGAAATACAGTGCCATCTGATTTTTTTGTTTTTGTTTTTTTGAGACAGGGTTTCACTCTGTCACCCAGGCTGGAGTGTAGTGGTGTGATCATGGCTCACTGCAACCTTGAACCCCTAGGCTCAAGTCATCCTCCTGCTTCAGCCTCCCAAGTAGCTGGGACTATAGGCATGTACCACCATGCCTGGCTAATTTTTTAATTTTCTTTTTTTTTTTGAGACTGAGTCTCGCTCTGTCGCCCAGGCTGGAGTGCAGTGGCGCGATCTCGGCTCACTGCAAGCTCCGCCTCCCGGGTTCACGCCATTCTCCTGCCTCAACCTCCCGAGTAGCTGGGACTACAGTCGCCCGCCACCACGCCTGGCTAATTTTTTTTTTTGTATTTTTAGTAGAGACGGGGTTTCACTGTGTTAGCCAGGATGGTCTCGATCTTCTGACCTTGTGATCCACCTGCCTCGGCCTCCCAAAGTGCTGGGATTACAGGCGTGAGCCACTGCACCCAGCCTAATTTTTAAATTTTCTGTAGAGACAGGGTTTCGCTATGTTGCCCAGGCTGGTACTGAACTACTGGCCTCAAGCGATCCTCCTGTCTTGGCCACCCAAAGTGCTGAGATTACAGGCATGAGCTACCATGCCTGGCCTGAATTTTGAAAAATAATTGACAGTTTAATTTTAAGGTTATATGTAATTTATTACAGCTTAGTTCTCTGAAAATCAGCAACTGAAGTGTTAATTGGTATAGGTGGTAACTCAAGTAAGAAAAATGTTAGAAGACCATTACTAATAACTTTATATAAGCATTTTTCTGTAATATAAACAACATTTTTCCATATACAGGGTAAAACTCTGGGTTTTTTTGTTTGTTTGTTTTTTGAGATGGAGTCTTGTTCTGTCACCCAGGCTGGAGTGCAATGGCACAATCTCGGCTCACTGCAACCTCTGCCTCCCAGGTTCAAGTGATTCTCCTGCCTCAGCCTCCTGGATAGCTAGGACTACAGGCACGTGCCACCACGCCTGGCTCATTTTTCGTATTTTTAGTAGAGACGGGGTTTTACCATGTTAGCCAGGCTGGTCTCAAACTCTTGACCTCAAGGGATCTGCCTGCCTCCTGCCTCAGCTTCCCAAAGTGCTGGGATTACAGCCGTGAGCAACCATGCCCAGCAAAACTCTTATTTATTAATCAATTCAGAATATCTCTATGTGATTCTCACTTGTTACTTCAAAAAAATTTGTGAAGAAACTAAGCTATGGCCGGGCATGGTGACTCATGCCTGTAATCCCAGCACTTTGGGAAGCCGAGGTGGGTGGATCACTTGAGGTTTGGAGTTTGAGACCAACCTGGCCAACATGGTGAAACCCCTTCTCTACTAAAAATACAAAAAAATTAGCCGGGTGTGGTGGAGCACACCTGTAGTCTCAGCTACTCAGGAGGCTGAGGCAGGAGAATTGCTTGAACCCAGGAGGTGGAGGTTGCAGTGAGCCGAGATTGCACCACTGCACTCCAGCTTGGGCAACAGAGTGAGACTCCACCTTTAAAAAAAAAAAAAAAGAAACTAAGCTACATATTTTGGAGAGGACTAAAGAAAAACAAAGACTGTGCACATACTACAAGAAGCTTATAATCTAGCTGAAAACAGAAGACATCTGAGCATGAAAAAAACAAATGAACTTAATTGTGCTTAATATAACATCCTTCTTTTAGGGAACGTCTCATTATTCCCTAAACCATAGGGAATCTCTCTTCATTCTTTTAGGAAATGTAGTGGTATAATAATCATGGGGAATGTGGTTAAATCTACCTTAGGAAAGATGAGTAATAGTTATAGAAATCAGAAAAGCAACATACCTAATTTAGCCATCTTTTCAGAGTGTTTTCTATTCTGAAAAGAATAAACTTTATTTCCACCACCTGTAGCAGAGCCATTTTTCAATGATTCTGAAAGAAAAAAATGCAATATACATTTAGGAAAAAAGAACAAAATTAACAGAAAAAAATTTTAACAAAAAAACTTAAGATTTGTACCCCTCATAGCCTTGCATAAAGATTTAACTATATTTATATATAAAATATTTGGAAATACATAGTAAAGAAAACAGGCTATGAAACTGTTTATATAAGTTTTAACATGCTATTCAAAGATACACAGACATCTATGTAAAAATACAAAACCATAGCAAAACCCCAGATTAGAGGGATATGCATTCAATTCCTAGTAACAGTTGTCCCTGGGAAGGGAGGACTAAAGGGAGTTTTTTGGTTATATTTATTTTCTGAAGCAAAGATGAAAAGTACAATTGTTGAGGTTGAGATTTAAACAGCTGTTTTATGGTAGAAGCTTTCTTGGCCGGGCGCAGTGGCTCACACCTGTAATCCCAGCACTTTGGGAGGCTGAGCCAGGTGATCACGAGGTCAGGAGATTGAGAGCATCCTGGCTAACACAGTGAAACCTCGTCTCTACTGAAAATACAAAAAATTAGCCGGGCATGGGGGCACATGCCTGTAGTTCCAGCTACTCAGGAGGCTGAGGCAGAAGAATTGCTTGAACCTGGGAGGCAGAGGTTGCGGTGAGCAGAGATTGTGCCACTGCACTCCAGCCTCGGTGATAAAGTGATAAAGTATCAAAAAAAAAAGCTTTCTTCACAGATCCTGACTTAACTGACATTCTTCAATCTCCTCTTTAAATATCAACTGCTACCTACAACACAGTGAACATTCATTTCTAGTATCCTACTTTCTATCACAGCAATTTCCAACATGTGGCCTGAGGGTTGCTAGGATCCCTGAGGTCAAAATTACTTCGTAATAATACTAAGACATTAATTAACTTTTGACTCTCAAACAAGAGTGTACAGTGAGGTATGCCAGAGACGACATGATGTGATAACAAGTTACCATATTGACTAATGGAATGCGTGAAGAAGAAAATCCAGTTGCCTTCAATGAAGCCAGACATTAAAAATAGAAAACAATGCCCTCCTCATTAAGTTATTGAAAGTTGTTTTCATTTAAATATATGTAATTTTTGTCAATACTTAATGGATTTATTAGAAAATGGTGTCAAACTTTCCAAAGTGTGTGCTCATCCTCCTTATTAAGCTTTCCTAGTGATCTGTATTTCCACCAACGCTTGGTTTTATCCAAACTCCTTAATCTTTGTCAAACAATGGGTATAAACTGAAGAGAGGCGTCTTAAATTTGTATTTCCTTAATCATTAATGACACTGAACATTTTTTTACAGGTTTCTTCTCAGAAAAAATATCTTCTTTACGCTGTGGCTTGTCTTTACACTCTTTTTATGGTGTCATTTGAAGGAAAGTGCTGGTTTCTTATAAAATAGACTTTACACTAGTCTTTTTACTGTCTCCACAGTTTTGCATTTTCCAGAATGTCATATAGTTGGAATCATACAGTATGTAGCCTTTTCAGATTGGCTTATTTCACTTAGTAACATACTTTTAAGGTCCTTTCATATCTTGTTCATGGCTTGATAGCTCTTTTTTATTTAAGTGCTGAATACTCCATGGTCAGGATGTGCCAGTTTGTTCATCCATTCATCTACTGAACGACCTCTTTGTTGCTTCCAAGTTTTGGCCATTGTGAATGAAATTGCTATAAAGGTCCACCTGCAGGTTTTTGTGTGGACATAAGTATTCAACTCATTTGGGTAAATACTAAGAAACATAACTACTGGATTATATAGTTAGAGTATGTTGAGTTTCATAAGCAGCAGCACAGCTGTTTTTCATGGGGCTGCACCATTTTGCATTAACTAGAGATAAATGAGTTCTTGCTGCTCCACATCCTAATCAGTATTTGGTGGTATTCGTGTTTTGGATTTTGGCTATTCTAATAGGTGTATAGTGGTATCTCATTTTGTTTTAATTTGCAATTCCCTAATGATATGATATTGAGCATATTTTCATATGCTTATTGGCCATCTGTTTATTTTCCTTGGTAATAAAGAATAAAAATAGATGGCAAATAAGCATATGGTATCTGTTCAAATACCTATTTGCCTATTTTTTAATTAAATTGTTTTCTTATTGCTGAATTTTAAAAGCTCTTTGTATATTTTGGATTAAAAGTCCTTTATCAGACATGTCTTCTGCAACATTTTCTTCTAGTCTGTAGTCTTCTCACTTTCTTGAGAAACAATGAATTTTAATTAGTTGAATTTGTCAATCTTTTCTTTTGATTACATATTTTCTAAGAAAACTTTCTGTAATCAAGACCAAAACCATATTCTCTTATATTTTTGTCTAAAAGCATTTACAATTTGCTTTTCATGTTTAAATAATTAAGGTAATTAATCTGTTTATAAAGGGAGGTAGAGGGCCTTTTTTTTAAAATGGGAATATACAATTGTCCCATCACCATTTACTGACCAGTTCATCACTAGCCCAGTGATCTGCAATGCTACTTCTACAGTATATCTAGTTTTCATATATGCACAAATCTATTTATGGAGAACTTGTTACTGCAATGATAGAACTACAACTAGAATATATAATTAGAATATAGAATGTATAACTATATATTTATATAATTTATTTATTTATTTATTTTTTGAGACGGAGTCTCACTCTGTCGCCCAGGCTGGAGTGCAGTGGCACGATCTAGGCTCACTGCAAGCTCTGCCTCCTGGGTTCATGCCATTCTCCTGCCTCCACCTCCCGAGTAGCTGGGACTACAGTCGCCCGCCACCACACCCGGCTAATTTTTTTTGTATTTTTAGTAGGGACAGGGTTTCACTGTGTTAGCCAGGATGGTCTCGATCTCCTGACCTCATGATCCACCCACCTTGGCCTCCCAAAGTGCTGGGATTACAGGCATGAGCCACCGCGCCCGGCCTATATAATTTATTTTTGTCTGAATGTCAAATATAGACAAAATATAAACTTGAAAAAGTTATTAACTAAAACAACTGGTTTTAAATAAGGTGAGAATGAGAAACTGTAAAAGATTTAAGAGAAAATTTGAGAAACATGAAAGCCTACTACACTCAGATAGCATCAAAAGTATCATTAAGTTATCAGTTTATTGGAAGAAAATGAAACTGGAAAATTCCAGTTGATGCATTATGGATATGATAGCTTAAAAATTAAAAAAAAAAAAAGCAGGCTGGGCATAATTGCTTACACCTCTAATCTCAGCACTTTGGATAGGCTGAGGCTGGCAGATCACTTGAGCCTAGGGGTTTGAGACCAGCCTGGTCAACATGGTGAGACTCCACCTCTACAAAATATACAAAAACTAGCCAGGCATGGTGGTCCGCACCTGTAGTTGCAGCTACTCAGGAGGCTTAGGTGGGAGGATCACCTGAGCCCAGGGAGGCTAAGGTTGCAGTGAGCCTTGATTGTGCCACTGCACTCCAGCCTAGGTGACAGAGTGAGACCCTGTCTCAAAAAAAAAAAAAAAAAAAAAGGCAATACTGTTCAACCAGCTGATCTCCAACAAACTTACATTCAAAGACTCAAGTCCTACATCAAAATCAATCACTACTGCATTAGTTACACTAATAAAAAGTTACAAACAATCCAAAAGTATAATATAGAAAACCACACATTATTTATATATTAGAATGCAATACTACTAGCTATTACAGTTCTTTTTGTCCGAAGACTGACCTCTGAGAATTTAACGATATGTTAAATTTAAAAGAAAATAAAACCACCGCCTCATATCCATTAAAAGGGCTACTGTTTTTTTTTTTTTTTAAAAAAGGAAATAGGTGTTGGTAAGAACGTGGAGAAATTGGAACCCTTGTACACTGTAGGTTGATATGTAAAATGGTGCAGCCACTGTGCAAAAAGTATGGTGGTTCCTTAAAAAATTAAAAATAGAATTAGCACATGATCCAGCATTTCCACTTATGGGTATAAACCCCAAAGAATTGAATGCAGGGTCACAAAGAGGTATTTGTACACCCATGTTCATAGCAGCATCATTCGCAATACCCAAAAGGTTGAAGCAACCCAAGTGTCCATCTACAGATGAATAAATTTCAGTTTTGTACAATGAGAAAAGTTTGGGAGATTGGTTACAAATGGTGTGAATGTACCTAATGCCACTGAACCCATACACTTTAAAAATGGTTCAGATGCTAAGCTTTTTTGTGTGTGTATGAGATAAATTCTTGCTCTGTCACCCATGCTAGTGTGCAATGGTGTGATTGTGGCTCACTGCAGCCTCAACCTCCTGGGCTCCAGTGATCCTCCCACTTCAGCCTTCTGAGCAGCTAGGACTACAGGTGCATGCCACCACGCCCAGCTAATTTTTGTATGTTTTTTGTAGAGATGGGATTTGGGATTTCTTTCTTTCTTTTTCTTTTTTTTTTTTTGAGATGGATTTTCACTCTTGTTGCCCAGGCTGAAGTGCAATGGTGTGACCTTGGCTCATTGCAACCTCCATCTCCCGGGTTCAAGCGATTTTCCTGCCTCAGCCTCCCGAGTAGCTGAGATTACAGGCACCCACCACCACGCCCAGCTAATTTTTTGTATTTTTAGTAGAGACACGGTTTCGCCATGTTGGCCAGGCTGGTCTTGAATTCCCGTCCTCAGGCGATCCACCCGCCTTGGCCTCCCAAAGTGCTGAGATTACAGGCATGAGCCACTGCACCTGGCCAAAACTAAGTCTTTAGGAAAATGTAACTATGATTAAATAGTGTAATCTGTATAAACTTTAGGAGGATATTTGGCAATACATGTCAAAACTCTTATTGTAGAAGAATGTCTAATGACAGAGTAATGTATATATGATACATTATTAATTGCAAAAAGTCTATTTATAAACGTAATGGTGCAAGCTTATGTGTGCCCATGCATGTATGAACAGACAGAAGATACACACTGAAATGTTAACGGTTCCACGTTCTCTAAAGCAGGCATTCTTGACAGGTACAATACATCTCCCAATTGGGTAAAACTGGATCTTGGCACAGGAGGGAGTGTGGAAAAAAGACTTTGACATTATTAATATAATAGTCTGTGGCCCTCCAAAGCGTCACAGTACATAAACAGATATACAGCATATATGTAGTACTGAAATTTTTAGGGTGGGAAAAAGTGATTAGGAGAAAATGTCTAAAAAGGCTAATTAGGGGTCAATAATTTTAAAAAGGTTGAAAAACATAGGGCATGATGCCAAAAAATAAGGCAAAGTTCCCCAGTGTGAGGAATGAATGAATGAATGAATGAATAAATAAATAAATAAATAAATAAATAAATAAATGGTATGGGTTTCATATGTGCTGAGTACTGATTCTCTCAGGCCTTTGAGGATGCCAATCAAGGCCAGTAGCAGGGGTAGGGTTAGGGCCCTGGGGTATTTGTCCTTGGTCTGCAGCATCCTCTTCTATTTATTCCATTGTGCCTCCAAATATCATTTGCTGTGAGTGCTGTTATGTGAGAAAGGTTGGAAGCACTGAATTTCTACAACAAACATACTACTTTTTTAAGAGACAATTTTTATGATAAAAGTTTCCTTTGTGGAATACTGTTATCAATCTCTTCTTAGGCCTGGCATAATAGGGAGTCAAGAACACCAAGTTTTATTTAGAATATGCTCAAAAAATGTCAACTGTCTAGCTGTGGACACATAGGAGACCCTACCCAGCCCACTAAATCTATTGAGGAGCAGTGGTCATTTTTTGTATAACTCTATACATGGAGTATATGACTCTACCCCCATAGTTAATGAACTATGTAATTATGTTCATTAATATAATAAGTAATAGGCACAGATAACTCAACTGTGATTCATCTGTGGATATTCCAATTATATGCTATTTCTATGTCCAGATTTTAAAAATGAATTGAGCTAAATTGACTCTTGAGAATCTAGAATGGGAGAACTGAAAAACCAAATCACTTAACACTGGGAACTTGATGGACATTTATAAGTATGTGAGAATAAAACACATGTACATGAAGAAAATATGTGGCATAGAGAAATCAGAACAGATGCACAGAGATGACACAGGGAGACCTGGAGACTCATGAAAGCACAGTTCCTCAGTTTTTAACACTGTCCCAGTTCCAACTCTCCTAGTACCCAACAATATTGATTTCTTTCCTTTGTCATTATTTTTTTAAGCTAGGTTGTGGGGATCTGTGTTCCTTGTACCCAGGAAAAACCTAACTAAAATATAATTCGAACCTAAAAAAATGTTTTATGTTAAGAATAATCTTGCAGGAATCTGGCTTAGATGTAAAAATTAAAACCACACACATAATACCAGCATCCCTGGGTTAGAACACTACTTCTTGAAATGCTCCTCCTAGTTCTGTAAAGATCAAGGTAAGAATAAAGTAACTTGCTTTAGAAAGGTATTTTAAATAAGTTAAAAATATAAATATCTTTTTTTTGTTCTGTTTTGACCTAGGGTCTCGCTTTGTCACCCAGGCTGAGTATAGTGATGCAATCACAGCTCACTGTAGCCTCAACCTCCTGGGCTCAAGCAATCCTCTGCGTTAGCCTCCCAAGTAACTAGGACTACAGGCACACGCCACCATGCTCAGCTAGTTTTATTTTTTTTTTGAGACAGGGTCTCACTCTGTTGCCCAGGCTGGAGTGTAGTGGTATGATCACGGCTCACTGCTGCCTCAACCTCCCAGGCTCAAGTGATCCTCCCACCTCAGCCTCACTCATAGCTGGGACCACAGGTGTGTGCCACCATGCCAGGCTA
Source organism: Homo sapiens (assembly GCF_000001405.40). Taxonomy (NCBI): domain Eukaryota; kingdom Metazoa; phylum Chordata; class Mammalia; order Primates; family Hominidae; genus Homo; species Homo sapiens. Next base: position 200,956,396 of record NC_000002.12, read on the forward strand.
GTCTCAAACTCCTGGACTCAAGCGATCAATCTGCTTTGGTCTCCCAATATGCTGAGATTACAGGCATGAGCCATCACACACCCAGCTTCCAGCTAATTAAAAACTTTTTTTTTTTGTAGAAACGGGATCTTACTATGTTGCCTAGGATGGTTACAAACTCCTGGGCTCAAGCAGTCCTCCTGCCTCAGTCTCCCAATGTACTGGGATCACAGGCGTGAGCCACCATGTCTGGCCATAAATAAATACCTTAAAAATAGTACTAGCTACTCAGGTGGCTAAGTTGGGAGGATCTCCTGAACCCAGAAGTTGGAGGCTACAATGAGCTATGATTGTGCCATGGCATCCCAATCTGGGTGACTGAGCAAGACCCTGTCTCTAAAATAAATAAATAAATAAATAAATAATCTTGAAAATAACTTTAGGAGTACTATGCAGCCATAAAAGGAATGAGATCATGTCCTTTGCAGGGACATGTATGAAGCTAGAAGTCATCATCCTCAGCAAACTAACACAGGAACAGAAAACCACACACTGCATATTCTCACTCATAGGTGGGAGTTGAAAAATGAGAACACATGGACACAGGGAGGGGAACAACATATGCCACAGCCTGCGGGTGGGTGGAGGGAGGGAGAGCATAAGGACAGACAGCTAATGCATGTGGGGCTTAAAACCTAGATGATGGGTTGAAAGGTGCAGCAAACCACCATGGCACATGTATACCTATGTAACAAGCCTGCACATTGTACACATGTATCCTGGAAAAATTTTAAAAATAAAATAACTTTAGAGTGGTTGGTCTATAGATTCCTTCTTACTGAAAACTATGTGCAGGACTGGTTGTTAAAAAAAAGAACTATGGAGAAATTGAAGCAAATGCTTTTTAGATGAGAAACATGATCATATAGAACACCACTGTTTAACCTACCAGACTACTTTTGTGTATCCTATAAAGCAATTTCTGCTACTAGCAGAAACGAGTGTATATTTCACCCCCTCAAATACCTTGAACATCTCTTCCCATAATTTCCACATAGTTCTGATCTTTTAAGACCTCCTGGTCATCTTCCTCCAAATCATATTCTGGCTTCTTTATTATTTTTTTGGGGTTGACCAAAAGCTGCGCTCGCTCCTTCTTCAATTTAGCTCCTATAAGAACATCCAAAGAAATAGAGCATGACAGGTATAAATTCTTTCTAAACATTACATTTAAATAAGAAATTATAATATTTATATTGTCATTACTTAAAAGCTGGGAAAAAAGCTTTCTCTTTGATTAAAACTGACCACTCTGACCACTCTTCCACAGTTTATATAGTTAAAAAAAAAAACACACACAATCTTGAAAGTATATATTTTTAGGGTTCAAAATAACCACATATTTTAAATTACAATGGGTAGTTATTAGTGACTACCACTCCTGGGCATTTTGTTTTATATTAGGCTTTACTGAACATTTTCAATTAAAGTTTGAAAGAATTAAACTAAAAATTAAAGCAGTTTTTATTTAGTTTTACTAACCAGATCAATCCTTTGCGCTATATTTTCAAAAGAAAATGTTAAAAGTTTTAAAAGTGAAATAATCCATAAACATTATAATAAGCATCTCTTCAAATTGTACAATCACTTAATACCTCCTTCTCTATCTAGAATGTGATTAAGAACATCATCATCTCCCACAAAGTGAACCTCCAGCATCTTGTCTTCCTTTAATTCTGGTTTACTCATTGTTGCCAACCTAAACAAAAACAGTAAGTTACTCAAAAGTGATGAAGAATTCATATCAACCACCAAATTAAACATTCACATAATGAATACATGTCTTTATCTAATATTTTTAAAGTCTTTTTAAGTATAAAAAATACATTATGCATTACTGTATTACTACATATTCAACTGTAGGTAACTCAATTCTTTATCTAAAAAATTGGGGAGGCAAAGAGATTCTGAGATTTGAGAAGAGCTAAATCCAATCAAGGTAGCTAAAATATACTCAGAAAAATAAAATAAAATATTCTCAGAAAAACAATTTTAAGTTTTAATGAAAGCTCTAACCAATCCAGATAAGCACATTAACAGAAAGGGGGTGGTTAATACATGAGTGTTTAGAAAAGTGACAGCCAAACAAAGAATAATGCTTTAATGGATTTTATTATCTGTTCACTAGAAAGCTACAGTCAATTGTGGGGAGTCTGTTAAACTTCACTTGTGTCCTAAGCCTGGATCAAAAAACCCTCAAGCACCTCCCTTTACTTTTATGGAATGCTTACCAAACAACTTTACAAATATGAATATGGCTTTCTAGATATCTTGGTAACTAAACAGTAAACACAAATCTTTCGAACACTTTACACTCAGTTCCTCACTGAACAAACCTCCAGAGTTTGGCAAGCAAAAGTTTGATCAACTCTGGCTAGTCTCACAAAATGAACTTTCAGAACTTACTATGCTACTGGCCTGAAAATAACTAATGATGATTTTAACTGCTGCCAGCTAATCAGTTTACCCAAAAAATGTAAACTAAGATTCAGTGTTCTTGGTGATTTCTTTTCTCTTCTCTCTTTCTTACAATCTTGTTTTCACCTTTTCTTTTGGCAGGAGAAACTATTGACTGTGTCTCTCTTTTCTTTCTTTTTTTATTGAGACAGGGTCTCACTGTGTTGCTGCAGCCTCAACCACCTGGGCTCAAGCAATCCTCCCATCTCAACCTCTGAAGTAGTTGGGATTACAGGCACATGCCACCATGCTTGGCAGGTTTTCCTTTTTTTGTAGAGATGGAGCCTCACTATGTTGCCCAGGCTGGTTCTGAGCTCCTGGAATTAAGCAATTTTCCCACCTCACCCTCCCAAACCTCTGGGATTTACAGGCATGGGCCACCACCACAGTCATTTATCTCTTCTGAGTTCATTAACTGCAGGAAGAAAACTAATTCAATGTTACCAAGTTTTATTTTGACAAGCAACATGCTTAAATGACTTCTTTCAGTTTTCATTTACCTTTTAAGGTACTACACATTCTGCAGCTGCAAAATTCAGATACAGTCACCTGTAATTGGAAAAATAACTCAGTCAGGGTCAGCTAGCAGAAAAATGAAAGCAATGGGGCAAAAACAAGTTCCACAAGTTTTAACAAGCATGATGAATAGATACATGTAGACCTTACAAAGCCAAAGCTGTTGTAATGGTATAGTAAAGGACAAAAAGACCATTACTGATTTGGCTAGGAAGCCCTAGATACTGAGAACATCTGGATGGAGTGGGAAGAGAGGAGGACAAAATTTGAGCACTTACATTGTGCTAGACAGTTTTGAGTACTCCATATGTATTCTCATTTAATCTGCACAACTCTATGAGGTTCATACTTTGTGTATAAAGATAATAAATAGTGGGCTGGGTGCAGTGGCTCATGCCTATAATCTCAGTGCTTTGGGAGGCTGAGGCAGGGGGATCCCTTGAGGCCAGGAGTTGAAGACAAGCCTGGCAACAGTAAGGCCTGCCTCTACCAAAAAAAAAAAAAATTAGCTGGGCGTAGTGGCATGTGCCTATAGTCTACTCGGATTGGGCAACAGAGTGAGACTCTGTCTCTAATTTTTTTTTCTTTTTTTTTGAGACAGGGTCTGGGCTCTGTCACCTAGAGCAGTGGTATGATCTTGGCTCACCACAGCTCCAACCTCCTGGGCTCAGGTGATCTGCCCACCTCAGCCTCCCATACAGCTGGGACTACTAGCTTCTGCCACCACGTCCAGCTAACTTTTGTATTTTTTGTAGAAATGAGGTTTCACCATGTTGCCTAGGCTTGTCTCAAACCTTTGGGCTCAAGCGATCTACCCACCTCTACCTCCCAAACTGCTGGGATTACAGGAGTGAGCCACCACACCAGGTCAAAAAAATTTTTTTAAACAACAACGACAACAAAAAATTGTGGACTTGGCTGTGATATGAAGGAAAAATTTTAAAAATAAAAATAAAAAATAAAGATAATAAATACTTCATCTATAACTTATGACCATTGCTTGTAAAACATGTCCTCTTGGGCCATTTTTCTAGTCATAATACTGTTTCCTATTATGGGGAAACTGGGTGTATTAGAGAAAAAGTTTAACCCATTTATGTAATATTTGTATAAAATAAAGCAACAGGTTTTTTAAGGGGCTGTTTGTGAGGCACTGTATTAGGCACATTTATGTACACCAGCTCATTAAATCCTCAGATTCTCTGACTTAGGTATTTTGCATCTCTCTCTTTATATATATAATGTCCCCAACTTACAAATGAGTAAACTGAGGTCAACTCATTAAATATTAATAACTCATTGAATTATTAATGCAAATACACACAATTATAAATCTATTAGGGTTGAAATTCACTTCGGACTGATCCTAACTTCTTCTTTTTTTTTTCTAAGATGGAGTCTGGCTGTGTCCCAGGCTGGAGTGCAGAGGCTCAGTTTCAGCTCACTGCAACCTCCGCCTCCTGGGTTCAAGAGATCCTCCTGCCTCAGCCTCCCGAGTAGCTGGGACTACAGGTGTGCACCACCACACCCAGCTAATTTTTGCATTTTTAGTAGAGATGGGGTTTCACCATGTCGGCCAGGATGGTGTCGATCTCTTGAACTCGTGATTGGCCCACCTCAGCCTCCCAAAGTGTTGGGATTACAGGTGTAAGCCACTGCACCTGGCAGATTCCTAACTTCCTGACCACTCTATTACACCACATACCTCTCCTGCCATCAAATAAAAATGTTATCATAAATGCTTGGTTTTTTTGTTGTTTTGGGTTTTTTGTTTTTGTGGGGTTTGTTTTTTGAAACAGGGTCATTCAGCTCTGTCACCCAGGCTGGAGTGCAGTGGTGCGATCTCAGCTCACTGCAACATCTCACCTCAGCCTCCTGAACAGGTGGGACTACAGGCGTGCAATGCCAAGCCTTGCTAATTTTTGTATTTTTTTGTAGAGACGGGGTTTCCCCATGTTGCCCAGGCTGGCCTGAGCTCAAGCAATCTGCCCACCTCAGCCTCCCCAAGTGCTGGGACTGCAGGTGTGAACCACTGTGCTGGACGCTAAATGCTTGTTTTGACCTCTGAAAACCATTCATAATAGGTCTAATTATTTCTCTACATGTCAATTAGGGTTAGGGTATTCTATAGCAGGTAACTATAGAATGTCCAAACTGGAAAGTTTCTCTAACTTTCCAGTTCATTGGGTGAAACATCACTAGTTCTATCAAGCATACTTCAAAGAGCATGGCCAGAGTCAGCATAATCTACATTATTTTACTTAATTATACACTGCTGTGTACTACAAAGGATTTGAAGCAGTGACAATGAGCAAATGCAATAAAACAAATTATAATTTATAAATGCTAATAGGGAGTCTGCATCAGAAAAAATATAAAGGAAAGCAGAAAATAAAATCACACAATGAATTTTTGGCTCTGAGCTTCCTGGCAATCAAAGCAAAAAGCAAGTAAAGGTCGGTTACGTAATTCTTATTGGCAAAAGTTTAGTTGTTCTTGGGGATGTGGGGACAAGATTTTCTAGGAAAATTTAAAAACAAATATTCTAGGCAACTGAGTATTGTCCTAGGCAATTTCCCTATGGTATTCTACACAAGAATTGCCTGGAGAGAGGCAGCCTGAGACTTGTTTGTAGCCAAGTGCATTTATACAAACATTTCCTTTTCTAATTTTGGAGCATCTTATTAAATAGTACAAAATCACCAAATTAAAGAAAATGTCTACAAAGACCTCATGAGAAACGTTTCCTTCTTTGCTTTCCAACAGTTCCTGAAAAACAAACGAACAAAAAAACCTAACAATCACACAATAAAATGCAATATTTAGTGACCATTATGACCCCTCAAGGCACTGCCTTGGTGCTTATAGGCCAACCCCTTTCAAGGAGTTACTTCAAGGCAATTCTGCAGCACCAAGTGTTAGCATTGCACCAAGTGGTAGCAACACACTCTCCTTTGAAAACAAATAAAAGATTTGCTGTAATTTTTAAAAACATAATCCTTTGAAAAAGAAGGTTGGATAGATTAGTGGTTAAACACCAATTTTAATATTGGAGAAACCTGAGTTCCAATCTCCACTCCATACTTTATAACTGTGTGACTTTGTCCAAAGTCCTGACGATTAAATGAAATGATGTGCCTGATATATAAAAGAGCATCACTGAATGCTCCCAATTATCGGTATTTTTACTTTAACCTTTTTCTTTTTTAGCTCCTTACTGCAGTGCACTGAGATATTTTTACTTTAAACTTCAACTTAACCATGCAGATCTCTTGTACATCTCTAACTCATTCAACATCTAACAGAAAAACTGCTCAATAAGTGATGATGTCCGTTTAACGTGCAGTGCCCTTATATAACGGTGTAGGGCCGTGCTATTTTTCTTCAGATTGCAATTTAACTGCGGGAAAGTGTAATGATTCTATTAGGATTTCAATTGTAAAATGAAAAGTAACGTCTCAACATCTTTTTAATTAAAAAGCTCTACCAAAAGAGCCTGGCTTATCAACATTTTACAGCCAAGCATGGCTCCAAGGTGACCGATCAGTTAGCTGGCAGGACACATTGGTGCCTCCAGGCTGGGATGACATCAAAGGTTCTAGCTACAGTGGTTCTGGGACGCGATCTCTTCCTCTTCATACCTCACAGGGCACTTTACCACTGTCGTTACACATCTTCACAGTTCTCCTTTTCCAACCAGAGGGCTTCGTAAGCTGGGAATCAGGTAGGTTAGTATCAGGCGTCCCTTGCACAAAAGGCCTATAACTGCGGGGCAGACTAACGAAAGGTCCTCCCAGAGTGAGCCTCTCACCTCAAGTCTTAAAGGACTTTGGCCTGCGCCTCCAGCCTCTGGCCAGTTGGCTGCGCTCCACCAGTAAGGGTTCTCGAGCCCCCGGGCAGCCTGCGGGGGGCAGCGAGGCGCAAAGACCATGCCCCAAGTGCCGAGGGAAAGTCCTGAGATGCGCGACTTGGGACGCTAGGGGCCAAGCTCCGACGCGGGGCTGGGTGCACCTGGACGCACCTCACACGCCGCGAGCTAAGCAGAAAAGGGAGGCAGGCTGCCCCGACACCCCACTACTCACCGCTAGGTTTCCGTCTGGCGCCGATCCGGCTGCGTCACGCCGGCCGAACGACACCCCGCTGAGTCGCCGCCGCAGGGAAGGTACCTTCGGCCCCAACGGGAAAAGCCAATTTCCAGTAATTCGCGCCCGACCACCGGGGAGGTAAGGAGCACCGGAGGCCAGCTGGGGGATGGGAAGCCTGCGTGCGGCACACCGAATCTCCCGCCCTGTTCAGGGGGCGGTGCCCGAGGAAGCCAATAGGAAGAGGAGTCGGCCAAGAGCGACGGCTCTGCCGTCCAGTCGGCGCCGGCCATTCGGCCCCGCCCATCAGGAAACCTGAGGAAAACGGATTCTTGGGCCCTGAGTTGTGGGCCTTACCTTTCCTTTCTTCTTTCCGTTTCCGGGGAAGGGAAAAGGAAGTGTTGTTTGGATCTGAGGAAGTTTGCACAGTAGCTGGCTGAGTGGTAGCTGTTTGTCTTGTAGCAATCTTTAAAAAGTGTTCTTTGGGGTCGGGCGCAGTGTCTCACGCCTCTAATCCCAGCACCTTGGGAGGCCGAGGCGGGCGAATCACCTGAGGTCGGGAGCTCGAGACCAGTCTGACCGACATGGAGAAACCCCGTCTCTCCTAAAAATACAAAATTAGCCGGGCGTGGTGGCGCATGCCTGTAATACTAGCTACTCGGGAGGCTGAGGCAGGAGAAACGCTTGAACCCGGGAGGCGGACGTTGCAGTGAGCCGAGATCGAGCCATTGCATTCCAGCCTGGGCAACAAGAGCGAAACTCCGTCTCAAAAAAAAAAAAAAAAAAAAAAAAAAGTGTTCATTGGTTTCCCAGCTACCTTTTGAAGAAAAAGGTAATGGAAATTGATTCGCATTTCTTTTTTAAAGATTTTCTTCATTTGGCGTGAAAGGTAGGATCTTGTACATCTCCAGGGTTTGGGGTAGGGAGAAGAAGAGACGTTAGGAGAAGCACTGAATATGGAGATGGGATCGGACGGCTAGTGGGATGAAGAGGCTGGGGAAATAGAATGAATAGACAGAGAAAATGATTGACTTCAACTATCCAAAATATAAAAAAGACAAGACAGAGAAAATGAGGAAGAAAAGGAATGAACCTGGATGGGATCCATACAGTATTAAGAACAGGGTATTGTTTCATTTGGATTCACTTACTCAAAACAAAACTACAGAGTACTCTGCGAACAGAAGATAAGTATTCATTATCGAGCGAGACAACTACGATCTCTGCATTCACTGTAGTTACCTAGCACGTGAAGATATTGAACGGACAATATTGAGAAAAATACCATGATATGGGAAGTGCATTGGAGCACATGGTAGGAGTAGCTAATTAAAAGCCCAGAAGGAGTCAGGAACAATTTTCTAGGAGGAAGAGATGTTTAAACTGAAACCCCTGTGTTGAATAGATTTAAAACAGGCCAAGAGGGGTAAAATTTTCCAGGTAGAAGGTCCAAATCCGTGTAACAGCTGTGTAAAATGCCAAGCATTGGGTCTGTTATTATGAAGGGCTTAGTTGGCCCTTAGGGCACTGGTCAGATTTGTATTGAAAGATCTTTGGATAAAGGAGGTAGGATTGGGAGGGAAGATATAGAGTCACAAGATTTGGGAGCTGTTTAGGAAATCCAGTTGAGAAAGAAATGATCATAGCCTTGATACCTCATTATTCCATTTTGGCTAGGTGGAGTTAAGAAAATGGAAGAGAAAGGCAATTTTTTGTGCATTATAAATAAGAATTTGGGGAGTGACTAGAGACAGAAGATAAAGAGAACATAGCTCAACAGTTAACAATGATGTGTTTGAAGAGTGTTTAAAAATGTGAAGATGACTAGCCCAGCACACACACCTGTAATCCCAGCTACTTGTGAGGCTGAGAAAAGGAAGATTGTTTGCATCCCAGAGTTCCAGGATGCAGTGAGCAGTGATCTCACTTGTGAATAGCCACTGCACTCCAGCCTGGGCAACACATCGAGACCCCATTTCTTAAAAAAGAAAAGAAATTTGAAAAAAAGATGAAGATCTAGGAATGTTGAATAGATATGTTCAACTTATGTGTGTTTTTTATATATATAATTTTTTTTTTTTGAGATGCAGTCTCCCTCTGCCGCCCAGGCTGGAGTGCAGTGGCAACATTACTGTTCACTGCAGCCTCGACTATCTGCTCTCAACCAAACCTCCCACCTCAGCTTCCTGAGTAGCTGTGACTGCAGGCGCACACCACCATACCCGGCTAATTTTTGTATTTTTTGTAGAGTGGGGGTTTCACCATATTGCTCTGGCTGGTCTCCAACTCCAGAGCTCAAGTGATCCACTCATCTCGGCCTCCAAAAGTGTTGGGATTACAGGTGTGAGCCACTGCACCTGGCTGTTTTTTTATATTTCTATGATGTCAGTAAACTCCCCTTCATTCCTCTCCTTCTCACATCTTGAAAAAAGGCTTCTACAGACCACAGAGGCCTTGGTGTGAGTGGTGGGTTTGGATGTAGTTTTTATGGTATATGTGTGGAAAATAGAGGGAAGGAGCTGAGTTTTGCTTTTAGGTTGACACTAAGATAAAAACAAAGAGCCATACCTTCAGAATGGAGACACAGGATTTAGGAGCAGCAGGAAGCTGAAGTCAGAGGGGACCATAAAATGGCAACTCCCCATGTATTCACGGAAATTTTGCGCAGGGCAAGTAGACTGTTCCAAAGGGGGAAATAGAAGCTCAATACTATAAGAGTAGAGGCACAAGCAGCTAATTGGGTAATAGTTTGAAATTTAGGGACTGGCTTTTAAAAATCTAATCTATGAAACAGGGTGAATTGAAGACTTTTTAAATACCAGTAAAATAATAATCAGAATTTTTTATTGAAGTTAGTAAACATAAAATTAACAGAATAGAAAAACAGGTTAACATAAGTTGGTTAGCTGGAATCCAGGCCTGAAAGGGGGAAGCCAGTAAGAAGCCTATTCCTTTCACAGAACTCCAGGTGGTAGTCTCAGGAATACGTTAAAAGCAGCATGGGTCTGGTGCGGTGGCTCATGCCTATAATCCCAGCACTTTGGGAGGCCGAGGCAGGTGGATCACTTGAGGTCAGGAGTGCAAGACCAGCCTGACCAACATGGTGAAACTCCGTTTCTACTAAGAATACAAAATTAGCTGGGCTTGGTGGTGCATGCCTGTAACCTGAGCTACTTGGGAGGCCGAGGCAGGAGAATTGCTTAAACCCGGGAGGCGGTGTCTGCGGTGAGCCGAGATCATGCCATTGCACTACAGCCTGGGCAACTATAGCGAAACTCTGTCTCAAAAAAAGAAAGAAAAAGAAAAAAAGCATGAAGCTGAGACTGGAGGATTGGTTGGAAAAAAAAATGGAGTATGAAGCTGAGACTGAAGATTGGTTGGGAGTCTTGAAACAATTAGATGCTAGATCTCCTGTCATACTTTGTGGAGGACCAGGAGATTATAAGGTGAACCGAGAGGATCTAGACTCTACCACTAGGCACAACTGAGAGTAGAAATGAGGTCATACTGAAATGGGGAGGATAAGCTCAGGACCTCGTCTTACTTGGCTCCCAGAACGCTGGCAATGAGTCATATATCCCCTGGGCATTAAATTTAAAGACTTTTTCAGGCAAGCTAATCAGAAAAGAGAGGAGGCCCCAATTGAAAAAGCCAGTTTATTAATATAGACCTACGCTGACACCTACTAGCTGATAAGCTAGTCCCTGCACGCTGAGCTTCTGATCAATTTTAGCATTACCAAACTTTGGAATAAAGCCTCAGCTCTGAAAAAGAAAAAAAATAAAGCAGGAGCAAACATACTATGTAGAACCCAGAGAAAAATTTACTCAAAACTGTAATAAACTCTTGACATTTTATATCTATTAAAAAAGGAATGTAAAAAGGAATGTGAGTCATCAAATTTAGATTCTTTAAGGAGAAAATTCTTAAAGTTTTAATTAATTTTTAAATAGACTGCAGAATCAAGATGATAGCAGCTTATATTTTTCTTCACCTGTGATCTCATCTGTCAGCACACTGAAGAAAATCAGAATCTTTATAAATTTCTTCTTCAAGGAGATGACTGAGTTAAAAAATTAAATCTTTTTTTAAATTTTTTTATATTCAAACAAGGTTTTTTACCGAAACCATATTTTACTTGATCAAATTCAAGAATATGATCTCAGTTCATATCTTCCAAATTGAAATATAATCTAAATAGCTGTATAGATATCTGTGAGAGATCTAGATTAAGCAACCAGAACTAAGTAGGTCTTATGAACAAGTTAAGATACATTTATATTGGTTCCTAAGTTTGGGAAACTCAGTTAACTTTTGTCTTTGCCAGTATCGTGAAAAGCTTCATATTGATGCTATTGCTCCTTGAAAAAAATCCATTTTCTCCCTGGGTCTTTGAACAGTTTATTTAATAAAATTTTTGAGCCCCTACCTCAACCAGGGGCATAATGCCCAGGTATGGCCCTTACCCTTAAGGAATTTAGAATTTAGTTCGGTAGAAAGAATCAGATAATTTCAACACAAAAGGGTGTAGGCTGGGCCCAGTGGCTGACACCTGTAGTCCCAACAGCTTGGGAGGCTGAGGCGAGAGGAGCACTGGAGCCCAGGAGTTTGAGGTCACTCTGAGCACATAGGGAGACCCCCATCTGTACCAAAAAAAACACAAAAATTCAAAAAGGTGTACTGAGAACTACAAGGACAACTGCCATTTAGCTTAATCTAGGGGTTGGGTTGGGGGATAGCAGAGGAACGGCCAATCCAATTTCAAAAGACAAGTAGACTTAAGCAAAAGAGAAAGTACTGGAGAAGAGATTTCAGGAAGAAAGTACAAACTGGGTGTGGCAGTACAAAGGACAAAGGGTGTGATTGTGCAAATGAGTATGGTAGTACAAAGCACTTTGTTGTTACTTAAGAATGATAGGAGATGGAGTAGAAGTAGGCCACAGGGCCTTGTATGCAGGCTAAATAACATGGAATTTATCCCCTATATTGGAACCACTGGATAATTTTAACCAGGGCACTGATAAGCATTTAATATCCATCACTAAGGAGGATAAATTTAAGGGCAAGGAGTCTAGTTAGGAGGCTATTGAAGCAGTCGATATGAAGAGGATATGAGTTTGTGCTGTAGTAGTAAAGATGGGAAGGATTAATTAAAAAAAAAAGGGGGCAGTCAGCAGGATTTGGAGACTGGATAATAGAGGTGAGGGAGAGAGGAGATATAATTCTCAGGTTTCTGGCTTGGTTGCCTGGATTAGTTTATTGGTGTGATGTGAGAGAGAGATTACTGATAGAGGAAAAAGGTAGATGAGTTTAGTTTAAAGCATCTTAACTTTGAAGTGCCTGAGAGATATCCAGCTATCCAGCAGCCAGTTGGATTTAAAAGTCTAACATTCAAGAGGTCTAGGCCTAGAGATACAGATCTAGGGTCATCCGTTTATAGATTTAAGCCAAGTGGCGAAAATGAGAACTGTGCAGGGAGTGTGAGAAAAATAAGAAATAATGTGAGATACCTCTCATTTGAGACAGGCAGCAAGGGGATAAGGATAGTTACAGATAGAGTTCAGAACTTTGAAGTGGTGGTGGGAAACAGGAAATTAAGCATATTTATTCTAGCATGATGGCCTCCATTTCATAGAAAAAGAGTTGAGGCTGCTGAGAAAGTGATACTTTATGTGCTGAAGCTGCGGAATAGAAACTAAAGGGAATGAGAAAGGGGACAGGCCAAGAAGTACAAGGGTCCATTGAAAATGTATTAACACCTACAGTGTTCAGTGGCCTGAGTTAGGGAATAGAGAAGGCAGACTAAAGCATTAATATGGATGGGTCTATTCTTTGGGGTGGAGGTATATTTATGGAATGGGTTAATGATACTTCTTTCTTGTATTGTCAGTTACTATACTAGGTGTTTCTCTAGGAAAAATTTATTATTGAGTCAGGTTCTGGACAGAAGAGAGAAAGCTTACCTATGCCAAAGATTGGTATAGCATTAAAGAGAATTTTCAATCCTGATTGCACATGAGAATTAGCTGGGGATCTTTGAGAACTATGTGACGCCAGATCCTACTCCCAGAGAGTCTGCATGGGGCCTGGTCATCAGAATTGTTTTAAAAAATTACCCAGATGATTTTTTTTTTTTTTTTTGAGACAGAGTTTCACTCTGCTGCCCAGGCTGGAGTGCAGTGGCACGATCTCGGCTCACTGCAGCCTCCGCCTCCTGGGTTCAAGTGACTCTCTTGCCTCAGCCTCCAGAGTAGCTGGGACTACAGGCGCCCACCGCCACAACCGGCTAATTCTTTTTTATTTTTAATAGAGACAGGGTTTCACCATGTTGACCAGGCTGGTCTTAAACTCCTGACCTCAGGTGATCCACCCACCTCGGCCTCCCAAAGTGCAGGAATTACGGGCGTGAGACACTGTGCCCAGTTGGCCAGATGATTTTAATGTGAAGCTAGGGCTGAGAACCAGTGAGCTAGAGACAATTAAAAATTGGCAATAAAATTTTTTGTGAGATACGCAGTGGCCTAGATCATGTATGTTAAACACACACTTGATAAAGTTTCAATAGATCTAGAATGTCAGTGGCAGATGCCTCAGCAAATAACTTCTACCCTGAAATTTTTTTATATGTCAAATTGATTTGTCATGCTCAGGAAAAGTGATTATATCTGAGTATCTAGTAATAAAAGAGAATATGGCAGCCAAAACCTCCAAGATAATTTTTTTTGTACCAGGGATGGTAAAGCAGTCAGTGAGGACACGAGATGACATCATCAAATAAGTAGTGAAAGATTTGACACAGTAATCCTTAAAAATGTACACAGAGGGCTGGGTGTGGTGGCTCAAGCCTGTAATCCCAGCACTTTGGGAGGCCGAGGTGGGTGGATCACCTGAGGTCAGGAGTTTGAGACCAGCCTGGTCAACATGGTGAAACCCCGTCTCTACTAAAAATATAAAAATTAGCTGGGCATGTTGGCGGGCGCCTGTAATCCCAGCTACTTGGGAGGCTGAGGCAGGAGAATTGCTTGAACCCAGGAGGCAGAGGTTGCAGTGAGCCAAGACCACACCATTGCACTCCAGCCTGGACAATAAGAGCGAAATTCCATATCAAAAAAAAAAAAAAAAACAACAACAACAACAACAAAAAAACGTACACAGAGTAATTACAATAATGGGAATTAGTTTTTGAAAACAATTCTGAGTTGGCCAGGCGTGGTGGCTCACGCCTGTAATCCCAGCACTTTGGGAGGCCGAGGCGGGCGGATCACGAGGTCAGGAGATGGAGACCATCCTGGCTAACACGGTGAAACCCCGTCTCAACTAAAAAACAGAAAAAAAAAAATTAGTCGGGCATCATGGTGGGCGCCTGTAGTCCCAGCTACTCGGGAGGCTGAGGCAGGAGAATGGCATGAACCCGGGAGGCGGAGCTTGCAGTAAGCTGAGATCATGCTACTGCACTCCAGCCTGGGCGACACCGTCTCAAAAAAAACAGCAAACAAACAAACAAAATTCTGCGTTTTACAGTGTGTATAAAGTCAGTGTAACATTTGTGAATAAAGGAAATATATATAGATTTCTTAACATTCTGTAATTTTACTTGGAGGAAGTGAAGAAAGCCTATGTTTGGGGAATTGCCTACTGAATATTGGAGAGAATAAAATAAAAAGCCTATTGAATATGAGTGTTTTGTTTTGAGACTATTAGCATTGTTTCTGTTTTTTTTTTTTTTTGGTTTTTTTTTTGAGAGAGGGTCTCACTCCGTCGCCCAGGCTAGAGTGCAATGGTGCGATATTGGCTCACTGCAACCTCCGCCTCCCAGGTTTGAGCGATTCTCATGCCTCAGGATAGCTAGGATCACAAGGGTGCGCTACCACACCCAGCTAATTTTAGTATAGACAGGGTTTCACCATGTTGGCCAGGCTGGTCTCGAACTCCTGACTTCAGACGATCCACTCACCTTGGCCTCCCAAAGTGCTGGGATTACAGGCATGAGCCACTGTGCCCGGCCTATTATCACAGATTATATCTATCCCATTTGGATTATCACCCCGGGCCAGATAAAGACCTTTACATATCCTAAACACGAAAGACTATACGTCTGCCCTCTCTCAGGTACTTAAAAATTTAACATTAAATCATAACATAGTCATCAGCCCAACAAAGTTCTGCTTTCCTCCCATGCTACCCAGCAGCTTTTTTGTGTGGATGGGAAGGGTCATAGGAAGAACTGTCATATAATTTTAAGTTTTATATTTTGGCAGTCTCTTCTGCTTTATTATGCTGTAAAATAGCTTTTCTCAACTGAGCTTCCTTACGTGAACCACAAAAAGACTATTTTCTCATTTTCCCTCAGGATGGTACACAAGAACCACTGTATATTACATAGGAGAGAAGTTAACTTATAACTGTGGATACTTAGGATGTTAGGGCTTGATTCTTTCATGGATTTAGTTTGCCTATTAGCAATCTAGCTCTGTTGAGATCCAACCCCTCCCTTTCTTCCCGTCCTTCACAGGGGGACTGGCTTTCTGGGGTAGGTGCTTGGCAAGTGTACTAATAGTTGAGAACAATCAATGCAATTATGCAGTATATTACGATGTTTAAGTTCACAAGTGCATTCGCCTGAGTGTCTATGTTCAATGTTAGCTCTTCCACTTACTAGCTCTGTGACTTTGGACAGCTGTACTTTACTTTTCTCATAAAAGAAGAATAGTACTTATCTAATGCTGTTGTACTGAGTATTAAATGAATGACTGCATTTTCTTTAAAGTGTTTAGAATAGTGCCTGGCACATCCTAAGCACCCAATAATGTTAGTTATTGTTTAATTTACATGGGAAGAATCTTTGTACCATAAAATACTGTGACTTACCTGGACAAGAGTTGTATGTGTGGGGATAGTGTGTATGTGTGTGTGTGTATGTATGTATGTATGTGTGTGTGTGTATATAAAGTGCCTCCACTATTCTATTAATATCACAATTATATTACAATACCTTAAAGGAAAATATTACTTTTCCTGTTGTACTTCTGTATTTTCTTTTGTTTTTTGTTTGTTTGTTTTGAGATGGAGTTTTGCTCTTGTCCCCCAAGCTGGAGTGCAATGGCACGATCTCGGCTCACTGCAACCTCCACCTCCCAGGTTCAAGCGATTTTCCTGCCTCAGCCTTCCTAGTAGCTGTGATTACAGGTGCCTGTCACTATGCCCGGCTAATTTTTGTACTTTTAGTAGAGATGGGGTTTTACCATGTTGGCCAGGCTGATTTCAAACTCCTGACCTCAGGTGATCCACCCACCTCGGCCTCCCAAAGTGCTGGGATTATAGACGTGAGCCACCACACCCGGCCCTTTTTCTGTATTTTGTAAATGAACAACTATTACATTTCTAATAAAGGGAAAAAATTGGAACTGTCAGCTTGTGAATCTCATCCTTCCTTACTAATGCAGATCCAGAATCAAAGAGAAAAACACAGTCTTGGTTCTGGATCTGCCAATCTTTGGATTAAGGAATAATAAATATCAAAAAGATAATGTACTTTGCTTGAATCTAAAATAAAATGGAGGATAAAACTTTGACTCAGCAAGGAATAACAGTCATAAAGAAAAAAGGCACAAAAGAGATTTTTCCAGAAAATGCATGTAAAGAAAGGGAAAGGAAAAAGGGCCTAGGGCTTAACCCTTGATTAAACCCATGTTCCAAGCGAAGGCTAAAGTATCTTTAGGAAAGACAATGTGGGAAAGGCCAAAAAGTTTAATGATGAGAGAACTAACTGCAGGTAAGGGTGTGAAGAAACAGGCACCTTCATAAGTTGTATTGTAAACTGTATTATAATAATATTGGTTCCTCTTTACAAGGACCCAGGAAAGAAAATATTTTAACATTAGAAATAGTTGTGCTTCACCTGAGAAACTTGTTGAATCTTAAGGAATATGAAAATTATGTAATTAATCTTACTTCTGTCTTTACATTTGGCTGCTTTAACGTTCAGTGCTAAATCTGTACCCCTGCAATTAACTACAGAAATATATGGCACGTTTTATGTATTAATTTCACACCTGCCTTTGTCTTGTTTCTTATTTTGTGGTGTTAAATATAATTTTTATACTGCCTTAATGTAATAGGGTATGATATAAAGGTTCAGATATAAAATAAAAATGGTACACTTTGAAAAAATATGAAAAGACCCTTTTAAGATATAAAATTTACGTAAGATAAAATCAACTCAGGGAAATCCAGTTAAAAGCCAAATAGAGCTGTATTTTTATACTGTACAAAAAAATTTACACTCTTAATGTAACTAGATACATCTAAGGGTAAATTACACATCTCTCAAACACAGTATTTTAACATCTAAGATATGTTTCTGCATTGCAGACTGATACTGAATTTTATACATCTTTATTTACAATAACTTAAAATATTTTTTCATCTCTGGCAGATATTTACAAGGTCAACAGTGACTACATTTCACATTTCAACAATCAACAGCATTAATCGGTTCATTAAGACAGGATAATGGCTTACATGCACCAATAAATATGATCTTAAATTCACGGTTTTTTCTTCAGCTCTGAAAAAATGAAGGTTGTCACTAGTCCTAGGTTGAAAGGACATCACTCAATACAAGTCATAATTTCTATATGCCTATCCTATTTAAATTTTCACCAGCACTATTCTCTAAATACTTGGGAAGTTTATACCAAGTTATAGGTTGATGCTAGTTTAAAAAAAAAAAAAGAGCTGATGTGTACATTCCATATCCTTTTATGAAGCAAACATATGAAAGTGAGATAGTTCTTATTTAATATCATTGTGACAGAGATCAGATTACATAATGCCAAAGTAGTAAAAATCCTTCAGAAATTATAGCTCAGGAGACTCAAATTATCATGAGAAAAACAGTGGGAAAATAATTTTTGCACCCTAAAAACTGTTTCACTTAACCACTTAAACTGAATGTAAAGCCAGAATAATTTTAGAGTAAGAATAAAAAAGATTCAGTGTCAAGTAGATGAACTTATTACAAATATTTTTAAACATGGAGCATATCTCTCAATTCAGTATGGATGATAAAACTTAAAAACAAACAAACAAACCCCCCCAAACCCAAACCTGTATCAGTGATTGTTAGAAAGCCAATCCTCTCTTTCCAAGACAGCTAATCAATATACTCATTACTTTTCAACTACTCCCTGCTATAAAAAACAATACATAAAACCTGTTTGGAACATCAATATGCAAATACATTCCATGATTTCCAAAAAAAATTATTTAACTTTTGAAATAAATCATTTAGTTCTTATTGGGCTATACATTTTAAAAAAATGAGTATTTTAGCTTTTCTTAACCCAATCCTGTTTTTCTGCAAAGAAAAAAAACACTCAGAATGATCATGGACATAAATTATTTAACAAACTTTACCAGTTTAACCAATATTATAGTAATTGCCACTGCCCTTTAAAATAGGTACATTTCCATAATGCCCCCCTAAATTTTACTTAACCCACAATATTATACAATATACCAATTTTAGGAATTTCCCCCTTTTTATTCAATCCTGATGAGTAGGATCCTTAATTTAAGGAGACCAGAAACTGTGCTATGAGGAATAATATTTAGATTTAGCTTTAACGGGTACTTTTGCTGGAAGTGTAAAATATTGACATTTATTGACATAAGAAAACCTAAAATGGAATCTTGTAGCTACTGTAAACCTATTTTCCAGGTCAGAGAATATTTTTAAGATACTTTATATGTTAAAGAGGCCTCATTCCTTAACAAGTACTTTAAAAATTATATTTGGTAGATACATTTTCTTTGGTAAATTTTGTAATCAATGAAGATGTAAAGAACTTCCTTTGATATAATTAACACTGAGCTGTTTATACTCAAATACAGCAAACCATATTGATATCAATTCTGTAATTGGGGATGAGTTGTCCAATTAAGTTCATTTCTTTGAAAATAAAAGGATTTCTTTATTAGCCCTACTTCCAGATACACATTTTTAAAAAGACTCATTTATACTCTAAGCTACACCTAATTCCATTTTTTTATCAAATCAATATTAAACATAATAGCAGACATCTGAATATGCCTTAATTTGTAAACATGATTAGCACAATTTCTAAAAATCCAGAAGCAAAACATATACCTTACATTTCTGTACTATGCTGCCAGTTATTTCACATCATTCCCAGCTTTCTGCTAATTTCTATCCTGAATTGTTTGCTCTTATGTACATTTCTCATAGGACTATGGCTAAGATTACAAAAATACTGAAAAGACTGAAGTTACCAAAATGTTGTACTTGTGTGGTCAGGTTCAGAAGAAATATGCCTACACAGGCAAGGAGGTTGGGTGGTGATGACTCCTCTATGAATAGTATTTTCTATATATGCTCAGTACCAGTATGATATACCTATTAGGTACACATAATGCAAGTAATACTAAAATTTGTCTTACATTATCAATATGACCATCTTGGCAGGGAAAACTGTACCAATCTGATGACTCATAATTTTATTAGCATTGTTAACAGTTTTACACTGCATTCCATCTGCTTATAATCTGGCAAATATTCTAATTTCTAATTGGTTTTCAAACAACTTGTTTCTAAAAACACTTTAAAAAAATTAAAGTATTACAAGTAAGTGTCTCAACCAACTTAGTGGTAAAACGATGACAATAATCTTCAACTTGAAAGAAAAAGTCTCATGTTCAGACTGTTTAACATAGCTGTACATAGAAAAATTGCTCTAAAATTCTTACAGATTTTCTGATCATTGGCATGACCCGTTAAACTTTTTAAAGCTGAAAACAAAGATGTAACTGAAATACTGATTAAAAAAGGAAAAACCCAAAACATACTTTGTAATCCAAGGTCAGAAATGGACAGATATTCCTTGCCAGTGTTTGTAATAAATAGGGGACTACCCCTAAAGACAGGTACTACATTTTTTATTTACAAATGAACATGCAGAGATTTAAACGAGACAACTGAT
This sequence comes from Homo sapiens, assembly GCF_000001405.40. NCBI lineage: Eukaryota > Metazoa > Chordata > Mammalia > Primates > Hominidae > Homo > Homo sapiens. The sequence goes on from NC_000002.12 coordinate 200,976,491, forward strand.
TGTCAACAACTGAAGTACTCAAAAATGGACTCCACTTCATTAAAATATTCACAAAAGTGGTGCAAACAAAACAATCTGAAAGAAGTTATTCTCAGTATTCCAGTGTCTAATAAACAATTTTAATTAATTTAAAGCTACTAGATGGAATCTGAGAATACAGACTGGAAATACTGAGCTTATATAGCTGAGACTACCGCATTTAAGACATTTTATATGGTATATACACACTTTAAATGACATCATGGTCACTGTTCCATTATGGAATCATAAGCTTCACACTATAGAACCTTTTTCAATCATATAAGGAAATATTGCTTGCATTTGCTCTAAGCATAAGATTCAGTCTCTTTCTACATTAAAAAGTAATGGAATCAAATTTATTTAATCTTTACTTTGCAATACTCTATTGTGCAATATAATTAGCTTGCCACACTGGTGACTGAAAGCTGGCTGACTCAAAAATTACTTTAAAATAACTAGAAAACACTGATCAAAGCCATTTCACAGGGTTTATTTTATATTTAAATAAATCCCAACAAATGTATTCAACTATAAAATGGCAGCATACAACTGTTATGTGGCAGAAAATAGTAAGGCATAAATTAGAATAATGTATTGATCCTTACATCTGTAGATATACTTAACATTTCCAACATTTCCCCATCTAGATTACTCTACATTTTTTCTGGATTTAACACTTTTCTTAATGTGTTGTATTCACCAACTACTAGACCAGAACTATAAAGAAACTGCAAAAATGGAGTTAACAACCCACTGCCTCCCCAAACCCATGGGAGACTGGGTTTGATTCTGGCTCTGCTTTAGGTATATGATCTTGATCACACCACAACCTCTGAGCCTCTGTTTCTTGAGGATGAAGGTTGGGGTGAGGGAGTGGGAGACTAGCTAGATTATCTCCAGGGTTTCTTCTTAGCACAATTCTGATTCTATAATAAATAGACAAAAGTGAATTGGAAAGGTAAGGGGAATGGTAAGGGGTAAAGTTAAGGGGATCAGGATTTTAAAATAACGATTTTCCCCTTAGCTTCTTAAAATATTTTCACATTTAAAAATCTTCAGGCCAGGTGTGGTAGTTATGTCTGTAATCCTAGCACTTCTGGGAGGCCAGGTGGGTGGATCTCTTAAGCCCAGGAGTTCGAGACCAGCCTGGGCAACATGGCAAAACCTCGTCTCTACTAAAAATACAAAAATTAGCCAGGTGTGGTGGTGCATGCCTGGAGTTCCAGCTACTCCAGAGGCTGAGGTGGGAAGATCACCTGAGCCCAGGGAGGTTGAGGCTGCAGTGAGCCGTGATAGTGCCACTGCACTCTAGCCTAGAGGACAGAGTGAGACCCTATTTCAAAAAATTCAAATCTTCTGAGTTAACTATTCACTTTGCATTTTAGTTTGCTTTCTAGTAATTAATGTCAGAGCGAGCTCCCAAAACCTTCAGCTGTTTCTTTGTATTCTTTTATCCAACTTGGCATACATGGCACCAACCTAATTGTTTTATTACAGAAAACAAGTATTTTCTCCCTAAATATCTTTTTCATAGATGATTAGACTTTTATGGAGATTAGAAAATATATAACAAAAGCTTGTTAAAAAAGTATGAATATTGCTGGCATATATCTGTAACAGCTGTTGTATACATGAAACAAAACTATTTTAAATTAAATGCCAAAAATAATGCATGTTAAAATGCATATTTAAAAACTTAGAAAATTTGACTCTCAGTTTGTTAAACTAACACCTTCCATTTTAACTAATAATAATTCTTGCACAAGAAATCTGTTGTAAGACCCTGAATGCAAGGCTTAGACTAAATGAAATGTTTCTTCACTGAGGTCAATTCACATCACCTAAAAGAATAGAAAACAAATGTTACAGGGTCATAAAATGTTAATGTGGGTATGTATACATACAAACATATATGTATATACATACAGATAAATAAAATCCTCTAAGATGAACTTTTTTTTTTTTTTTTTTTTTTTTTTTCAGAGATGGAGTCTTGCACTGTTGCCTAGGCTGGAGTACAGTAGTGCATTCTTGGCTCACTGCAACCTCCACCTCCCAGGTTCAAGAGATTCTCCTGCCTCAGCCTCCCGAGTAGCTGGGATTACAGGCGCCTGCCACCACGCCCAGCTAATTTTTTGTATTTTTAGTAGAGACAGGGTTTCACCATGTTGGCCAGGCTGGTCTCGAACTCCTGACCTCATGATTCACCCACCTCAGCCTCCCAGAGTGTTGGGATTACAGGCGTGAGCCACCGTGCCCGGCCAAGATGAACATTTTTTAAAACCAATTTTTCAGGTATAACATAAGATTTCTAGCCAAAGGAAAATTTTGTTGTATTAATTCTAACATTTGCTGTGATTTGGTATTATGTGGTATTTCTTTTGTGCTCTAACCAAAATCATGCTAGATTTAGATGCCAATAAATGCACAATTTGAATTGAAAACAGTCTTTTTACCTCCCAAATAATTTATGCCATAAAGTGACTGACCTCCAGCCATAGCCAAGATCTCACTTTCTTTTTTATTTTTTATTTATTTTTAATTTTTTTTTAGATCTCACTTTCTAGGTAAGTATAATGTTCCTTTCCTTACATACCTGAAACTGCCTGTTTTAGTATGTTATGGGCCTTTATAGCTCATTTATTTTGGCTATTTTTAAACTCCTTTCATTTATTTGACATCCCTTAAATTAAAAGAAAGGGTATTTAAAATATTTAAAATACAACTTTGTGATATATACATATACACACCATACACACACACACACACACACACACACACACACAGACACACACAAAACAATAAATTGTCTACTTATCAACTTTTAGCTTTACCCTGGACTTTGGCAATGTTGTAGATACTAGTTCAGGTTCTAGTTTTCCATTTTCACATGAGCTGGAAAAATGTTACAGACCACCATATTTAAACAAGCATCTCATATATAAAGAGTCTAACAGAAAGTCTCTTAGGGAAAAAAGAAAGTCCTTACAATAAAAACGGGAGGATTGCTAGGTGTGAAAAAAAAAAAGGCGTTTTTTCTGGTTATTTATCAAAATCTATTGTAATTTTAATGGTAGAGATAAAATTTTAACTTTTGCTAATTAGGAGAATACTTGCTTTCTATAAATTCAGTATATTTTTCTTAAACAATAATCAAGTAAAAACATCTAAATGTACAAAGCACTGATAGCTCTGATGTATTCTGTGGAAGGATAACTTATAACAGTTTAAGTCACAATACACTTTTTTAAAACCCAATATATTCCCTTCTTTTTCAAACATCAGAGCCTGAGACCCAGAAAAGTTATGATAAAATCTTATCCAACCAGATCAGAACTAAGGAAATTTTTTTTACCAATAATGTTTTTGTAACCTCTTAGCAGTTACCAAATGCTACTTACATACATTCAACATCTAGCTTACTGGCATGATATCAAAGTTTTATAAAAATGAGGAACTGCAGATATATGATTAGAAGGTACACAAATTGCATTACATTAAACACAAAGGCAGTGTGGTCCTTGTAGGAGAAATCAAGGTCAGTACCCCCTGGTAGAAATGTTCTATAAAAATGTGTCACATTGAAGTATCAGTGTTTCAGCCAATTGTCTGTCCCTGATATATTTCCTTGGAGTATGTAATGTATCAGGACTTTAGGTTTCTTAATCCAAAATGTCTGACTGAATTTAGGTACATCTAGAAAGCAGCTGAAAGGGTTTCTCTTATAGTCTGACATAACAGAAAGTAGATTGAGAAATCCCTCTCTTTACCTGAAGATGTACTGTTACACTTCAGCCATCAGCTCACAAAGGAAAAGAAGAAAAAAAAATCAAATCTCCTCTCACACACACAATCTCCACAAAAGCTAAACAAAAACTACCCCCCGCCCCCACAAAACCCCAGCACCAAAGTGTCAATCATTCCTGGGAAATAGAACATGCCCCTCAGATTCTGATTTGTTAGTTGGCCAAACTTGAAGGACAGAAATGACCTTATATGTCCTTGTGGGGAAGAGGGAAGACACGTTAATAATGACTATACAGCCATTGAGAAAGTGCATTATCAATTACACAATCAAGAGTCCTGCCCTCCAATGGAGGTGGTCACAACTTGATTTAAATGCCTCCGTAATTGAACATTTATGTCTTCGGGATAAAGGAGATGGGGGGGTGGAGAAAGAGCTACCCTCATTTTAATGAAAAAGTGCAGCAGTCTACCACCTTTCCCCATGCTTCTCCAGAAAATGATTGCACAGACTCAGAGAAGTCCAAAGTCATAGCAGAATCTCTGAGGCACTCCTGGTTAAGAGAAAAAAATATGATCCAGTAATCTTCATAGTTCTATAGATTATGAGAACAAACCCGTTTTGTTTTTAAACAAAAGCCAAAGAATCGTTTCATAGGGATCATATACACCATTTCCTCTAATGTACCCTCAGTCTCACAGTGTTGAAATGGGACCGATCAGCCTACGATGGATTGCACATCACCCAAGGAGAAAGGAAGGCATGGAAAAGGCAACCATTTTATACTGCTTCACAAACACATTTACAAGGGATAGGTGAAGAGAAGATGTAGGAAAGAGGGATAAAGAAAACCTTATTGCTGTTTTGATACAAAATACAGTATGAAGATACCTAAACTAAATGAAATCTGATAACAGTGACCAATATTTTCACAATGTGGGATGAAGTGTCTTCTTGCACAATGAAATGTTCAGTTTAAAAGGTAAGCAGAAAGATGAGGGAGGATGTCAAAACTACACCTGGGATATTAGCTGCATATTGAAACTTGGGGATCGAGACTGCTTGGTCAAGGGGGCTCCTGGGCTGAGGAGCTCTTTACCTTCGCCAGCTTGACCTAGCCGGTCTTCCTGCAGACTGACAGTTGAGTATCGATTAGCATTGTTGGCTGCTAAATTAGTACCTCCCTCAGTGCCAACCCCAATGCTGGTACTTGCTTGACTGCCATTTACATAGTCAAATGATTTACTTGAGGAAGCACTGGCTGTCCGGATTAGACTTAAGCTATTGATTTTTGGCACCACCTGGCCAGCAGGCAGGCTCAGGTGTTTCTTCATTGGTGTCAGCTCAACTGAATCTACACTAAGATCAGTTGGTTGCTGTACATACTGCTTGCGAACTACTGAATCTCGAGGGCTCTCACTGGATTTGATGGCAGAGGCTGTTTCTTTATCCTTGGCTGAACGCCCAGTTGCTACTTTCCTTAAGCTTCCCCTCTGAGAAGAGGAGGATGGTTTGGTCCCAATTGGCTGACTGCTGAGGGAAGCCCCTGATGAAAATCCTTCATCTGCATCATTCAGGTTTACAGACTCCTCTCCTCCATTTACACCCTCAGCACCTAAGAAAACAAATCAGACAGACTCAGCAATAGCTAAATTAAATAAGAAGCAGCTGTGAATAACAACACTGACCTTATCTCTTGGGCAATGTTCGCTATAGGTTGTCAATGGCCCTACTATCAACACTTCCCCTAAATAATTTAGGGGAAATCTTAATCTACACAGAATTCTACTATGCTAATAGATGTTAGTTTAGCTTTATTTAGTCCAGTTTTTGTACAACTATCCACAAACATATCTAGTATACTGTCAATATTTAGGCATGTAAAACGACTAGGTAAAATACAACAGTTTGTTAACATAAATTTTTATAATACACTATCATTCTTCTTCTGAAATGACCATATCTACCTACTGGAAAAAAAAAAAAAAAACTTTTCCCCTCATACCTTCTTTAACCCACCATAAGATGTGCAAAAGAGACCCTCTTCTAATTCCAGTTATCCAGAATTATACCAAAAACCCATTTATGCTTACAGGCCAAACTCTTTTTAACTATAATAAAATTTTATATTTACTCAGTGGTTGGTTAACTGCTTCTATATGGTTTTAGAACCTTTAACATGGAACTAGCAAATTTTTTAAATAACTCAAAACTATATTGCTTCTGTAACTTCACAGTCATATTTTGTCTATGGCCTTTTCTACTCACTGGTTTCCATATTTTGATCAATTAATGTGAAGAAAATATCAGAGAGCAGTGGTAGGGAACCAGCAGGGGTATTTAAGGATTTATATTTTCTATATGGTATGTTTTGATAATATTTTATGTAATTATTTCTATATTTTAGATTCTTAGTATTGAGATGTATTGTCATAATCACAAAATACGATAGTGTCCCATCACATTTCATTTCATGCAGAAACTGCAGTTAACAAAATAATTTATTTATTTATTTTTTTTGAGACAGTCTTGCTCTGTCACCCAGACTGGAGTGCAGTGGCACGATCTTCAGCTCACTGCAACCTCTGCCTCCCAGGTTCAAGTAATTCTCCTGCCTCAGCCTCCCGAGTAGCTGGGATTACAGGCGTGTGTCACCACGCCCAGCTAATTTTTGTATTTTTAGTAGAGATGGGATTTCACCATGTTGGCCAGGCTGGTCTCCGACTCCTGACCTCAAGTGATCTGCCCACCTCAGCCTCCCAAAGTGCTGGGATTACAGGCATGAGCCACCGCGCCCGGCCAACAACAGAATTCTTATCTTGGGTTTTTGTAGGAAGAAGAGAAGAATATATAATATACTGAGCTTGCAGTTTACAGAAAGCCAATTCTCTTACTGAAAGTATGATGAATATTCTCTTAGAAAGTAATACATTTGCTTCTTTCAATAACTCATATTGGTTTGCTACCTATTAAATACATTTTCCAGACTTCTGTAAAGTTTAATCTGAATCTACAAAACAGATATCAACATTACAGGTAAGGTAAAAATGTTAGGAAAGAATCTAAACAAATATTAGAGATATAGGTTACCTAAGCAAAATATATACAAAATATTTAAACACAATCTTTTATTTAACATAGCACCTGGAAAAATAAACTATTTACTTAGCTATATTTACTCATATGGATTATTTTCTTCCTTCTAAAGAATGAAATAAGCTATCCTTAAAGCAAAAGGCACCTTATTATATCCAGCAGTTTAATAATCTTTAATCATCATGCAAAGCCATATGAAAATGCATTTACTAAGAACAGTAGCAGCTGACACCACTTCTCTCAACCTCTTCAAAAGAACTGTATATAATGTACTTTTATAATGTACCTCAAAATAAAAACTTTAAATTATATTCATATGATACATTTTAGTAATTTACTTACAATTAGTATAAAGAACTCCAAAATGCCCAAGAAAGGATAGTTATTGGGTCAGAATTGATATTAGTGATATAAAACTGGGAGTGAACAGAAATGTATCATTAGGTATATTTATTAGGAAAGGAGACTGAGAGACTTAGTGCTAGCTTCTGAATCTTGCTACATGCAGATCTGATGCCCAAGCAATATGGCCATAAAAAAGATGATAACATAAAAGCCACCATGCAAGAGAATCTACTGATATTTTATATACTAAGAAATGCTTAGTATATATAATGGAATACTGATTGTACTTTAATCACAGGTATTATCTTCAGTTTAGTAATAATTTTTAAAAACATTTATTTATTTTTATTATTTTTTTTTGAGACAAGGTCTCACTCTGTTGTATAGGCTGGAGTGCAGTGGCACGATCACAGCCCACTGTAGCCTCAACCTCCCAGGCTCAAGTGATCCTCCCACCTCAGCCTCTTAAGCAGCTGGGACTACAGGCATCTGCCACCATGCTTGGCTAATTTTTGTATATTTTGTAGAGATGGGGTTTTGCCATGTTGCCCAGGCTGGTGTCAAACTCCTGGGCTTAAGCAATCCACCTGCCTGGGCCTCCCAAAGTGCTGATATTATAGGCATGAGCCATCGTGCCTGGCCAGTTTAGTAATAATCTTAACTCCAGCTTTAAAAGTCATAAATAGAATGTACTTGACAATCAGGAGAAAAGTAAGTGATGGGCTTATATTGTCCCTTCAATTTCAACATGTAATAAACCCAATTTTAATTGTAAAATTATTTAAAGCCATCATAGCAGAAAACTAGTCAATAATCTATGTTAATCCAAAAGCTTGAGCAGAGTTCAGAATTACCAAGACTTTTCATAGGTTTTAGTAATTTCCTTTCTTCTGTTTAAAAAGCTTGGTGGGGTATGGTGGCTTACGCCTGTAATCCCAACATTTTGGGAAGCCAAGACAGGCAGATCCCTTGAGTTGAGGAGTTTGAGACCAGCCTGGGCAAATGGCAAGATCTTATCTCCATAAAAAGTTAAAAAATTAGCCAGATGTGATGGCACCCACCTATAGTCCCAGCTACTCAGGAGGCAATGGTAGAAGGATCACTAAGTCCAGGAATTCGAGGTGGCAGTGAGCTATGAATCTTAAGGAGGCTGGCTGCAGTGGGTCACACCTGGGGAGGCCAAGATAGGAGGATTGCTTGAGCCTGGGAGTTCAAGACTAGTCTGGGCAACATAGCAAGACCCCATCTCTACAAACAATTTAAAAATTAACTGGGCATGGTGACATGCCTGTTGTCCTAGCTACTGAGAAGGCTGAGGCCAGAGGTTTGCTGGAGCCCAGGAGTCTGAGGTTACAGTGAGCTATGACTGTGCCACTACACTCCAGCCTGGGCAACAGAGTGAGACCATCTGGGGGTCGAGAAAAAACCCTCAAGAAAGAAAAAGGCAATTGTGTCTCAAAACATTTTTCCTTTGTAATTTTCTCCAAAGGTGATAACAATACCATTCATGGTCCAAAGAGGAGACATCTGAAATGGAATTTTTTTATTTTTTTTTATTCCTTTTTGTATTTACACTGAACGCCAAGAAGCTATGAAATGGATTTTTAATGAACTTTTCTATTCATGGCTGACTTTACTTACACATTTGGCTTCTGTTAATACTGATTTAAAACTACAAATAGGCCAGGGGCGGTGGCTCATGCCTGTAATCCCAGCACCCTGGGAGGCTGAGGTGGGCAGATTGCTTGAGCCCAGGAGTTTGAGACCAGCCTAGACAACATGGCAAAACCCCATCTCTACTAAAAATACAAAAAAACTAGCCGGCTGTGGTGGCGTGCCTGTAGTCCTAGCTATTCCAGAGGCTGAGGTGGGAGGATCACTTAAGACCAGGAAGTTGAGGCTACAGTGAGCCTTGATTGTGCCACTGCACTCTTGCCTGGGCGACGTGAGTGAGATCCTGCCTCAAAAAAATAAATAAATAAAACTACAAATAATCTGGATTAAAAGGTAAAATAAGGAAACATTCCTCTTTCCTTGTGGCTACACCCTCTCCCTCCCTCCCCCAAATTGAAATTTTACCAGTGATAGATATTAAAATAGGATATTTTAATATTTTATAGGATATTAAAAAGGAACTACTATTTTGTTTCATTTGTTTCAAAGTGTATGACTCGATGTACTGGAAGGAATGCTTCAATCTAATCCCACACTTTCTGGAATTTCAGCAACTGTTGATTAACATAGTACTATATTTAGCATAAATACTTCCAATATTCTAGCAATAGTAGTAGATAAGTGGCTCAGTCATTCAGGAATGTTCAGTTTAGGCCAACTCTGGGTTCCACATCTATTCATCTTTTTATTGTTATGTGTTTATACAAGATAAAACTTACTCCTAGGGATAATGTAATAAGATACAGGGGAAAAAGGGAACGCTGCCATCTTTCAGAGCCATTTAAAGGATCTCTCAAACAGCACCAACTTTTTTGGGTCCCTAGGTCATGCACATGCAACACTGTTAAATGAATTAAGGTCAATCTGGGTAAATGGGCAAGGGAACAGAGGGTAGATTTAGATTCTTACTGAGCATGCTCAAATTTCTAATGCACCAAAGAGCAAGAGTTCCCTATGGTGGAAATTAACTGCTTTATGTATGTTTGGTCTTTAAGTAAAAATATATAACCTCTTTTAAAGCTACTTGCTTGATTTCATAAATAAGTATAAAGGTTCCACAGTAGCAATACATTAAATAATTTTTAAAAAAACTGGCTACAGTTCCCTCTTTTACAAAGCTAAAAATTCCTACGGCATTACATGCAAAACAGTAAGTAAATACTTTTCCAACAAAGAGAAGCATTCTTTTACAGATGGGGGTTCGGGGGGGAAGGGTATTAAAAAACCCCTCCATGTTGCGATACCTACATTGTAGAAATAAGGCTCTACTAGGATATCTGACCTCTAAATAGAATAATACATTTTAATTCCATTGAATTGAATACAACCATTATTTACAATAAATTGTAAAATGTACTGTGCATCAGGATAGCACATTTCTAGAAGGTATCAGTAGTTTACTAGTTAGGCCTAAGCAACTTAATCTACAGATGATAAAGCCAATGAATATCAGCATACTTTGTCAAAGAGCTGAGAAATTGTCCATTGAACACCATAGAATTACAGATAAATCAGCTGGCTCCACTTCAATGTCTTAATGATAATATGCTAATGTTTTAAAACTCTCTTCACAAAATTTTAAAGAATAAATTATTGTATAAATAAAATCATTCATATTGATGAATAAGGCTCATGTCCACTGGGTGCATTTTTCTTTCCTAATGTTAGAATAAACATGCTCAGTAATAAAAAAATTCCAAGCATTTGCAGACCTTTTGGAGACAGGACCCTGCCTTGTTAGTAGCCATGCCAAGCTGTTCCTTGATTACACAGGGATGCAGACTCCAGGCCAGCACAAATAGTAACTAAAGATTGCACCTGACCTGGTGCTATGTATATGAGGAGGGAGGGTGCTTTGCAAAGAGAAGCTAATACACCCTGGGGTACTAGAAACACACATTAGAATGGAAAGATGCTCTGCTTGGGGATAGAGAGCCAGGATCCTTCTCCAGCAACTGCCTCACTGACTTCTGCCTCCTCATCTCTGTCCTACCCTCTGTTGTGGCTGTTGCTGAGTTGGGCTCCGGCGAGCCATGCTCAGGGGTCCTGCGCACCAGCACCTCCCCCTCTTGCACACGTTTGATCCCTAGGTCAGTGGAGCCGTGTTGGATCGGGGAGCCAGGAATACTCGAGTCAGCCTCGTTTGAGAAGTCAAAGCCATCTGGGATTCAACATATAACATTTTAGTGCTTTTATGCTGCTCTATTATTTTCTGAGCATTTTGACCCAGGCAGATAAGAGAATGTATATATGGATATGATATAAACACAAACACTATTTATATAGTTACATGTGTGTGCATGCTGTGCACACACATAAGGCAGCAGATGAACAATGTGAGGTTTGCAAATGAATTAAGACAGAAAAATCAGGATCATTAAAATGGCAATATCTCTTAGGCAAGACAGCTTGACTATTCAAGTACCATGTGTATGAAATACTGCTGGATTCAGCACTTACAAAAAAAGGAAAGGCAAAGATAAAAATCCAAAATCAAGAATAAATCATTTTATGAATAGCTTGCATTATACTGTTAGTTTGGCCAGTTATATAGTTTTTCCCACAGTGCTCATATGTGCACCTTTTTTTTTCCAGTATGGTAACAAGGTTAAAGCAACTTCTTTCCTATTGTTCTTATTTAGTTCAAAAAAAGACAAAATTTAACCTCATCTTATTTTGTTTTAATCTTTATACAGCAATCTAAACATCTATTTTATAAATACATATTAAAATAACTTTAGACATTTAGTCACATTTCTAGTGATATTTTTAACAAAAAAAATTACTTTAATTATACAGGGTCTTTTAATATCACGTGCTAAGACAGTCTGTAAAAACAGTGATAAATTTACTTGACTCCATGTGTGGACTATGGGGATTTTGTACTCACCTTCTCTTCTCCATCTATGACGACGGATTGAAGCTGTTGTAATTGCAGTCCGAGAAATCCTCGGCACTGTTGGAGTGACTTCAACTTTAAGGACTTTCTGGCCTTCTTGTGTAGAATCAGGAGCATCAAATGGTAATGAGTTTTTCATGGCATTGGCAACCTACAATGATAATATAAGTCTATACAAGTTTACAATCAATATGCAGTTTTTGTTTATACTACATGTGTCCATAATTTTCGAATATGTATTTAAAATTTGCATTATAATGTGTAATAAACATATCTTTGTTGTTCTGTATTCTTTTAAGCAGGCTTTTCAAATGAGAATTTCTAAAATATGAGTCACATACCCCACTGATGCCTTAAAATTGTTGACTTTCAAAGAGAAAAAGCATTCCAAAGAAAGAATTAACATATAAACTCTGATTATGAGACAATTTAGAATTGTCTGATTCTTCAGATGATAAATAACATGCAAAATTTAATCTCTGATAAACATTAGGATGTTCTCCACTCTTCTGTTTACATGAGGAGAAATGTTCCCTAAATACTTCTGGCATTTTGTCCTACCATTTTCTGCTCCCTGAAAAGGAAAGTGACATACCTGGTAATTGCCATTTGACTGATGCATGTTTCCTAATTGGGTTGTACTAATCTAGCAAAAATCTTGAGCTAAAGGATTGTCTTGCTCCTTCCCTCTCCACTTGGACAAGCCCATGTGGAATTAAGCAGCCTGGATAGGTGTGCCTGATCAGCTCACTCAAACATTCTTTCCAGTGGGCTGTTCCAAGGTCTAGATGTGAAGGAAAGTTGAGTCTTTCAATTTAGCTTTTAACAGTAATGAAAATACTTGTTCCCCATCTACGAACTATTTTTCTGTTTATCACGTGGCTCTAGATTTGAATAGGGAAAAAGGGTATTATTACTGGGTCCCTCAGAGACCACTGACAATAAAAGAATACTGTTAGTAACACTAGAGTTACTAATCTCTTTACCTGTATTGCCTTGGAAATGCCACCTCTACTTAATTTACAAGATTGTTGAAAGGATAAACTATTAATTTAAAGAGATTCATAAGTTCAAGGTACTACTATGATGATATAATTTTTTAATCTTTTTATCCATTTGTTTTAATATAACTCTTAGGGTAAGATTAGGAAACAAATGGGAATTCAAATGGAGAATTACTGCAAATGCTACCTCAATAAATTTATATTTAGCTTAAAGTATTTTAAAAATGATATAAATAAAATGGCTTTTGAGAAGCTGGGCCAGGCAAGGTGGCTCATGCCTGTAATCCCACCACTTTGAGAGGCTGAAGCAGGCAGATCACTTGAGTCCAGGAATTTGAGACCAGACTGGGCAACATGGTGAGATCTCGTCTCCACAAAAAAATACGAAAATTTGCTGGGTGTGCTGGTATGCACCTGTAGTCCCAGCTACTCAGGAGGCTGGGGCAGGAGGACCACTTGAGCCCGGAAGGTGGATGTTACAGTGAACTGTGATCACACCACTGCACTCCAGTATAGGTGACAGAGTGAGACCCTGTCTCAAAAAATAATAGTAATTTTTTGAAACAATAAAATAAAAAGCTGTATTCTTACAATGCTGCAAGTAGAAAATAGTATTTTAAGAATACTGTTATCAAAATATTACAAAAAGCTTAGGAAATTGGAAAGGAATAAAAATCCATAGTCAAATCACCGAGACAACTATTATAGCATTTTGTATGTTTCCTCTGTCCTGTCTAGATCTAAAAAATAGTTGTATACTGTTTTTCTACCTCATACAAGCTAGCACTTCCCTTTAATATAAAACCTCAAATATATAATCTCATCAAGTAAATATTATATAACTTAAATCATTCTCTGCTGTGGGACATTTAGACTGTTTTTATTCCTTTGCAATTAGAAATAAAACTGTAATGTTGTGCTTATAATACATTGTCTTTGGTATTTATAATTTTGGTATTAAATTTAAGTTTAGTTTCCTGGAATACATTGCTAGACATGGGATAGAGGGTCAAAGAAATAAACACACATTACCAAACTGCTTCTTCAGGGGATAGTCAGAGTTGTGTCATACTACTACTGTAACATAAAGAATGCCTTCCTCACTTCACTACTGGATATTTACATTTTTTTTTGTTTTGTTTTTTGAAACAAGGTCTTGCTCTGTCACCCAGGCTAGAGTGCAGTAGCATGATCTCAGCCTACTGCAACCTCTGCCTCCCAGGTTCAAGCAATTATCATGCCTCAGCCTCCCAAGCAGCTGGAATTACAAGTGTGCACCACCACATCCCGCTAAATTTTTTTTTCTTTTTTTTTTTCAAATGGGGTCTCACTCTGTTGCCCAGGCTGAGGTGCAGTGGCATGATTTCAGCTCACTGCAACCTCCACCTCCCGGGTTTAAGCAATTCTTTGCCTCAGCCTCCCAAGTAGCTGGGATTACAGGCGCCCGCCACCGCGCCCAGCTAATTTTTTGTATTTTTAGTAGAGATGGGGTTTCACCATCTTGGACAGTCTGGTCTTGAACTCCTGACCTCGTGATACACCCGCCTCGGCCTCCCGAAGTGCTGGGTTACAGGTGTGAGCCACAGCCCCTGGCCTTAAATTTTGTATTTTTTTGTAGAGACGGGGTTTTGCCACGTTGGCCAGGCTGGTCTTGAACTTGTGGCCTCAGGTGATCCACCCGCCTCAGCCTCCCAAAGTGCTGGAATTACAGGCATGAGCCACTGCACCCAGCCTTACATTTGTTTTTTAATTGATCACTTACCAGTTGGAGATTTGTTTATTTTGTGGGAGAGTACAAAATCTTTTTACATAGAATGAAATATTAATTTGCTTATTTGTATCATGACTGCTGAAAATATGTTTCTCAGTTTGTGCCCTGCATATATTAATTTTGCTTTTAAAAACGTGATGGAGGCCAGGCGTGGTAGCTCATGCCTATAATCCCAGCACTCTGGGAGGCCAAGGCAGGCAGATCACTTGAGATCAGGATTTCAAAACCAGCCTGTTCAACATAGTGAAACTCCATCTCTACTAAAAATACAAAAATTCGCTTGGGAGGCCGAGGTGGGTGGATCACGAGGTCAGGAGATCGAGACCATCCTGGCTAATACAGTGAAACCCCATCTCTACTAAAAATATAAAAAATTAGCCAGGTGTGGTGGCACACGCCTATAGTCCCAGCTACTCAGGAGGCTGAGGCAGGAGAATCGCTTGAACCCAGGAGGCGGAGGTTGCAGTGAGCTGAGATAGCGCCACTGCACTCCAGCATAGGAGACAGAGCAAGACTCCGTCTCAAAAAAAAAAAAAAGAAAAAATCACCTGGGCATGGTGATGCCTACAATCCCAGCTACTTGGTAGGCTAAGATGGGAGGATCGCTTGAACCCATGAGGCAGAGGTTCCAGTGAGCCAAGATCACACCACTGCACTCCAGTCTGGGTGGCAGAGAGAGACTTCGTATCAAAAACAAAATAAAAATAAAAAATTTAAAAAAACTGATGGAATAGGCTGGGTGTGGTGTCACACATCTGTAATTCCAGCACTCTGGGAGGCTGAGGCCAGCCTTGGCAACACAGAAAGACCCTGTCCCTATAAAAAAAATACAAAACAAGAAACAAAAAAACCCCCAAAATCCTAATGGCTTAGAATTTAGGTGTTTATGTCGGGGCCGGGGGGGGAGGTGGGCAAATCAATCTTATTTTAGTGACTTGTCCTATCATTTATGCTTAGAAATCTTCCCTTCTCTAGAAATCTGAATATTTAGAACCTTTTCTTCTCTCTTTTCTTAAAGGATTTCAAAACGTTTAGTTATTCACTTTATCTGAACTTTATTTTGGTACTGGAAGGTGGAAAGGACCTAAACCTATTTTGTTTTTTCTCTAACAGTTAACCAACTGTTATCATGGAATACAAATTTTCCCCTAATTATTTGGATTGTCTTACATTTTTAACCTAGTACCTTTTTTAGGTACCAGTATATTTAATAAAGAGTTAAGATAATAACTTACCAATAGTGGTTGAGAAAAAAGCTCTAGCTGGGCTCTATAAATGATATCATCAAGAACTTCCTGGCCAAGGTCCCACTGTCCATTATACCTATGAAGAAGCAGATCATTTATACTCTTGAGCAAATATCTAATCTTCAGCACAACTTTTTAAATTGTTCCAAGTCCTGCTATTTTGGTTGTGAAGCAAAACTTTCATACCAAGTGTTACGTCATTTCATTTATAAACTATCCCACTTTTGGTTATAAAAACAAAACAGATTTTAAATATTATGTTTACAAATGTTTCTTCACATAAATTGGTTTTTATTACATGCTGATATTTAGAGTAATCTTTTCAATGCGTTCATGAAAACCTGGGTTATGAACTATGTAGAGATAGTTTTCCATACAGAAAACCTGACAATTTCTAGACTCCAATTTTAATGACTAGTTATGTTATATTTTGGCTTATTTAAAAGTACTAAAAGGAAACCATATTAGAAAAACAAGATAAGCCCATCATGGAACAAAAGATTCAGTATTGTGTCGGATAAGGAAGAAAGAGAAATATTCAAAGTTTCTAAACATTAGGAAGAATTCATACAATTTTATATTCCACCTACTTACATGGCATAATAAACCCCTGTGAGAAGTTGCACCATAAATTCAGGATCCAATACTATTCGACCACAGAGTTCTTTCCAGTGTTTTTCATGTTGCCGTGGAAAGCCACTCACACAAACCCTAGGAAAATACACTATTTAACATGTGATTTCCAGATTCATCAAATAAAATAGTTTTTGTTTTCCTAAATTCATTTATTCAATTTATTCATTCCTCAAGTATATATTGAGTGCCTGTTATATACCAGTCATCGTTCTGGGCCTAGGCATACAGTTGTGAACAGGTGAAAGATAAAAAATAAAAAATAAAAATCCGAAATCTGTGCTCTCATAAAGCACTCATTCTAGTGGACTGCCCATAAAAGCAACTTTTCTGAAATAGCTAATCATCTCTTTCGCAATCATCCTTCTTTCTCTTCACACACATACACACAAAAATGTCTAACTTTTACTCACCCCAAATTGTATCAGGGTGAATTACTGGGAAGTATAGAGATCTCAAAACAAAAGGACATTTCAAAATACTGTTGTCTGTGAGGCCATTTTTAAACAAAGAACTATAAACAACTCCCTAACATCCATTCAATCTCATTAAGTGATGCTTCCAAAAAAGTTATGCTTGATAATGATCAACAGTTGTAATATACTACATTATTTAATCAATTAATTTAGTAAGATAATTATAATAGTGAGTCCAGAAGAAATCTTTCAGTGTTTAGTGCCTTATGGTCTTGGGAAATTTTTTTTTAATTGTTTATATATTTTTTATAGCAGAGACATACAATAAAAGACCTGCAATTTAAAAATAGCATTATATGGCCAGGCGTGGTGGCTCACGCCTGTAATCCCAGCACTTTGGGAGGCTGAGGCAGGCGGATCACGAGGTCAGGAGATCAAGACCATCCTGGCTAACACGGTGAAACCCCGTCTCTACTAAAAATACAAAAAAAAAAAATTAGCCGGGCATGGTGGCGGGTGCCTGTAGTCCCAGCTACGAGAATGGCGTGAACCTGGGAAGTGGAGCTTGCAGTGAGCCGAGATCACGCCACTTCACTCCAGCCTGGGTGACAGAGTGAGACTCTGTCTCAAAAATAAATAAATAAATAAATAAAAATAGCATTATATTAAGATAAAACCATGTGGGGAAAGGGGAATGGAAATTTCTTCTTCAATTTCAAGGAGAAAAAGGAATAAATGTAATGTTAGACCATTAAAGAAAAGTTTCTTCATTTATTCCTCAAATGGATGATGGTGAGTATCACACCACTATGGTATTTACATTACATATATTTAAAACAGTGACCCAACAGTTATTTTTTTAATTATGTAGATACTTCCATACTAGAAATTATATCATTTCCTTTTTTTTTTGGAGACGGAGTCTCGCTCTGCCGCGCAGACTGGAAGTACAGTGGCCTGATCTCGGCTCACTGCAACCTCTGCCTCCCAGTTTCAAGCAATTCACCTGCCTCAGCCTCCCGAGTAGCCTCCCAAGTAGTGGACTACAGGCATGTGCCACCACTCCCGGCTAATTAGTAGAGATGGGGTTTCACTATGTTGGCCAGGCTGGTCTCAAACCCCTGACCTCAGGTGATCTGCCCACCTTGGACTCCCAAAGTGCTGGGATTAGAGGCATGAGCCACCGCGCCTGGCCTAGAAATTATATCATTTCTACCTATTTAAGATAGGATGAAAATTTTTTAATGTCAACTTAACAATGTACAAGGAGTACATACATAGTTTTTCAAAATTCTGTAGAGGATATATGAACAAAAGAACAAAAGTTTGAGGACCACTAAACTCCGCCATCATTTTTGTTATTAAGAAATTCTATTAGGCTGGGTGTGGTGACTCATGCCTGTAATCCCAGTACTCTGGGAGACCAAGGTAGGAAGATCACTTGAGGCCAGGAGTTCAAGACCAGCCTGGACAACACGGTGAGACCCCATCTCTATAACAAATTTAAAAATTAGCCAAGTATGGTGGCACATCCCTATAGTCATAGCTAATAAACAGGCTGGGGTGGAAGGACTGCTTGAGCCTAGGAGTTCGAGGCTGCAGTGAGCTATGTATAATGATTGTGCCACTGCATTCTAGCCTGGGTGACAAAGGAAGACTCTCTCAAAAAAAAAAAAAAAGAAAGAAAAAAATTCTATTGAAGGCCACAATAATGTTGCCAATAAGAGAACAAGCAGTTTTCTTTTAATGAACCAAAAGTAATGAATTATAAATAAGTTTATCTGCAGATAGGGAGTAAGTGCTTAAGTAGCATCTAAATTAGAGACAAGAATTTTGTTAATCATGGTATTACAGTTAAGAGAAACATATTTTTAAGTAATCTATAAAATCAAAGTAACAGCTAATTTAGATGGGCAAAATTAATAAGTTTTGTTATAAGCAGGATCTCTTCCCAGTAACAAAATAGCATGTGACCTTGAGCAAAGCACTTGTGGTGGACAGACTCTTGGAGAGCCATGATCCCTATGATCTTTCTGGTATTCACACTGTGTCATGCCCTTCCCCTTCAGCACGGGTGGGATCTACAGCTTGCTTCTAACCAGCAGAATAAGGCAAAGGTGATGGGATTCCATGATTATGTGTACGTGAGTACGTTACATAAGGTAACAGGTCTTGCTGGAGTCTCACTCCTCCCACGTTGAAGAAGCAAGCTGCCATGTTGTAGGTTGCCTGTGTTGGGAGGCCAATATGACAAGGAGCAAAGGATGGCTTCCAGCACACAGCTACAAAAAACTGAAGCCCTCAGTCCTACAGCCACAGGAACTCAATTCTGCCAACAAAACTTCTGAGCCTCAGATGAGACTGCAACTCCAGCTAACATCTTAACTGCAGTCTTCTAAGATGCTAAGCAGAGGAGCAGAGGACCCCAGCTAAGCCATCTGGATTCCTGACCCACAAAAACTGTGAAATAATAGATGTGTGATGTTTTACCCTGCTCAATTTGTAGCAATTTATTATGCAGTAATAGAAAACTAACACAACATTTAACCTTTTTGGGGGATTGATATCCTCAAGTAAAAATCATTTTGAAAGGCTGAATTCAGAATTCCTTCTATAACTGAACTTCTGTGCCTCTAAACATCCATTGTCTCTGAACTAATTTGTATCACTTAAATTTTTCTTTTTTCTTTTTTTTTTTTTTTTTTTTTGAGACAAGGTGTCACTCTGTCGCCCAGGCTGGAGTGCAGTGGCGTGATCTCAGATCACTGCAACCCTGCCTACCAGGTTCAAGTGATCCACATGCCTCAGCCTCTCAAATAGCTGGGATTATAGGCATGCGCTACCACCCAGCTAATTTTTGTATTTTTGTATAGAGACAGGGTTTCACCACGTTGGCCAGGCTGGTCTCAAACTCCTGACCTCAGGCCTTGGCCTCCCATCATGCTGGGATTACAGGCATGGGCCACTGACCCTGGCCTACATTTTTTCTATGGTAGAAATTTAACGCCAGGTGTGGTGGCTCATGCCTGTAATCCTAGCACTTTGGAAGGCCAGGGCAGGCAGATCACTTAATCCCAGGAGTTTGTGACCTGCCTGTGCAACATTGTGAAACCTGGTCTCTTTTAAAAAAAAAAAATAGCCCAGCATGGTGGTGGGCACCTGTAGTCCTAACTACTCAGGAGACTGAGGTGAGAAGATCACTTGAACCTGAGAGGCAAAGGTTGAATGAGCCAATATGGCACCACTGCACTCCAGTCTGGGTGACAGAACAAGATTTAAGCCTAGGTCTGTCCAAATTATTAGAAATTATGATTTAGTAAAGATTATAATCCATGAGATACAGAATATCCACCCCCTACATACAAATGAGACACACACATCATTGGTACTATTGCTAATCACTTTCTCCAACACAGAGACAGTTATTTATGAAATGTATGGGAAGAGGTTCATATTCCTTAAGACTTTCCCCATATATAGCACTATTTTTTTTCAAAGATCTCAAAGTGATTTACAAAAACTGGCAACCAGGGAATAAGATATATCACTAAACAACCCTAGATTTGGATGTCTTGGTACAACTCCACGTTCAGCTAGAAAATATTTCTTTAATGCTGAAAACATTTTCAAGAATGCACGAGGCCAGGCATGGTGGCTCACACCTGTACTCGCAGCACTTTGGAAGGCTGATGTGGCAAGAATGCTTGAGGCCAGAACTTCAAGACAAACCTGGGCAACATAGCAAGACCCTTTCTCTACAAAAATTAGCTGAGAGTCGTGGTGTACACCTGTGGTCCCAGCTACTTGGGAGGCCCAGGCGGGAGGATCCCTTGAGCCAAGAAGGCTGAGGGCACAGTGAGCTATGATTGAGCCACTGTACTCCAGCCTAGGCGACAGAGAGAAATCCTATCTCATAAAAAACCAAAACAACAACAACAACAAAAACAGCCTCATGAGGATAAGGACTCCTACAGGAATGCAAGCTCCATGAGTTTTGTTTACTGCTGTAATACCAGAAGTTAGAACAGTGCTTGGCTTAGAGAATGTGCTCAATAAATATCTATCAAATAAATATGAAGATTAGTAATAATCACTCTTCTCACCTGGAACCCATCCGACAAAGAGATTGGTAAGATGAGGCAGGCATATATACAATAGCAGAATTATAACACAGCATGAGAAAACTCAGGACTTCAAACCTAAAAACAACAAATGCAAGGTTAAAAGGATTACAAATAATTACTTCTACTAGCAACTGGTTATGACAATGCCTTAATATTGACCTTTATGATTTCTTAATCAAATCAATATAGCATCTTCCTCAAAGGTTTCCCTGTTTATATTCTCCTTATTACAAATCATAACCCTTGCTGTCATCTTGTCATCTATATTTCCGTTTTTAAAAAATAAATCAGGCCAGGTGCAGGGGCTCATGCCTGTAATCCCAGCACTTTGGGAGGCCGAAGTGGGTGGATCACAAGGTCAGAAGATCGAGACCATCCTGGCTAACACGGTGAAACCCCGTCTCTATTAAAAATACAAAAATTAGGCAGGTGTGGTGGCACATGCCTGTAGTCCCAGCTACTCAGAAGGCTGAGGCAGGAGAATTGCTTGAACCCGGGAGGCGGAGGTTGCAGTGAGCCGAGACTGTGCCACTGCACTCCAGCCCGGGCAACAGAGTGAGACTCCATCTCAAAAAATCAATCAATCAATCAATCATGCTTGAACAGATGACTCCCCTATGAATAAGTCTACCATCTTCCTACTGACTTCATAATAAAATCCAAACTTATCACAAGGTCCTTTAAAATCAAAGTCCTTCTTACAAGGTACTTTAAAATCCACCCTCATCCTTCCTCTCCAGCCTTATTTCTCTCCATTACCAACCACATATACCACACTTTATCAATCTTCTTACCATTCCAACAATATGCTGTAACCATTCAGAATCCCTTGCTTTAATGCTTGCTGCTCCTTCTTAATAGAATATGCTTTTTTACTTGGGTGATTCCTGATAAGATTTCAAGTCCTAGATCAAATTTTTACCTTAGCCATAAAGCCCTTCTTAATTCTCTCTGCTAAAGTAAACCAGTCCCTTACCTCTGTAGCTCTAACATAGCATTTATCCCACTGAATTGTAATTTTACGCCTCTATGTCTCTTTCACCCGTTTAGTAATAAAGCAACTTTAGAACAGAGATCCTGATTTATTAATCTCTATCATTGGTGTCCAGCACGGTGTCTAATACATAATTGTTTAATAAATACTTGTTGAATGAATAAATAAATGCTTTCCTAACATTTATAATGTCTAAGAAAGTGGCTCCTAAATCTGGATGCACATTAGTTATTTAGAGACCTTTTTAAAAACATACACTTCTATGTCTTAACCCAGTTGACCCACTTAAATCCTCGGGTAGGAACTAGGGAAGTTGTACCTCTAAAAAGCTTCCCATAGATGAATGGTGAAGGGTTTATGGAAACTCTTTGTACTATTTTAGCAATGTTTTTTGTAAGTCTGAAGTTATTTCAAAATGAAAAGTTAAAAATCAAGCTGAAAGTCTGATCTGGAAGCAGCCATACTTTCAGATCCCTTCACTTTCTCCATATATCTAGGTAAAAGAATGGAGATTTATTCTCTGAAAGGATAAAAACTAATTTCTACCTGGGAGCCCTAGCTGTGATGGGGGTGGATGCCAAACTGAAAATAGGAAGATTAAGTGAAGTGAAATATACCTGCCTAGATATTGCCAGTTTGCCACCAAAATACTAGCAAAAAGATCTCTAGTTAAGATACCAGAAGAGTTGTTTCTAGGGAATTTGACCACTCTAAGAAGAAAGACTTAAAGATATGGACTTGGGAAATTTTCCAAATGAATGGCCTAGTGGGATCCTATGGTGAAGTTTATAGTCAGTTACTAAGTTGGTGCAAAACTTTAAAAAAAATTTTTTAAATGGCAAAACCACAATAACTTTTGCACCAATACTAGCTCAAATCAGCCATATATTAACATGGTCAGAGCTTCTCATTTTTTATTCCCTCTCCCCACTTTTTTTTTTTTGAGACAGAGTCTCGGTCTTGTCACCCAGGCTGAAGTATAATGGCATGATCTCGGCTCACTGCAACCTCCGCCTCCCAGGTTCAAGCCATTCTCTTGCCTCAGCCTCCCAAGTAGCTGGGATTACAGGTGCCCACCACTACACTTGGCTAATTTTTTTTTGTATTTTTAGTAGCGACAGGGTTTCACTATTTTGGCCAGGCTGGTCTCGAACTCCTGACCTCAGGTGATCTGCCTGCCTCGGCCTCCCAAAGTGCTGGGATTACAGGCGTGAGCCACCGCACCCAGCCTATTCCCCTATTCTTAAACATGAGGGAAAAAAGGTTGCCAGACATCTAAGGAACTCTACTAGGATGAAAAAGAGACTATAAAGAAATAGAAGGGCTGGGCGCAGTGGCTCACATCTGTAATCCCAGCACATTGGGAGGCCGAGGCGGATCATACAGTCAGGAGTTCGAGACCAGCCTGGCCAACATAGTGAAACCCCATCTCTACTAAAAATACAAAAATTAGCTGGGCATGGTGGCGCGCGCCTGTAGTCCCAGTTACTCGGGAAGCTGAGGCAGGAGAATCACTCGAACCCGAGAGGCGGAGGTTATGGTGAGCTGAGATCATGCCACTGCACTCCAGCCTGGGCAACAGAGCAAGACTCCGTCTCAAAAAAAAAAAAAAAAAAAAAAAGAAATAGGAGGCTCCGTCCAGTAGGTCATTCCTGAAATCCCAGCACTTTGGGAGGCTGAGGCAGGGAGGATTGCTTGAGCTCACGCATTCAAGAGCAGCCTGGGTAACATATTGAGACCCTGTTGGTACAAAAATAATTTTTTTAATTAGCGGGCCATGGTGGTAGTCCTAGTTACTCAGGAAGCTGAGGCAGGAGTACTTGAGCTCAGGAGGAGCACCTGAGCTCAGGGGTTCTAGGGTGCAGGCTGCAGTAAGCCATGATCATGCCACTGCACACCAGCCTGGGCAACAAAGCAAGACCCTGTCTTAAGAAAAAAAGAAAAATATGCAGAGCTAAAGCATATTTAGCTTTGGGGAAAAAAATGTATGTGTATTCCTGATAAAGTTGGCTACATAAAAAACTAAAACATACAGCAAAAACAAGTAAATACCAGAATGCCATATCACTCTTTATACCCATTAAGATGGCTACAATAAAAAAGATGGAAAATAAGCGTGAGAATGTAGAGAAACTGCTATCCTCATACACTGTTGTAGAAACGTAAAATGGTACAGCTACTCTGGAAAGAAGCATGACAGTTCCTCAAGAAGTTAAGTGTTGAATTACCATATGACCTAGCAATTCTATTCCTAGGTATATACTAAAAAGAACTGAAAAATGTATGTTCACACAAAAATTTGTGAATGCATGTTCAAAACAGCTGTTGTGGTCTAAATTCATGTTGAAACTTAATCATCGATATGGTGGTATTAAGAGGGTGGGGCCTTTGCAGCTGGGCAAGGTGGCTCATGCCTATAATCCCAGCACTTTGGGAGGCCAAGGCAGGTGGATCACCTGAGGTCAGGAGTTCAAGACCAGCCTGGCCAACATAGTGAAACCCTGTCTCTACAAAAAAAAAAAAAAAAAATTAGCCAGGCACGGTGTTGCACACCTGTAGTACCAACTATTCAAGTGGCTGAGGCAGGAGAATCACTTGAACCCAGGAGGCAGAGGGTGCAGTGAGCCAAGATCGTGACACTGCACTCCAGCCTGGGTGACAGAGCTAGACTCTGTCTCAAAAAAAAAAAAAAAAAAGAGATGGGGCCTTTGGGACACGATTAGGTCATGACAGCTCTGCCCTCCTACATTTGATTATCTAGAAGGTGCCATCTATGAGGCAGAGACTATGAGCCCTTACTAGACACTGAATCTGCTGGCACTTTAAGCTTGTACTTTCGAATCTGCAGAACTGTGAGCAATACATTTCTATCGTTTATATATTACCCAGTCTAAGGTATTTTGTTATAGCAGCCCAAATAGACTAAAGAGAGCAGAGTTATTCATAACAGCCAAAAAAGAAAAAATAGAAATAACTCGAATGTCCATCCACTGATGAATGGATAAATAAAATGTGGTATATCCACACAATGAAATATTATTTAGTTATAAAAAGAAAGTACTGATACATTCTACCACAGAAACAAACCTTGTAAACATGCTAAGTGAAAGAAGCCATACACAAAAGGCAACATATTGTATGGATCCATTCATGTAAAATGTCTAGTAATAAAAACTACTCAATTGTATGCTTTAAAGGGGTAAATTTTATTTCTATTTTTATTTTTTTTTTTGAGACAGAGTCTTGCTCTGCCGCCAGGCTAGAGTGCAGTGGCACAATCTCGGCTCACTGCAACCTCCGCCTCCTGGGTTCAAGTGATTCTCCTGCCTCAGCCACCCAGTAGCTGGGATTACAGGCATGAGCCACCACACCCGGCTAATTTTTGTATTTTTAGTAGAGACAGGGTCTCACCATGTTGGCTAAGCTGGCCTCAAACTCCTGGCCTCCAGTAATCCACCTGCCTCAGCTTCCCAAAGTGCTGGGATTATAGGCATGAGCCACTGTGCCTGGCTCCCTAAAGGGGTAAATTTTATGGTATGTGAATTATATCTCAATTTAAAAAATAAATGTAAAGTCAATAATTAGCTGAAAACGTGCAACATGAAAAACCAGTGTCAATTCCTCAATATTCAAAGAACTATTGCAAGTCACCAGGAAAAAAAAAAAAATACACAGCTCAATAAGAAAAATGGGGCTGGGCACAGTGGCTCACATCTATAATCCCAGCACTTTGGGAGGTCGAGGTGGGAGGACTGCTTGAGCCCAGGAATTTGAGACCAGCCTGGGCAATACAGTGAAACAAACCTCTCCCACCAATCAGCCAAAAAAAAAAAAAAAGGACAAAGGACATGAATATGCAGTTCATAGGTAAAGAAAAACAATAATGAATAACAATGTGACACCAGTTTTTAACTATCAGATTGGTAAAGATTAAAAACTTTGAAAATAATCAGTATTGGGAGTTAGTAGGAGGAAAAACTCTCAAACTACTAGTAGGACATTCAATTGGTATAGTTGCTTTGGCAAGGCTAATTTGACAATATCTACTCCAACTAAAAAAGCAGAGATTCTTTTTTTTTTTTTTGAGATGGAGTCTTCCTCTGTCACCCAGGCTGGAGTGCAGTGGCGCGATCTTGGCTCACTGCAACCTCCGCCTCCCGGGTTCAAGCGATTCTCCTGCCTCAGCCTCCCGAGTAGCTGGGATTACAGGCACCTGCCACCACGCCCAGCTAATTTTTGTATTTTTAGTAGAGACGGGTTTCACTGTGTTGGCCAGGCTGGTTTCGAACTCCTAACTTCGTGATCCACCCACCTCGGCCTCCCAAAGTGCTGGGATTACAAGCGTGAGCCACTGCACCCGGCCACAGATATTATTTAGCGTAACAATTCACTGCTAGGAATTTATCCTATAGATACTTTTCGTGCTCTCACGCAAATGTATGTACAAAAAATGTGTTCCCTGTAATATTGTTTATAGCAGCAAAAAACTGAAAACAATCTAAATTTACTCAATAAGAGACTGGCTAAAAATTGATGGTACATACATAAAATGGAATAATAACTCATCATTAAAAAGAATAAGATATCTATGTGCCACTAGAGAAAGAAATACAAAATTTTTTTAAGAGATTGGGTCTCGCTTTGTTGCCCAGGTTGGAGTGCAGTGGTGCAATCATAGCTTACTGCAGCCTCAAACTCCTGGGCTTGGTCCTCCAGCCTCGGCCTCCAGAGTACCTAGGACCATAGGCATGTATCACCACACTCAGCTATTTTTTAAGAGATCGGGTCTTGCTATACTGTCCAGGCTGTTCTTGAAGTCCTGGCCTCAAGTGATCCTCCCACCTCAATCCATGCACTAGGATTATAGGCATGAACCAATGTGTCCAGCCCAAGACTTATTCTTTAAAAAGCTGGGCTGGGAAGCTGAGGCAGGAGAATAGCTTCAACTAGTGGGGTGAAGGCTGCAGTGAGCTGAGATCGCACCACTGCACTTGTAATCCCAGCACTTTGGGAGGCTGAGGTGGGTGGATCACAAGGTCAGGGGTTCAAGACTAGCCCGACCAAAATGGTGAAACCCCATCTCTACTAAAAATACAAAAATTAGCCAGGCATGGTGGCGTGCGCCTGTAATCCCAGCTACTCAGGAGGCTGAGACAGGAGAATCGCTTGAACCTGGGAGGCGGAGGTTGCAGTGAGCAGAGATCGCGCCACTGCACTCCAGCCTGGGCGACAGAGCGAGACTCCATCTTAAAAAAAAAAAAAAAAGTGAAAACATATCAGCTTAGCAGGTTGGCTGAATTGCATGCAGTTTGCCGCTATGTTTGGGTTTTTTGTTGTTGTTGTTGCTTTTTTTTTTTTTTTTTTTTTTTTGAGATGGATTTCACCCTTGTTGCCCAGGATGCAGTACAGTGGCACAATCTCGGCTCACTGCAAAACCTCTGCCTTCTGGGTTCAAGTGATTCTCCTGCCTCAGCCTCCCGAGTAGCTAGGATTACAGGTGCCCACCATCACGCCCAACTAATTTTTTGTATTTTTAGTGAGACAGGGTTTCACCATGTTTTGGTCAGGCTGGTCTCAAACTCCTGACCTCAGGTGATCCACCCGCCTCAGCCTCCCCAAGTGCTGGGATTACAGGCGTGAGCCACCATGCCTGGCCTGTTTGGGTTTTTATCAGCTTATGAGTGGTGGCCAGTGGCCTGGCCATGTGGTCAGGCAGAAGGGTAATATAAAACTGGCCTAATAAAGGGGTGCCTGTATGGAAAAAAACAGGCATATGGAAATCACTATGGGAATTTGAAGCGTGCATAAGTAGGATATGTCAATGCACATCAGGAGAACTCCCTTCTAGAATCAGGTGACTGGCACCTATGGGCAAATATCCCTGTGTAGCCACCTGGAGTGATCACTTGGGTCCATGAAATGAGTGGACATGGTGGTACTGCAGCAATGCAGAGATGGGTTGAATTTAGACATATTTTTTGTACCCTCTGAGGCATAAAATGCCAATAAAACAGACAAAGACTGCAGATGGCTATGGGGCAGATTCCTCTGGGGGAAGGTCCTGCACATAGCTGGCAAGCCAAACAGATGCCAGCAGTCTCTGGAGGCCACAAATGGGTCCTGACAGGAACAGACACTGCATTAGGTTTTGCTTATCAGATTGTGGATCAAATGCTCAGAGTACTGTAAAAGGACCAGAAGATATTGTACCCATATGGACTGCTTAGCTACATTTTTGGAGCAAGAAACACACTTTAAAGACCAAAAGTCCAATGGCCGGGTGCAGTGGCTCACGCCTGTAATCCCTCGGCACTTTGGGAGGCCGAGGCAGGTGGATCACGAGGTCAGGAGATCGAGACCATCCTGGCTAACACAGTGAAACCCCGTCTCTACTAAAAGTACAAAAAATTAGCCAGGCATGGTGGCGGGCGCCTGTAGTCCCAGCTACTTGGGAGCCTGAGGCAGGAGAATGGTGTGAACCCAGGAGGCGGAGTTTGCACTGAGCCGAGATCGTGCCACTGCACTCCAGCCTGGGCAACAGTGCAAGACTCCATCTCAAAAAAAAAAAAAAAAAAAAGACCAAAAGTCCAACAGTGGGCAAAGAGACATCCTCAGGGTAATGGAACAAGCAATTGCGTGGAATGAAAGCAATTGAAAAATGAAAATAATTGGAACAATCAAATGAGATATTTTTGGTCTAAAAGGCTGGGGGTGAGATACAGGTATGAAGGGTTGGCTTATAGGCCTTCATGACTGTGTACTTAACCTGAGCGGGGCCAAGGGAGGGCCAATTATCACTGGAGAGATTCCTCTGTTTTTCTGGGGGGGTTTGGGATTAGGCAGTGGAGAGATGATGCTGGAATAGTCATCATTACTATTCTGTTATTCTCATAGTGACAGAAGGTGGTGGTATTACTACACTTTTTTCCCGTCTTTTCCACATCACCTCAACATTTTTTTTTCCCACCTAAGGCAGTGGTTCCAGTACCAGTGCTGCAACTGTGGGTGCAAGGAGCAGAGATGATTCCTAAGCAAAAAAACCGGAACTACACCTTCAAATCTTTATGTCAGAATTCCTAAAGGCCTGATGGGCTAGGCTATGCCTTCATTCCATCTGGCAAAATTAGGATTGACAGAGAATGTATATTTATCGCCTAGTTGTGATAGCACATTAGTTCTTTATATAAATATACCCTACATCCTTGGGAGTGAATTGATAGGGAGGCACTTGCTAGCCAGTTTTGCTGCCAGAAATAGAGACCAACACGATGGTCAAACCTAACCTCTCTCCAAGGTAGAAAAGTCGGAGTACAAATGAAGAGAGAGAGAAATAGTAGCTGAGATTTTTTATTTTTTATTTTGTTATTTTTATTTATTTATTTATTTTTTCTGAGACGGAGTTTCACTCTGTCGCCAAGGCTGGAGTGCAATGGCACGATCTTGGCTCACTGCAACCTCCGCCTCCCCGGGTTCAAGCGATTCTCCTGTCTCAGCCTCCTGAGTAGCTGGGATTACAGGCATGCGCCACCACGCCTGGCTAACTTTTGTGTTTTCAGTAGAGACAGAGTTTCACCATGTTGGCCAGGCTAGTCTCGAACTCCTGACCTTGTGATCCGCCTGCCTCAGCCTCCCAAAGTGCTGAGATTACAGGCGTGAGCTATCGCGCCTGGCTTTTTTTTTTTTTTTGAGACGGAGTCTTGCTCTGTCACCCAGGCTGGAGTGCACTGGCGTGATCTCAGCTCACTGCAACCTCTGCCTCCTTGGTTCAGGTGATTGTCCCTCCCTCAGCCTCTCAAGTAGCTGGGATTACAGGCACCCACCACCACGCCTGGTTAATTTTTTTTTTTTTTTTGTATTTTTTAGCAGAGATAGGGTTTTGCCACATTGGCCAGGCTGGTTTTGAACTCCTGACCTCAGGTGATCCACCTGCATCGGCCTCCCAAAGTGCTGGGATTACAGGCATGAGCCGCACCTGGCGAGATTTTTTTAAATGAATAAATGAGTTTTGCAATGTGGGAAATACATTAGCACCTTGGAAGACACTCAGAGCAAGAGATGATACTATTAGCTCAATTATACTAGATGCCTGAAAGAGTAAAAGTCAAGTGTTTGTGAGGCCACTCCTGCTTTTAGAACTTAATAAGGCTAAACAGAAGTCTGTAAACTTGAGTGACTTCTCTCTGGGAGATATTTTGGTCATATATGATGATGAACTGGGATAATTGTTAATGACTGACTGGCACTCTATGAATGTGCCAGTATCTTTGGCTCTTATTTTTCAGGTTTCATTTACTGCCATCCTGTGACATGGTATAATATTGGCATTGTTGGTAAGGTTATAATATTGGTCATATGTATTGGAAATTGAATTGAAGCCTCCTTAGAATGAATACTAATGGAACATGACTTGCCTGAGGAGGAACTAAATTTAGCTAATCATTAACTAATTTCTATGACAAATAGTGCTGCACAAGTTTACCACAAGGTAGATAAAGAAGAGGGGTGAGGTAATCAAATTTGTGCAAAAATATGAAAATATATGCAAACATTAAAGGATGAATTAGTTATTTCTTTAAATCTATCTGTAACCTACACTGGCTCCTCCAAATGTTAGGCATATTCATAATGATAGTATCTGTCATATAAATGCTATACTAAATGTAGATGCCCAGATAAACATGATCATTTTTGAGCCTTGGCCAAAGACCAGGGGACAGCCTGTATAATAAATACAGGTGTTTCTCGACCTATGATGGAATTGCATACCAATAAACCCATTGTAAATCGAAAATATCATAAGTCAAAAAAGCATTTAATACATCTACCCTACTGAACATCATAGCATAGTCCAGCCTACCTTAAATGTGCTCAGAACACTTACATTAGCCCTACAGCTGGGCAAAAATCATCTAACACAAAGCCTATTTTATATTTATCATAAAATTGAGTATCTCATGTAATTTACTGAATACTGTACTGAAAGTAAAAATGAGAAGGTTTACATAGGTACTTGAAGTACAGTTTTTATTGAATGCATATTGCTTTGATACCATTGTAAAGTTGAAAAACCTTAAGTTGAACCATAATAATTCATGGGCCATCTATAAACTGGCCTTGCCCAAAGAGACATCTGGCCTTTGCTCCTAGGAAGTTAATCTGATAAAGAGTCTTTGTTTAGGGCCGAGACTGGTAACACCAGAACTTCAGGCCGGACTGACCACATCTGACTTTCTTAGGTAGGAGTTGGCCATGCCAGAAAGAACTGCCGTGTGATTTAAGGTGGTAGCTCTGGGTCACACTGCATCAGTCCACATGGAGGCTGAGATCAACCAAGTAGGCAATCAACCTAATCAATCATGCCTACATAATGATGCCTCAATAAAAAAAACTCTGGAAACCAGAGCTTAAATGAGCCTCTCCCATTACCAATACTTTGTGTTTACTGTCATGCATTGATGCCAGGAGGGTAATGTATCCTGACTTCAGGGGAAAGGACAACAGATGCTTTGTGTTTGAAACCCTTCATATTCTACTATATGTGTCTCTTTTGGCTGATTTTAATCTCTATTCTTTCCCTGTAATAAACCATAACTGTGAGTATAATGGCTTTCAGTGAATCCTGTGAGTCCTTCTAGCAAATTATCAAACAAGAGTTTGGTTTTGGGAACTCCCAAAACTTTCAATTAGTCAGAAGTGAGGGCAATTTTGCAACCTGTCCCTCAAACTGTAAAATTTCAGGTACGAATCCCATTCTGCAACCAAGAAAGCAAGGTGTACAGAGTAGATAAACTGTCTGAGGGAAAAATTTCTAAATTGCAGTACTAGAATATGAATCCTGGTTTGACTGACTGCACATCCACTTTTTACACTGCTTTATACAAGATGACCATAACATAATACCAAACATTAGACAATGGGTATTTCACAACTATGATGTATTTACCTTTTGGAGTCTTCTCATACCAAACTTGAACTGAAGTAATTATAGTTAACTACTAAGTGTAAGTTAATGATTGTTAGCTGAGTGCAGTGGTGCATGCCTGTAATCCCAGCTACTCAGGAATCTAAGGTGGGAGGATCACGTTGAGGCCAGGAGATCAAGACCAGCCTAGGCAACATAACTAGACTCTGTCTCTAAATAAATAAATAAATGGGCCAGGTGCAGTGGCTCATGCCTATAATCTCAGCACTTTGTGAGGCTGAGGCAGGAGAAGTGCTTGAGGCCAGGAGTTCGAGACCAGCCTGGACAACATAGCAAGACCTTTTCTCTACAAAAAATAAAAAAAAAATTGGCCAGGCATGGTGGTGTACACCTGTAGTCCTAGCTACTTGGAAAGCTGAGGTGGGAAGATCACTTAAGCCTGGGAGGTCAAGGCTGCAGTGAGCCATGTTTGTGGCTACAAACTACATTCCAGCCTGGGTGACAGAGTGAGACTCTGTCATTCATTCATTCATATATATATTCATGCATACATACATACAAGTTGTTACTATATACAGTTTTGACCATTACCGGTTCTGTGCAGTGAATGTTTCCCTCTGAGGATGAAGATCACTATAAACAACTCTGATGAGATCATGCTGACACAATGCCCCTTCTGTCAAAGCCATGGATCCAATTGTTGAAGGCTACAAAAATAAGGTACAGTATGAGACAATGTCTCTACCATGAAGTAAAAATCTGTATCATGTAATAATATTTAATTTTCTTTTCCATAAAAGGCAGTTTTGGATCATTTATTCTTCTCATTCTTCACGGAAAAGGTTCAGAATCTTTCAACTGTCAATTATATAAATTCTATAGCTTCTTTTGGAAATTGCCTGTAAAATATAAAACTAAAAACATTTTTTAAAAGTCATGTAATAAATCTATATTTAAGAGAGTATGAAAAGTTGCTGAAAAAACTAAAGGTTAAAAATACATCCATTTTAATGTCTATATTCCAGAATGAGTACAACTGCTTATAATTATACAAACAATATTAAAGACTATAATCAAATATCTCTCTTTTTTTTTTGAGACAGAGTCTCACTCTGTCTCCCAGGTTGGAGTGCAGTGGCACAATCTTTGCTCACTGAAACCTCCGCCTTTTGGGTTTGAGTGATTCCTGTGCCTCAGACACCTGAGTAGCTGGCATTACAGGTACCCACTACCACATCCAGCTAATTTTTGTATTTTTAGTAGAGACGCGGTTTCGCCATGTTGGCCAGGCTGGTCTCAAACTTCTGACCTCAAGTGATCCACCCACCTCGGCCTCCCAAAGTGCTGGGATTACAAGCATGAGCCACCATAACTGGCCCAAATGTCTCTTTAATACTAACATTATTGAGTTCATGTTTCTAAAGTTAGAAGAACCATCCAGGCCAGGCGCGGTGGCTCACGCCTGTAATCCCAGCACTTCGGGAGGCCAAGGTGGGCAGATCAAGAGGTCAGGATATCAAGACCATCCTGGCTAACACAGTGAAACCCCATCTGCACTAAAAATACAAAAAAATTAGCCGGGCGTGGTGGCATGCACCTGTAGTCCCAGCTACTCGGAAGGCTGAGACAGGAGAATCGCTTGAACCCGGGAGGTGGAGGTGGCAGTGAGCTGAGATCGCGCCACTGCACTCCATCCTGGGTGACAGAGCGAGACTCTGTCTCAAAAAAAAAAAAAAAAGAAAAGAAGAAGAAGAACCATCCATTCTTTAATACTTTACTACTCTCCATTTTATTTCATGATACACACAACTTAATTAAAATCTATTATTCAGAAATATACTGTGCTAAAATGATTCCTGGCTAAATGGGAGACATTCTATTTTAAACACAAAACAAAGTCCCACGGAATTAATTAAGCAAATTAATAGTGCAAAGAGCTATGAGATGGTCAGGATACTGTGTGTTGACAGGAAAATAGAATACAATTTTTAGACTACTAGTAAAGTTTCTTTAAATGTTATCCTCACGACTTAGTGTAGTGGCAACAAAGGCCACTGCAGACCACAAGTTTGATTCATAAGTTTCTTATTGGATTTTACTTAAAGACAGAAAGTAGAAGAAGTTCAGCTCAACAGGTATCATTTACCTACATGATTATCAGTGTTCTCAAATTCTTCAGCCAAATAAATATAAGCAAAAAAGTATAATGTACTGAACACCTAGAATACAGCAATTAGATTCCTTTAAACTGAAATACAACAATTAGAGTGTCAACATTCTTTTAAGTAGTTATTTTCCTAGAATAATAAAGAATAACAAAAACAAATCAATCTAAGGTGATTTCTAAGTAGTATGGAAGACTTTAAAAATTAAAGAATATTTTTAAGCTTATTATTTAAAAAATTAAAAATAAAAATATTTTAAAAATTAAAGAATTTTTTAAAAATTCATAAAAGACTAATGAGAGTAAAAAATGATGGTAGAGTCAGGCGTGGTGGCTCATACCTGTAATCCCAGCACTTTGGGAGGCCTAGGCGGGCGGATCACAAGGTCAGGTGTTCAAGATCAGCCTGGCCAACATGGTGAAACCCCATCTCTACTAAAAATAAAAAAATTAGCCAGGCATGGTGGCACGTGTCTATAGTCCCAGCTACTCAGGAGGCCGAGGCAGGAGAATCGCTTGAACCCAGGAGGCAGAGGTTGCAGTGAGCCAAGATCGCACCACTGCACTCCAGCCTGAGGGACAGAGCGAGACTCCATCTCAAAAAACAAACAAACAAACAAACAAAAAAGATACTGATAGAAGAATAAAAAAACAAAAGAACTAAAGAAAATTTTCATTATTTTCTACCTCTCTCGTCACAGCTCAGTCTTCTAATAACAAACATCCACTTTTAAGAAGCAAATCAGTAAAGATATTTTAGGAATATTTATCTCTGATAAGAAACTGACTTTTTGATTTGTTACTCAATATAATTTAAAATAATTCCACCTTTCCAATGTTACTTACTTCATGGTATATTGAAGGCTTGGATAAGGAGGGGATAGTGAAAGACAGAACTTTATTGTTCCCATCTTTATCAGCGATTTCCTATAGTCAAAAAATATACAAAGATAATGAAATAATCACAGATCTACACGAAATAATAATTACTTTCTTAATTTACAGAATATATGATTGGCAGTAGGAAGATTTTTCAGAAACAGTAATGTATAAAAACATTACCACCCTAGTTTATCTTTTCTAACTTATTAACAAATTTGTACACTTTGGTAGTACAGTTATAATCCACAGAATCCACAGAGAGATGGACATTGAGTACAATATTATACTAAATCAAATACAATATGACAGCAAAGACATGAGGCAGGCAAACGAATCAATTTGATGTTAAATTTACATACAGGATGGGAAGATTACAAGTGATTAGCTCCTTTAGTAAAAACATGGCTATGCTAAACAGATTAAAATTAAAAGTCTTATCCAAGAGATCCACACTTACGAAAACAAGAAAAACACATTAATTTAATACAGAATGAATTTTTTCCAGCTTTACTGAGGTATAATTGACAAATGAACATTATATATTTATGGCATAAAACACAATGTTTTAATATATGTATATACTGTGAAATGATTAAAACAATCAAGCTAATTAACACATGCAACACCTCATAGTTATCCCTTTTTTTTTAAATGGTGAGAACCTTTATGAATGAATCTTGAATAAAAGAAACTCTTACAATCATTCGCAATAAACGAATGACCTGAAATAAGCCACATTAATAATTATTGGGCCAGGTGTGGTGGCTGAGGCCTGTAATCCCATCACTTTGGGAGGCCAAGGCAGTCGGATCGCTTCAGCTCAGAAGTTTGAGACCAGCCTAGGCAACATGGCAAAACCCCATCTCTACAAAAAAATACAAAAATTAGCTGGGCATGGTATCGCAGGCCTGTAGTCCCAGCTACTCAGGAGGCTGAGGTGGGAGGATCCCTTGAGCCTTGGAGGTGGAAGTTGCAGTGAGCTGAGATCACCCACTGCACTCCAGCATGGGTGACAGAGTGACACCCTGTCTCAAAAACAAACAAACAAACAAAATGATTATTAGTCTAAGTCATTAAAAATAAATTCCTATTAGGTAATTTTTACTAAGCTACAAGACAGTTCTTGTGATTTTTTAGAAAACACTTTATTTTCATAAAAAAGACAATGGACAATGGTATCCTTCATTTCTCCATCTCTGGCACCTCCAATATTCCTGTTATAAATAAATATGTGCAGTCAGGCGTGGTGGCTCACGCCTGTAATCCTAGCACTTTGGGAGGCTGAGGCGGGTAGATCACCTGAGGTCAGGAGTTTGAGACCAGCCTGGCCAACAAGATGAAACCCTGTCTCTACTAAAAATACAAAAATTAGCCAGGCATGGTGGCAGACGCCTATAATCCCAGCTACTCAGGAGGCTGAGGCAGGAGAATTGCTCGAACCCAGGAGGCAGAGGTTGCAGTGAGCCGAGATCACACTATCGCACTCTAGCCTGGGGGACAAGAGCGAGACTTCGTTTCAAAAAATACACACACACACACACACACACACACACACACGCCTACAGATGACGACAATCAGAGGAGTGAAAACTGCAGCAATCCTTTTCCCCACTGTCTTATTTTTGTCTATTTCCCTTACAACTCATATTAGCATACATCACTGGCATAAAATCCATAGAAAGAAGACTGCCCTTACTAGACCTATATGGTAAGTAGTCAGAGACTGAGTAGCTGCATGGCCTAAAAAGAAGAAACATCAGGCCGGGCACAGTGGCTCACGCCTGTAATCCCAGCACTTTGGGAGGCTGAGGCAGGCAGTATCACTTGAGGTCAGGAGTTCGAGACTAGCATGGCCAACAAAGCAAAACCCAATCTCTACTAAAAATACAGAAATTAGCTGGGCATGGTGGCACATGCCTGTAATCCCAGCTACTTGGGAGGCTAAGGCAGGAGAATCACTTGAACCCCGGAAGTAAACGTTGCAGAGAGCTAAGACTGCCACTGCACTTCAGCCTAGGCGACAGCTGAGACTGTGCCACTGCACTCCATTTCAAAAAAAAAAAAAAAAAAGAAAGAACAGCAGCAATAATCATCATCACCAAACACAAACCCCAAAGAACTTCCGTATAGGGCTCATTTCTGAGTTTATTATGTCAGAGAAGAATACCAATTACATGTGAATAATGACCATACCTCTAATTATGGTAGGAAAATAGGTCTGAAAAGTCCCTTGAGGGTATAACTTCTTTGTAGTTAAACCAGGTCCCACCACATCTGGGCCACTGTGCTTCAGAGAAAGCCTATGCTAAGATGAATGGGCCTGATTTAAGTTAAGCAAAAATGTTTTAATTTTATTCTTAAATTTCAAATTAAGCCAAGTACTTTTGATTTATCTTTGCAGGTATTTGTGAAAATGATATGCTAAATTTTGTTTAAGAGAAATATACAACTCCCCCTGGGGCTATTTGAAACAACGAAGTGCTGGGGAGGGAAAGAAGGAAAAACAGAAAAGAATATATGGATGACTCCCACTGTGATTAAGAAAAACTGAGAACCACAGAAAAGGAAGAACACAGACATCGAGGGAATCAAAAGGAGTCCAAAGCCTAGGGTTACATTTCTGACATATAACTGAGCATTTTTCTATAGTATACTAATTTTGCACTGTCAAAAGATAACTGAACCACAGCACCAATAAGTTATGTCAACAACTTGTCAAACATGACACTTTGCAAAATGTTTGTTTCATGTGTCCCATTATTGAATTTTATTACACTAAACACATTAATAAAAATGATAGCTTAATGCTAAGCATAATCTAAAACACCAAATTCCATTATTAAATCAACAAACATTTACTAAGTATCTGCTGGTAAGCACTATAGGAAACACAGTGATATATAACAAATTTCCTACTTGAAAAGAAAAAACAATCAGGCAAGTTAGGAAAGTAGAGAATTTTATTCCTAGATCAATTTTCATTTTTTTAAACCCACTTTTAATTTTGATGGTAATAATAATGGACATTTATAAACACCTTATGCAACATAATGAATTCTTCAAGTTGTTTTTAGTCCTACTAACAATGTTTTCTTTTTTATGGATGAGGCAACTGAAGTCAAGATATTAAGTAACTTGCCCAAATTTAAAACACCTAATAAGTGGCAGGGCATGGTTCTGAACTGAATGCAAGTCATTCTAAAGCCCTTGCTCCTTCCTTCAGACTTCTAGAGATGGAAATGTTTGCTAATGATTTTTTAAAGTAACTAAGAGAGGAGTGAGCACTGGTACAGAAGAATATTTATCATGAGATTCAATTTTCTTGTACCTTATTACCTTTCAGTTATACAACTAAACTTTATTATGTGGAATTTTGTTTATAATGTATACTAAATACACAAAATATAAGACTTCAAGGTGAAGAAATTTCAATACCAATGGTCCTTAACTGGACATCATGAGAAAAAAATAGAATAATAATGTTTATGGTACTTAATTCCTTAGAAGAAAACAGTTTCATAAACAATGTACTATCAAATATATAATATATTATCAAATAACTATTAACAAATTTACAACTTTTATGACAAATAACACTGTGGTTTCTCAATTGCTACCCCACTCAACGACTCCAAGATACATTCATAAAATTCACGATTCTTTATTGATGAGTTCAGGTAACTGCCCAATTTTGTAGAGGCACATGAGAATGGAAATATGATGCTGTGCTATTTTGCTTCCTTGCACTGCGCAAGAAAAGGTGCCTTGTGCTGCCCAAGTCTTCAGAAAGGTGCAACACAGATGATCCCATGTTCCTAAACTCTCTCACCTTTTTACCTTGCTTCCTACAGTCTTTGTAACCTTTCTAGCATACCCTCCCCATCTTGCAGAAGTAATCAAGTCTCAATCTTCAAGTTCCATGTAAAGCCCCTAGTATCTCAGAAGTGTTTATGGTTTTTCTCCCCCTAGTTTCCACTGTGTTCTTACTAAGATTTTAAAAATCCTAACATGCTATAATACTATATGGACTTTTTCCCTGTAACTGATGTCCTCCCCTCAGAGAAACAGAAATTTCATGTCCATTTGCCTCACTCTTCTCAATTATGTATATAGCCTTTAACATATAAGAAGTGGTGATTAAATTCAATTTATAATTCAAAAGTCTCTCTGCACACCACCATAAGATTCATTTTCCTAATATATAATACAATTCTTCTGTTCAAAACCCTCTAATTGCTTTAAAGAGAACCTAAACCTAAACTCTTCACTTTAAAAAGATTCTCCAAAACTGACACAAAATTGTCTTTTCCAGCTTGCATATATACTCTGTGCTTCAAACAGAACTACTTTCTATTTCCAGGACGTGACTTGACTCTCCTGCCTCTCTGCTTATGTTCAATTGATAGCTGCTTCCAGAAACCTCACCGGCTCCTCATCTCAACAGGCCAAAACTATACCTCTTCATAAGACCCAGCTTAGATGGCATCACCTCAATAAAGCCTGCCATGATAACTTCAGCTAACATCTGAGTTTCTCTCTAAAATCCTCTTATTATACAAACCACATTATTAGTTATCTATAAACATGTCTTTTCGAACACAGCAGGAGTTTCCTAAAAGCAGGTGCCACACATGTAATTCTCCATATTTTCAGTGTCCAACTCAATGGCATACATCCAAAAACATTCATAAATATTGGTCAAATAAAACAATTTGAAGATATAAATAAAATATTAATAATACAATCAATTATAGTAGTTTTACATACTTTATAAAATACATTATCAAAAAAATGCATTATCAATATCTACCCCTGTACTCAACCTAATTAGTTCAAACAAGTTACACTTATAGACATTTGAATTGTTTTTTCTTTTTTTGAGACAGGGTCTTGCTCTCTTGCCCAGGCTTGAGCACAGTGGCACAATCATGGCTCACTGCATCCTCGATGTCCTCGGCTCCAGAGATCTTCCCATCTCAGTATCCTCAGTAGCTGGGACTACAGGCATATGCCACCATGCCCAGCTAATTTTTTATAGAGACGAGGTTTGGCCAAGCTGCCCAGGCTGGTCTCAAACTCCTGGGCTCAAGTGATCCTCCCACCTTGGCCTCCTAAAGTGCTGGAATTACAGGCATGAGTCACTACATCCGGCCTCAATTTATTTATTATTTTTAATTTTTTTTTTTTTTTGAGACGGAGTCTCACTCTTTCACCCAGGCTGGAGTGCAGTGGTACAATCTTGGCTCACTGCAACCTCTAACTCCTCAGTTCCAGCAATTCTCCTGCCTCAGCCTCCCAGGTAGCTGGGATTACAGGAACACACCACCATGCTCAGCTAATTTCTGTATTTTTAGTAGAGACGGAGTCTCACCATGTTGGCCAGGCTGGTCTCGAACTCCTGACCTCAAGTGATATGCCTGCCTTGGCCTCCCAAAAATGCTGGGATTACAGGCATGAGCCACTGCGCCTGGCCAATTTATTTTTCTCTAAACATTCCTTAAGTATTATTTCAGAGGACCTTAAAAAATACTTAAAATTTCCCAAACTGTCATCTTCAACTTACCAAATTGTAAATTCCTAACAGAAGTGCTTCAATGCAACCATTACTCTGTCTGTCTCGGCTAACTGTAAGCCGTAAATAAACCCACATCAATTCTGGCAAGAACTGCAGTGTGAACCTCTTAAGTCGAACCTCTGAGCTACGATAGAGCTCAAACAGCTGATGGCAGACAGGCTCCAGGAGCTAAAAGGAAAATAAAGTGCACTGGTCATTTCAATTCTTTTGGTTGTAACTGTTGTTTTTTTTTTTTTAAGGCACCTATATCTGTATAATATTTTTAAAAGTCTTAATATTAATTTCTCCACATTTTAATTTAACCAAAACCTTTGTGTAAAGAGACCACATATTAAACTGACCAATCCACTAACTATAAGAAGTATTTTGTGCCCATACATCAATGTACCTTTCAGTATACTGTACTACTAAATTTACTAGATTATTAGTCCTTTAGCCAATGTACTACATTTATATTTGAGAAGAATTTTCCTTTCTATTCTTATCAACTCTATCTTCCATTTCAAAAACTTTCCATTGAAATAAAATAATTTTGCATAATATTGCTGGGAATAAACTTAAAATCTCAACTGAGACTATGATTTAAGCAAATTATATACCACTCTTACTGAAAAATGTGTGTTGATACAGAATTTTCTAAGAGTCATGCTGTTGGGCAAAGCAACTCTGTTTTTCAACCACTGCTAATCAGTTTCTGACAGTCAAAAATTCTGTACATATTTTGGAATCAGAAGAATCCTATGTAAATCATTTGTTACTTAAATCTGTGAAAAACATGTTTCTTTGGAGGAAAATGTATGCATTTGTAAGTGTTCTGTGGAATCAGTTTTCATTGTATTGATGTCATTGTCTCTAAGTGCTCAGTGTCTTCACTGCAATATGAAATTTATTAAAGCATCCACATTCCATTTTAAAAAAACTTATATACCACTCAGTAGAAGAAGGGATTTTGCAATACATATTTGTGCATCCAAAATTCTAGCTAATATTTAAAATACATACAAGTGAGGCAAACTATTTTAAAACTGACTTAAATTTTTCTTATTGTATTTATGTGAAAGATTTTATAAAGGAGAAAAGTATCCAGAAATAGCTTTTTCAGTGTTCAATTGGCTAATTTTTCATACGATATCACACAATATGACTTATGAGGAACTTCATGACCTAGAAAACTGAAGAAAATGAGCAGTTAAAATAAACTTTCCCACTTTTCCCTAAATATGTACTGCCAATTTAGAATGGGTTTGCTGGAGTAACCGTAGGCTGCAGAAAACTGGCTATGACTTTAAAATTCATATAAAATATTGACAAGAAACTATAAAGTAATTTTTAAAGTTTAATACTAACTCTTTAAAAAAAAAGAATAATAGTTCAGTAATTTCATGTACTTTCCTCTATTCTAAATGATTAAAATAATGCATATACATTTGGAAATCTGTTTGAATATAGTTACATACATCTGTAATAATCTAACACTCTACAATAAAAAGTCACTGTCATGATTATAAAAAGTTAACAAATCCATGTCAATTATACAGTTAACATATTTAGAAGAGTTAGGCTTAGCTCTGGAAGAATTCTAAAGCTTAAAAAATTTACATACATATACATCCTAGTCTAGTAAATACTAAGCCCTTTATGTGAAATCACTATCAGAACAGTTTTTAAAATCTTAAAAAATTTTCCAGAGGCTGGGTGTGGAGGTACACATCCAGCTATTCACAAGGTTGAAGAGGGTGGATAGCTTGAGCCCAGGAGTTTGAGGCTGCATTGAACCATGACAGCATCACTGCACTCCAGCCTGGGTAACAGAGCAAGACTGACACAAAAGAAAAATATTCCAACTCTTCCCTTACATTGAAGTCTAGACCAGTCAGACAATTTGTCAAAGGTTGGTGAAGTTAATGGTGAAATAAGACACTAAATTCAGGTCTTCTGACATCAAGTTGATGTTTCCACTCTACCGCACTTCTTATATTAGAATGGAGGTATAGATTGTTTAATCACAAAACAGTGTATTCTATGTAGTGCCAATAATGAACAAGTAATAAACTTTTGGAAACTGTCAGTTGCTGGCATCTTTCTTAAATATTGAGAGCAATATTCAGTTCTTTAGAAGTAAAAAACTGTTGCTCTCACAAATTTTGTTTACTAAAAATTTATACTCATGTTTCAAACTCAATCTCCTCTTTAGTAAAAAACTCTCCAAAGATTGCCTTCTCTAAACTTTATGGGCCATGGTACAATTATGATGAATTTCTTCTATGAAGACCTTAAACTCCTCTTTCTCAGTAGCAACAGGTACACTGGCATGTGGGACACTATATTTTAACTAAGCACAGTGAAGAAATACAGGGTTACCAGCATTATTACTCTGTGTTTTTTGTAAGCGAATGGGGGGTAGATGTTGGCAATCCAGTAAGTTTTAATCAGATACTACTACAAAGTAAGACCGTTAAAAACTCGCTGGTCAGGTGTGGTAGCTCACGCCTGTAATTCCGGCACTTTGGGAGGCCAAGGCAGGCTGATGGCTCGAGACCAGGAGTTTCAGACCAGCCTGCACAATGTGGCAAAACCTCACCTCTACAAAAAATACAAAAATTAGCCAGGTGTGGTGGCACGCACCTGGGTAGTCCCAGCTATTTTTGGGGGGCTGAGGCAGAAGAATTGCTTGAGCCCAGGAGGTTCAGTCTACAGTGAGCTGTGTTCAAGTCACCGCACTCCAGCCTGGGTGACAAAGTGAGGCCCTGTCTTAAAAAAAAAAAAGAAAAATTGCCAATGCTATGTGTTAAAATCTTTAATTGTGGCCAGGCTCAATAGCTCATGCCTGTAATCCCAGCACTTTGGGAAGCCAAGGTGGGAGGATCGCTTGAGCCCAGGAGTTCAAGGCCAGCCTTGAACACCGTGAGACTCTGTCTTTAGAAAATAAAAAATAAAATTAGCAGGGTGTGGTAGCATGTGCCTGTAGCTAATTGAGAAGGTGAGTTTGGAGGATCACATGAGTCCAGGAGTTTGAGGTTACAGTGAGCTATAATGGTGCCACTGTACTCCAGCATGGGAGAGAGAGTGAGACCCTGGCTCAGAAAAAAACAAACAAACAAACAATAAAAAAACTTTAATTTGAAGCATATGTCTCATAGCAAGCACCATGTTCTCAAATTCTTAATATAAATGATTCTGACCTCCCTTAAATGGCACCACCACCCACATCAAAAAGTATTAAAAATCATCATCCTTGGGTTAGAAAAAATCATAACTGA
Source organism: Homo sapiens (assembly GCF_000001405.40). Classification (NCBI taxonomy): domain Eukaryota; kingdom Metazoa; phylum Chordata; class Mammalia; order Primates; family Hominidae; genus Homo; species Homo sapiens. The sequence goes on from NC_000002.12 coordinate 201,020,263, forward strand.
CACCATTCCCAAATTTAGCAAACACTGTTTTGACATGATAATTACTAAGAGACATGATATTTGATGAACACACTGAGAGTATTTGGATGGAATAATGAACAAGCCTAACTTGAGTGGGTTAAAGAATGTGAGGTGAAGAAATGGAGACAAGTAGACAGAGGCTATGAATAAGCAATATTTTATGAAGTTCATCTGTGAATAGGGACAGAGAAATGGGGTAGATAATATAATAGGAGGTAAGCTGAAATAAAGTTTTTAGAGAATAGAATATGGTTGTTTATCATATTCCACTCATCAGGGAAAGAAAAAAAGATCAGTGATGGAAGAGAGAAGGAATAATTGCAGGACCAGAGTCCTTAAGGTAGCTAGAGAAGACAGAATCCAGGCCTAAGTAGAACAGATGGCTTTTCATACAACCTGAGATATTTCACCCACTAAACACCAGAAAAGGCAAGAGAGTGCTGTAGAATGGTAGATTTGAATCTGAAAATATGAAAGTTTCCAAATATTTTCTTTTTTCTCTGAGATGGAGTCTTGGCTTTGTTGCCAGGCTGGAGTGCAGTGATGCAATCTCGGCTCACTGCAACCTCCGCCTCCCAAGTTCAAGCGATTCTCCTGCCTTAGCCTCCTGAGTAACTGGGACTACAGGCGTGCACCACCACACCCAGCTAATTTTTGGTATTTTTAGTAGAGACGGGGTTTCATCATGTTGGCCAGGATGGTCTCAATCTCTTGACCTCATGATCCACTCCGCTCCGCCTCCCAAAGTGCTGAGATTACAGGCGTGAGACACTGCGCCGGCAACTATTTTAAGTTTAATTCATACTAAATATGGCACATGACAATTTTCTAAAATAATTTCTTGTAACCTAAATAGTATGTTTGTTTCTTTCAGAATATAACAAAATCAGGATTAAAAGGGACCTCCTTCTATGACTAAAGTCCAGAATTGTTTTGAAATTCTATAGAATTTATCATTCTATTTTTCTGAAGTCTGAACACATGGTTAGAGCCTTCTAACCTGACAGGAGACAGGAGAGAAATTCAGACCTCCTCTAGCAACTGATTGATTATAATGAATGCTGGACCTTGAGCTCGCATCCCTCAAGCTGTAATTTTTCCATTTCTAGCCATGAAACCCCCAAAGTCCCACACATTAATATTACGAAATATGACAACAGAAAGTAATGAGAATAGCTTTTTTAATGTAATAGCTTCTAAAGTATTAAACAAAAAAATAGGAAAGGGATACTTCTTATACACTTGTGAGCCCTAATGAAAATGTCATTTTAGAATCTCATTTTGTACTTCACTGTCCTTCCAATCAATACTATTCTATGTTCATTATGTACATGATAAAATACTAGATTCTCGGGAAGTTACAAATACAGAATATCTGACCACTGCCCATGAAGAGCTTACAATCTAAAGAGAAAGCATTAAAACAAATACATTTTAATAAGCAAAGCTTAAATGTTAAGACAGAGCAAAACAAGGGGTAGGGAATACACACATTCATTATTCAAACAAAGAATTCTGAAAACTCTTGACCATATGGATATGCATATACGTACATTATGCATACCCAGAGTTATAAAACATTCAGAAATACACTGCAAGAGAAAAAGCAAATGAATCCTGCAATTGCTGCTACAAATAGCAACAGATGCAAGTCTAACTGAGAGCCAGTCACAATTTAGGAGACAGGAAAGAAGGAGGTCAATAAGCAAGCTTTTAGTGGTAGGACAAAAATGAAGATGCACTTTAAGTTAAGCTGCTGGTTAGGAGAGGATTACCTGAACTTCTTCAAACTCACTCCAGTACACAGCAGAGGCACTCTTGGAGGCTGTATCTGGGAAGATAAGAAGCTACTTTCCTGTGTGTTCCTTTCATTTTCATTTTAAGCATACATGAATCCAGTGGTGATAAAACTGTATGTCATACTACTGTGTTAATGGAAAGATAATGTGTGTATTTTGCATAAATTAATATACAGATTCAATAACTGTACTTTTTCCTTCTATCACAAGGCTAAATAATACAAAACTCTCATTCTAAGTTTATTGATCTTGACTACTTAGACTAAAAAGTGCTTCCTCTGATCCTTTTCAGGCTAAATTTACTAGCAGCATCATTTTGTGTTATCAGTTTGATTTCACTGACTAGAGTGATTATACCTAGTTATATATTATCAGTAAAATAATTGTAAAAATACTTAAGATAAATAAAGCTGGATCAGTATACAGTTAAAATATGGCTTCCAGAGCAGGAAACATTCCAGAACAGGAAACAGAAAAGTTTCAAATAAATAATCCACTGAGATGATGGTCAATAAAATTAACAATCAAAACATACTGCACACTCAACAGGAAAAAATTTGACCAAAACATTTCAAAATATGGAAAGGCAGGGAATAGGGAAAGCCAAAGCAACTATCAGAATGAAAAACAGCAGAAAGAAAATTTTCCAGATCCACAAGGAAAGAAAATTATAAAACTTAAATTTATGTGTTTTGGTATACATATTTCATTTCACTATGTAGAAATTATTTTTCTTGAGGTCTCCTACCTCATTATTTGAATCTTGAATAACTTTATAGAGGGCTGGTACAAGTGTTTTTTTCCGGTGTAAAGTTGCTGCATAACTGGTGATCTGAGTGTCAGGTAATGCCTAAAAGAAACCACCAAAGGAAAACAAAAGTGAACATTTGAGAAGCAAGGAACTTTATTTTACACAAATAGTTCTTGAACAGATTTATAACAAACTCAAGTGAGAAAAGTAAAAATAATTAATATAAAGAAATAGGCTGGGCACAGTGGCTCACGTCTGGAATCCCAGCAGTTTGGGAGGTCAAGGCAAGCGTATCACTTGTGGTCAGGAGTTCAAGACCAGCCTGGCCAACATGGTGAAACCTGTCTCTACTAAAAATACCAAAAATTAGCCAGGCGTGGTGGCGGGTGCCTGTAATCCCAGCTACTCAGGAGGCTGAGGCAGAAGAATTGCTTGAACCTGGGAGGTGGAGGTTGCAGTGAGCCGAGATCGTGCCACTGCACTCCAGCCTGGGTGACAGAGCGAGACTCCATCTCAAAAAAAAAAAGAAAGAAAGAAGCATCAGAGTTCAAACAAATTAAGTTAGGATGTTATAGTACACAATTCTTCTAACTACTCAACCATAAATACTGATTAGAAATCACACATTATACCAACATTTCCTGAAATGGGCCATCTTAAATTAATCTAATCTTTAAAAAAATGTAGGATGTTTCAATTCTTGCATTTATGTTTTGCCAAAACATTTACAATTCCATAGTATTCATAAATTACATAGTTTTCCATAAAAACTATTTGATTTTTAATTATAGGACAGAAAAACGTAGGCATAAATCCTATTTTTGTGCCTTATTAAAGCTTGATGGATCTTCTCTTTTACTGAATATATTTTAAAATATCGTCTCATCAATCCTAACAACTATTTTCATCTTTATGTATCACCTTCTAGCCATTATTCATATTAGTACCATTTTTAAGAACTGCAATTACAGAAACACGTTATTTTGTATTTTGCCATTTCCACTTCCTACCATATTTTTATGTTTCTCCATAGAGCACATAATGTTTCTCCATAGAGCACATATTCAGTTTGAATTACTGATGTATAGAAAAATATAATACATTCTGATCTCCAATCCAATTTACCTTGAATTCTGATAACCATTCTTCCACAACACAACGGTCAGTTCCCAGCATTTTCTTTTACCTTCTACTCCTCTTTTATCTCTAAAAGAAAAAAGTATTGAAGCTGAGGACAGTAGTACTTATAGGAACAACTAGAAATAAATGATATGTGCCTTTCACCAAGGAAAATTAATCTACTATACATTTTAGATAAGGTGACTTGTCTTAGTTTGGAGCACAATTAAAAGAAAATTTTTCAGAAGTAAGTTCTGGCTGGGCGTGGTGGCTCACACCTGAATCTCAACACTTTGGGAAGCCGAGGTAGGAGAATCACTTGAGCTCGGAGTTCAAGACCAGCCTGGCAACACAGTGAGACCTTGTCTCTACTAAAAATCAAGAAAATTAGCTGGGCATGGTGGCGTGCACATCCAGTCCTAGTTACTTGGTACCCAAAGGTCAGAGCATAACTTGACCACCGGAGATAGAGGCTGCAGTGAGCTATGATCGTGCCACTGCATTCTGGCCTGGGCGACAGAGCCAGACCCTGTCTCAAAAATAAAATAAAAATAAGTTTTATGTTTAATGATACACTTGAAACCTATTATCCTAATGCTTTCATATTTTCTCCAGTAAATACTTCAAACTGGCAAAGACAAGTGTCCTGAGTAAAATCAAGTTGCACATTATCCAGACAAATGCAGTCTACAGTTTTACCAAATACATAACCAGAACAAACTACACATCATAAAATGAACCAAGAGAGTATAAATGACAAAGCTAGATAAACTAGAAACCAAAGGTTACATATTCAGCAAACTGAATATAAACATATATGCACCATACACAATAAGGCCTCTGAAGAAAACAGATCCATAAATTTTCTAAAATGGAAAAACAGCTGGGCACAGTGGCTCATGCCTGCAATCCCAGCACTTTGGGAGGCTGAGGCAGGACTGAGCCCAAGGGTTCCAGACCAGCCTGGGCAACATGGTGAGACCCAATATCTATAAAAAATAAAAAAAAAACTTAGCCAGGTGTAGTGGTGTGCACCTGTAATCTCAGCTACTCAGGAGGCTGAGGCAGGAAGATCCCTTGAGCCCAGGAGGTCAAGGCTGCACTGAGCCATGTTCACACCACTGCACTCTAGCCTAGGCAACAGAGTGAGACTCTGTCTCAAAAATAAATAAATAAATAAATGCACTAGGAAAATGCCCAAGTAGAAAAAGCAAGCTGTAGGATGTAAACTGTAATTCCATTTAAATGCTAAGGTCAACCCTGGAAGTTTATCAGCACCCAAGTAGGCAGCTGCCGAAAAGCTAAAAAGGGATTCCGTAAGAATTAATTGGTTCATTCCATAAATATTTCTTAAGCATCAACTATACGGCAACCATTTGCTAGGATCTGGAAATATAATAATAAACAAATCCAGATGTACACCCACTTTAATGAACCACTTATATAGTGGAGGAGACCAAACATATTTTTTCAAAGAGATGAAGGGAAAGAAAGAAAAAAGAAAGAAAGAAAAGAAAAGAAAAGAAGGAGAGAAAGAAAGACACAGAAGTACAAAACAAAGGAGCCAATATTGACTAAGGAATCAAAAGAGCTTCTCTGAGGTGCTGCTTAAGTTGAGATATCAAAGATCTATAGAATTAAGGGGAGTAGAAAGAGAACATTCTAGGAAGAGGGAACCACTTATATAAAAGGTCCTGTGGTAAGAAAAAGCACAGAAAGTTACAGAATCTAAACGAAGATCCAAGTGGTTTGGAGTACAGGGCACAATGGGCAAGAGTTGAGGGTGGACAGGAAGGCATGGTCTGATGGTATAGGAAGTTAGAAGGCCAGGCATGGTGGTTCACACCTGCAGTTCTAGCACTTTGGGAGGCTGAGGTAAGAGGATTGCTTGAGGCCAGGAGCTTGAGACATGCCTGGGAAACACAGCACGAGATTCCCATCTCTACAAAAAAATTTTCAAAAATTAGCTGGGTGCGCTAATATCATGATAGGATCAAGTTCACACATAACAATATTAACCTTAAATGTAAATGGGCTAAATGCTCCAATTAAAAGACACAGACTGGCAAATTGGATAAAGAGTCAAGGCCCATAAGTATGCTGTATTCAGGAGACCCATCTCACATGCAAAGACATGCATAGGCTCAAAATAAAGGGATGGAGGAAGAGCTACCAAGCAAATGGAAAACAAAAAAAGCAGGGGTTGCAAACCTAGTCTCTGATAAAACAGACTTTAAACCAACAAAGATCAAAAGAGACAAAGAAGGCCATTACATGATGGTAAAGGGATCAATGCAACAAGAAGAGCTAACTATCCTAAATATATATGCACCCAATACAGGAGCAGCCAGATTCATAAAGCAAGTCCTTAGAGGCCTACAAAGAGATTTAGACTCCCAAACAGTAATAATGGGAGACTTTAATACCCCACTGTCAATATTAGACAGATCAATGAGACAGAAGGTTAACAAGGATATCCAGGAATTGAACTCAGCTCTGCACCAAGCACACCTAATAGACATCTACAGAACTCTCCACCCCAAATCAACAGAATATACATGCTTCTCAGCACTACATCACACTTATTCCAAAATTGACCACATAGTTGGAAGTAAAGCTCTCCTCAGCAAATGTAAAAGAACAGAAATCACAACAAACTGTCTTTCAGACCACAGTGCAATCAAATTAGAACTCAGGATTAAGAAACTCACTCAAAACCACACAACTACATGGAAAGTGAATAACCTGCTCCTGAATGACTACTGGGTAAATAAGGAAATGAAGGCAGAAATAAAGATGTTCTTTGAAACCAATGAGAACAAAGACACAACATACTAGAATCTCTGGGACACATTTAAAGCAGTGTGTAGAGGGAAATTTATAGCACTAAATGCCCACAAGAGAAAGTAGGAAAGACCTAAAATTGACACCCTAACATCACAATTAAAAGAATTAGAGAAGCAAGAGCAAATACATTCAAAAGCTAGCAGAAGGCAAGAAATAACTAAGATCAGAGCAGAACTGAGGAGATAGAGACACAAAAAACCCTTCAAAAAATCCATGAATCCAGGAGCTGGTTTTTTGAAAGGATCAACAAAATTGATAGACTGCTAGCACGACCAATAAAGAAGAAAAGAGAGAAGAATCAAATAGATGCAATAAAAAATGATAAGGGGGATATCACCACTGATCCCACAGAAATACAAGCTACCATCAGAGAATACTATAAACAATTCTACGCAAATAAACTAGAAAATCTAGAAGAAATGGATAAATTCCTGGACACATACACCCTCCTGAGACTAAACCAGGAAGAAGTTGAATCTCTGAATAGACCAATAACAGGTTCTGAAACTGAGGTAATAATTAATAGCCTACCAACCAAAAAAAGCCCAGGACCAGACGGATTCACAGCTGAATTCTACCAGAGGTACAAAGAGGAGCTGGCACCATTCCTTCTAAAACTATTCCAATCAATAGAAAAAGAGGGAATCCTCCCTAACTCATTTTATGAGGCCAGCATCATCCTGATACCAAAGCCTGGCAGAGACACAACAAAAAAAGAGAATTTTAGACCAACATCCCTGATGAACATCGATGCAAAAATCCTCAATAAAATACTGGCAAACTGAATCCAGCAGCACATCAAAAAGCTTATCCACCAAGATCAAGTCAGCTTCATCCCTGGGATGCAAGGCTGGTTCAACATACGCAAATCAATAAACGTAACCCATCACATAAAGAGAACCAAAGACAAAAACCACATGATTATCTCAATAGATGCAGAAAAGGCCTCTGACAAAATTCAACAACCCTTCATGCTAAAAACTCTCAATAAACTAGGTATTGATGGAACATAACTCAAAATAATAACAGCTATTTATGACAACCTACAGCCAATATCATACTGAATGGACAAAAACTGGAAGCATTCCCTTTGAAAACTGGCACAAGATAGGGATGCCCTCTCTCACCACTCCTATTCAACATAGTGTTGGAAGTTCTGGCCAGGGCAATCAGGCAAGAGAAAGAAATAAAGCGTATTCAATTAGGAAAAGAAGAAGTCAAATTGTCCCTCTTTGCAGATGACATTATTGTATATCTAGAAAACCCCATCATCTCAGCCCAAAAATCTCCTTAAGCTGATAAGCAACTTCAGCAAAGTCTCAGGAGACAAAACCAATGTGCAAAAATCATAAGCATTCCTGTACACCAATAACAAACAAACAAAGAGCCAAATCATGAGTGAACTCCCATTCACAATTGCTTCAAAGAGAATAAAATACCTAGGAATCCAACTTACAAGACATGTGAAGGACTTCTTCAAGAACTACAAACCACTGCTCAATGAAATAAAAGAGGGCACAAAAAAATGGAAGAACATTCCATGTTCATGGACAGGAAGAGTCAATATTGTGAAAATGGCCATACTACCCAAGGTAATTTATAGATTCAATGCCATCCCCAACAAGCTACCAATGACTTTCTTCACAGAATTGGAAAAAAACTACTTTAAAGTTCATATGGAACCAAAAATGAGCCCATATTGCCAAGACAATCCTAAGCCAAAAGAACAAAGCTGGAGGCATCACACTACCTGACTTCAAACTATACTACAAGGCTACAGTAACCAAAACAGCATGGTACTGGTACCAAAACAGAGATATAGACCAATGGAACAGAACAGAGCCCTCAGAAATAACACCACACATCTACAACCATCTGATCTTTGACAAACCTGACAAAAACAAGAAACGGGGAAAGGATTCCCTATTTAATAAATGATGCTGGGAAATCTGGATAGCCAAATGTAGAAAGCTGAAACTGGATCCCTTCCTTACACCTTATACAAAAATTAATTCAAGATGGATTAAAGACTTAAATGTTAGACCTAAAACCATAAAAACCCTAGAAGAAAACCTAGGCAATACCATTCAGGACATAGGCATGGGCAAGGACTTCATGACTAAAACACCAGGCAACATAAGCCAAAATAGACAAATGGGATCTAATTAAACTAAAGAGCTTCTGCACAGCAAAAGAAACTACTGTCAGAGTGAACAGGCAACCTACAGAATGGGAGAAAATTTTTGCAATCTACCCATCTAACAAAGGGCTAATATCCAGAATCTACAAAGAACTTAAACAGATTTACAAGAAAAAATCAAACAACCCCATCAAAAAGCGGGCAAAGCATATGAACAGACACTTCTCAAAAGAAAACATTTATGCAGCCAACAGACACATGAAAAAATGCTCATCATCACTGGTTATCAGAGAAATGCAAATCAAAACCACAGTGAGATAACATCTTACACCAGTTAGAATGGCGACCATCAGAAAATCAGGAAACAACAGATGCTTTTACATTATTGGTGGGAGTGTAAACTAGTTCAACCATTGTGGAAGACAGTGCAGCGATTCCTCAAGGATCTAGAACTAGAAATACCATTTGACCCAGCGATTCTATTACTGGGTATATACCCAAAAGATTATAAATCATGCTACTATAAAGACACATGCACACGTATGTTTATTGCAGCACTATTCACAATAGCAAAGACTTGGAACCAACCCAAATGTCCATCAATGATAGACTAGATTAAGAAAATGTGGCACATATATACCATGGAATACTATGCAGCCATAAAAAAGGATGAGTTCATGTCTTTTGTAGGGACAAGGATGAAGCTGGAAACAATCATTCTGAGCAAACTATCACAAGGACAGAAAGCCAAACACCACATGTTCTCACTCATAGGTGGGAATTGAACAATGAGAACACTTGGACACAGGGTGGGGAACATCATTCACCAGGGCCTGTCATGAGGTGGGGGGATGGGGGAAGGATAGCCATTAGGAGAAATACCTAATGTAAATGACGAGTTAATGGGTGCAGCAAACCAACATGGCACATGTATACCTATGTAACAAACCTGCACGTTGTGCACATGTACCCTAGAACTTAAAGCATATAAAAAAAAATTAGCTGGATATAGTCATGCACACCGGTAGTCCCAGTTACTGAGGAGGCTGAGGTGGGAAGAACGCTTGATCTCAAGACTTCAAGGCTCCAGTGAGCTATGACCATGCCAGTGTACTCCAGCCTGAGCAACACAGTGAGACCCCGTCTCAAAAACAAAAACAAAAAGTCCGGAAATTTCATTGTAATGGTGACAAAAAGGACATACTTTCCAAAATAAACAAAATTGGAACTTTAAACAACTCCCTTATCTCTATTGCTGGATATTAAATTACTGACCTTTGATTTTTATTTACTGGAAAATTAAAAAGCCATACCTGCTCTGTATCTCAACTATTACCTCTATAGTTTTACAAAAATATCTATCTATAAATACAGTTAGTTGATAATAAATTTTGAAATAATTTTAAAATATCATAAATAGATGCCCGTAAAAAAAAAATGGAACTTAGCCCAACCACTCATTCCATCCACAAACACTGTCAACCATTCTTCCAGATCTGTATTTATATATATATTTATAACATGTATGTAGGTAAATATGTTATTTAAATGTAGTCATATGTTCACATCATATATAGTGTTCTACAGTGTGCTTTTTACATTTGTTAAAAACACATCAAAGATCTATAGATCTATCTCATTCCTTTTTTTTTTTTTTGAGTTGGAGTCTCACCCTATCGCCCAGACTGAAACACAGTGGCGAGATCTTGGCTCACTGCAACCTCCGCCTCCTGGGTTCAAGTGATTCTCCTGCCTCGGCCTCCCAAGTAGCTGGGATTCCAGGAGTGCACCACCACACCCAGCTAATTTTTGTATTTTTAGTAGAGACAGGATTTCACCACATTGGCCAGGCTGGTCTCAAACTCCTGACCTCAGGTGATCTGCCCACGTTGGCCTCCTAAAGTGCTGGGATTACAGGTGTGAGCCACTGCGCCCAGCTTATCTCATCCTTTTTAACAGCCATAAAACTGTAAGCACAAACCCTTATCTGTCCAATAACTTACTGATGGACACAGATTGTTTTCAATTTTCTTATATTACCACAACATTGTTGCAATCAACACCCTTATACATATTTGTGCATTTGTGTTGTTGTCTTCCACAGTATAAATTCTAAAAATTGTACTTGAAATTTTAAGGTTATAAGATATAAACATTATTGATAGCATATCCAAATCTACTCTCAAAACTATAATCTTTCAGATTTTTAAGAAGCATATGGCTGTTACATGTACAGAATAATTTCTTCCTGCTCTGTTTATAAAGCTACTACCATAGCATAGAAACCTAAATTAATCTAAATATAAAACCATCAATTTGCCTGCATTTATTAATATATAAGACTTTTAAAACTAGCACAATGAAAATTGGAATCAGAACACTCTGTAACAAAAAAGAAATCACAATATATATTACTGTATTTTAAAAATCGGCCGGGCACAGTGGCTCATGCCTATAACCCCAGCATTTTGGGAGGCCGAGTCAGGTGGATCACCTGAGGTTGGAAGTTCAAGACCAGCCTCATCAACATGGAGAAACCCCATCTCTAATACAAATACAAAATTAACCAGGTATGATGGCACATGCCTGTAATCCCAGCTACTCAGGATGCTGAGGCAGGAGAGTCACTTCAACCTGGGAAGCGGAGGTTGCGGTGAGCCGAGACAGCGCCATTGCACTCTAGCGTGGGCGACAAGCAAAACTCTGTCTCAAAAAACAAACAAACAAAAAATCACCTTGCTTGCTTAGTTAAGGCTTGACTCTTCTAAAATTAAAAACCACATTCATGGTTTACTCTTTAAACAATCTGGAGGTTATTTTAGAATATGATATTAGATTAAAATCTAACAATTTTTTCTTCCAATTGTTCTAATACATTGTTTGCATGCCTTTTCTTGTTTCTGTTTCTGCAGAGACTTGAAATACTACTAAAGTCTTACATATATTTGAAAATATTTCCCAGCTACTTTTCCCACTAGTTTTGCACAAGGACTGCAATCATTTATTTACTACCATTTTATTTTATTTTATTTTATTTTTTGAGACAGAGTCTCGCTCTGTTGCCCAGGCTGGAGTGTAGTGGCACAATCTCGATCACTGCAACCTCCACCTCCCGGATTCAAGCAATTCTCCCGCCTCAGCCTCCCGAGTATCTGGGATTACAGGCATGTGCCACCATGCCCGGCTAATTTTTTGTATTTTTGGTAGAGATGGGGTTTCACCATGTTGCCCAAGCTGGTCTCGAACTCCTGACTTCAAGTGATCAGTCTGCCTTGGCCTCCCACAGTCCTGGGATTACAGGTGTCAGCCACCACGCCCAGCCTATTTACTGTCATTTTATAATATACTTTAATATATAACAGTACAAGCTTTATCCTAATTCATTTTTTCTAAAAATATATTTCATCATTATTGCCTGCCTTATTCTTGAAGATGAATATTAGACTTTTGATAATAAATTCCTTCCCCACATCCTATCCTCAGGAGAATTTATAAATTAATTCCAAATTACATCTTCACAATACTGAGTTATCCCACAGAGAAGCACAGCACTGCTCTTTCTTAAAAATCTTCTTTCATATGTCTTAGTATAAATTTTGTATTTTCTTCATAGAGGTCAACACAATTTCCAATTAATTCCTACGTGGTTTTTATATTTTGATGCAATTACGATTGAGATTCGCTTCCATTATCTTTTCTAACTAGTTATTGTTACACAAAAATTAAGAACTTTTTTTTTAGAGACAGGTCTCTGTCACCTCAGCTGGACTGCAGTGGTGCAATCATAGCTCACTGTAGTCTCAAACTCCTTGGCTCAGTTGATCCTCCTGCCTCAGCCTCCTGAGTAGCTGAGATTATACACGTGTGCCACTACGCCTGGCTAATTTTTTATAATTTTGTTTTTTGTAGAGACAGGGTCTTACTATGTTGCCCAGGCTACAAAAACATTTTTTAAACATCAAAATTAAAAGTTTTTTAGATAATTATAATTATTCAAAACATTTTAAATGGTTTAAATCAAGAAGTCTATGTTTTAGGAGAAATGTATAAACAAGTCATCTTTTAGCTAACTACAAGGCATTTGTTTTTTTTTTAAATGTATATTACTACTTTACTGAAAAGGGCAAGAAAAAACTACAATTGGTCCATTTTTTTTCAAATGTTCTCTAAAGAACATAAACTGCCTTTAGAAATCAAAAAGCTATTTGTATGTGTGTGTATGTGTGTGTGTGTGTGTGTGTGTGTGTGTGTGTGTGTGAGAGAGAGAGAGAGAGAGAGATGAGATCTCTCTCTGTTTCCCAGGCTGGAATGCAGTGACACAATCAGGGCTCACTGCAGCCTCACAGCCTTGACTTTCCAGGCTCAAGCAATCTTCACACCTCAGCCCCCTAAGTAGCTGGTACTATAGGCATGTGCCACCATGCTTGGCTAATTTATTTTATTTTATTTTATTTTATTTTATTTTATTTTATTTTATTTTTTGAGACGGAGTCTCCCTCTATCGCCCAGACTGGAGTGCAGTGGCGCGATCTCGGCTCACTGCAAGCTCCGCCTCCCGGGTTCACGCCATTCTCCTGCCTCAGCCTCCCAAGTAGCTGGGACTACAGGCGCCCGCCACCACGCCCGGCTAATTTTTTTGTATTTTTAGTAGAGATGGGGTTTCACCATGTTAGCCGGTATGGTCTCGATCTCCTGACCTCGTGATCTGCCCGCCTCGGCCTCCCAAAGTGCTGGGATTACAGGTGTAAGCGACGGCACCCAGCCCAATTTTTTTTGTTGTATATAGAGAGCGGGTTTTCCTATGTTGCCCAGATTGGTCTCACTCCTGGGCTCAAGCACTCTTCCCATCTCGGCCTCTCAAAGTGCTGAAATTACAGGCATGAGCCACTGCACCCAGCCAAGCCAAATACTTTTTAAAAAGCAACACAAATCTTTTAATTTGATATATACTTTATCAGAATCCCTGTCTGATATAGGGTCCAGAATATTTATTTTGGAAAAGTCCCTCAAGTAATCCTGATGACCATCCTCTAGTTTAAAAAAAAAAAAAAAGTACCATCTCCAGGCTAAATTACTATTTTAAATTCCTATTTGATCTTTCCTATAACCACAAATTTAGCACATTAAATATCTATAGTTTCCACCCATACCACTTAAAAAAATGACTAAAAATGAAATACCTTTAAATAGAGAAATATAGTGGTATTAATTATAATCATAACACATATTTCCCAACTCTATAAAAATACTACTAGTTTTAAGACAGTAATTTATTAAGTACTTTAAAAGACAATATGAAATAATATTTTATGAAAAAGAAAACAAAAAGCTTAACTAAATCTGGGTGCTTCTGTTTTGGGTGCATATATATTTAGGATAGTTAGCTCTTCTTGTTGAATTGATCCCTTTACCATTATGTAATGGCCTTCTTTGTCTCTTCTGATCTTTGTTGGTTTAAAGTCTGTTTTATCAGAAACTAGGATTGCAACCCCTGCTTTTTTTTGTTTTCCATTTGCTGGGTAGATCTTCCTCCATCCCTTTATTTTGAGCCTATGTGTGTCTCTGCACATGAGATGGGTCTCCTGAATACAGCACACTGATGGGTCTTGACTCTTTATCCAATTTGCCAGTCTATGTCTTTTAATTGGAGGATTTAGCCCATTTACATTTAAGGTTAATATTGTTATGTGTGAATTTGATCCTGTCATTATGATGTTAGCTGGTTATTTTGCTCGTTAGTTGATGCAGTTTCTTCCTAGCCTCAATGGTCTTTACAATTTGGCATGTTTTTGCAGTGGCTGGTACCGGTTGTTCCTTTCCATGTTTACTGCTTCCTTCAGGAGCTCTTTTAGGGCAGGCCTGGTGGTGACAAAATCTCTCAGCATTCGCTTGTCTGTATTTTATTTCTCCTTCACTTATGAAGCTTAGTTTGGCTGGATATGAAATTCTGGGTTGAAAATTCTTTTCTTTAAGAATGTTGAATATTGGCCCCCACTCTCTTCTGGCTTGTAGAGTTTCTGCTGAGAGATCCGCTGTTAGTCTGATGGGCTTCCCTTTGTGGGCAACCCGACCTTTCTCTCTGGCTGTCCTTCACATTTTTTCCTTCATTTCAACTTTGGTGAATCTGACAATTATGTGTCTTGGAGTTGCTCCTCTTGAGGAGTATCTTTGTGGCGTTCTCTGTATTTCCTGAATTTGAATGTTGGCCTGCCTTGCTAGATTGGGGAAGTTCTCCTGGATAATCTCCTGCAGAGTGTTTTCCAACTTGGTTCCATTCTCCCCGTCACTTTCAGGTACACCAATCAGACGTAGATTTGGTCTTTTCATATAGTCCCATATTTCTTGGAGGCTTTGTTCGTTTCTTTTTATTCTTTTTTCTCTAAACTTCTCTTTTCGCTTCATTTCATTCATTTCATCTTCCATCACTGATACCCTTTCTTCCAGTTGATTGAATCGGCTACTGAGGCTTGTGCATTCGTCACGTCGTTCTCGTGCCGTGGTTTTCAGCTCCATCAGGTCCTTTAAGGACTTCTCTGCATTGGTTATTCTAGTTAGCCATTCATCTAATCTTTTTTCAAGGTTTTTAACTTCTTTGCCACGGGTTCGAACTTCCTCCTTTAGCTCGGAGTAGTCTGATCGTCTGAAGCCTTCTTCTCTCAACTCATCAAAGTCATTCTCCGTCCAGCTTTGTTCCATTGCTGGTGAGGAGCTGCGTTCCTTTGGAGGAGGAGAGGTGCTCTGATTTTTAGAATTTTCAGTTTTTCTGCTCTGTTTTTTCCCCATCTTTGTGGTTTTATCTACCTTTGGTCTTTGATGATGGTGACGTTCAGATGGGGTTTTGGTGTGGATGTCCTTTCTGTTAGTTAATTTTCCTTCTAATAGTCAGGACCCTCAGCTGCAGGTCTGTTGGAGTTTGCCGGAGGTCCACTCCAGACCCTGTTTGCCTGGATATCAGCAGTGGAGGCTGCAGAACAGCGGATATTGGTGAACAGCAAATGTTGCTGCCTGATCGTTCCTCTGGAAGTTTTGTCTCAGAGGAGTACCCGGCCGTGTGAGGTGTCAGTCTGTCCCTACTGGGGGGGTGCCTCCAAATAGATGCAATAAAAAATGATAAAGGGGATATCACCACCGATCCCACAGAAATACAAACTACCATCAGAGAATATTATAAACACCTCTACACAAACAAACTAGAAAATCTAGAAGAAATGGATAAATTCCTGGACACATATACCCTCCCAAGACTAAACCAGGAAGAAGCTGAATCTCTGAATTGACCAATAACAGGCTCTGAAATTGAGGCAATAATTAATAGCTTACCAATCAAAAAGAGTCCAGGACTAAATGGATTCACAGCCAAATTCTACCAGAGGTATAAGGAGGAGCTGGTACCATTCCTTCTAAAACTATTCCAATCAACAGAAAAAGAGGGAATCCTCCCTAACTCATTTTATGAGGCCAGCATCATCCTGATACCAAAGCCTGGCAGAGACACAACAAAAAAAGAAAATTTTAGACCAATATCCCTGATGTGAACATCAATGCAAAAATCCTCAATAAAATACTGGCAAACCGAATCCAGCAACACATCAAAAAGCTTATCCACCATGATCAAGTGGGCTTCATCCCTGGGATGCAAGGCTGGTTCAACAAACGCAAATCAATAAAAGTAATCCAGCATATAAACAGAACCAAAGACAAAAACCACATGATTATCTCAATAGATGCAGAAAAGGCCTTTGACAAAATTCAACAACCCTTCATGCTAAAAACTCTCAATAAATTAGATACTGATGGAACATATCTCAAAATAATAAGAGCTATCTATGACAAACCCACAGCCAATATCATACTGAATGGACAAAAACTGGAAGCATTCCCTTTGAAAACTGGCACAAGATAGGGATGCCCTCTCTCACCACTCCTATTCAACATAGTGTTGGAAGTTCTGGCCAGGGCAATCAGGCAAGAGAAAGAAATAAAGGGTATTCAACTAGGAAAAGAGGAAGTCAAATTGTCCCTGTTTGCAGATGACATGATTGTATATCTAGAAAACCCCATCGTCTCTGCCCAAAATCTCCTTAAGCTGATAAGCAACTTCAGCAAAGTCTCAGGATACAAAATCAATGTGCAAAAATCACAAGCATTCTTATACACCAATAACAGACAAACAGAGCCAAATCATGAGTGAACTCCCATTCACAATTGCTTCAAAGAGAATAAAATATCTAGGAATCCAACTTACAAGACATGTGAAGGACTTCTTCAAGAACTACAAACCACTGCTCAATGAAATAAAAGAGGGCATAAAAAAATGGAAGAACATTCCATGCTCATGGGTAGGAAGAATCAATATCGTGAAAATGGCCATACTGCCCAAGGTAATTTATACATTCATTGCCATCCCCATCAAGCTACCAATGACCTTCTTCACAGAATTGGAAAAAACTACTTTAAAGTTCACATGGAACCAAAAAAGAGCCCGCATTGCCAAGTCAATCCTAAGCCAAAAGAACAAAGCTGGAGGCATCACACTACCTGACTTCAAACTATACTACAAGGCTACAGTAACCAAAACAGCATGGTACTGGTACCAAAAGAGAGATATAGACCAATGGAACAGAACAGAGCCCTCAGAAATAATGCCACATATCTACAACTATCTGATCTTTGACAAACCTGACAAAAACAAGAAATGGGGAAAGGATTCTTTATTTAATAAATGGTGCTGGGAAAACTGGCTAGCCATAAGTAGAAAGCTGAATCTGGATGCCTTCCTTATACCTTATACAAAAATTAATTCAAGATGGATTAAAGACTTAAATGTTAGACCTAAAACCATAAAAACCCTAGAAGAAAACCTAGGCAATACCATTCAGGACATAGGCATGGGCAAGGACTTCATGTCTAAAACACCAAAAGTAATGGCAACAAAAGCCAAAATTGACAAATGGGATCTAATTAAACTAAAGAGCTTCTGCACAGCAAAAGAAACTACCATCAGAGTGAACAGGCAACCTACAGAATGAGAGAAAATTTTTGCAATCTTCCCATCTGACAAAGGGCTAATATCCAGAATCTACAATGAACTCAAACAAATTTACAAGAAAAAAACAAACAACCCCATCAAAAAGTGGGCAAAGAATATGAACAGACACTTCTCAAAAGAAGACATTTATGCAGCCAAAAGACACATGAAAAAATGCTCATCATCACTGGCCATCAGAGTAATGCAAATCAAAACCACAATGAGATACCATCTTACACCAGTTAGAATGGCGATCATTACAAAGTCAGGAAACAACAGGTACTGGAGAGGATGTGGAGAAATAGGAACACTTTTACACTGTTGGTGGGACTGTAAACTAGTTCAACCATTGTGGAAGTCAGTGTGGCGATTCCTCAGGGATCTAGAACTAGAAATACCATTTGACCCAGCCATCCTATTGCTGGGTATATACCCAAAGGAATATAAACCATGCTGCTATAAAGACACATTCACATGTATGTTTACTGCGGCACTATTCACAACAGCAAAGACTTGGAACCAACCCAAATGTCCATCAATGATAGACTAGATTAAGAAAATGTGGCACATATACACTATGGAATACTATGCAGCCATAAAAAAGGATGAGTTCATGTCCTTTGTAGGGACATGGAAGAAGCTGGAAACCATCATTCTCAGCAAACTATCGCAAGGACAAAAAACCAAACACCACATGTTCTCACTCATAGGTGGGAATTGGAACAATGAAAACACATCGACACAGGAAGGGGAACATCACACACCGGGGCCTGTTGTGGGGTAGGGGGAGAGGGGAGGGATAGCATTAGGAGATATACCTAATGTTAAATGATGAGTTAGTGGGTGCAGTACACCAACATGGCACATGTATACATACGTAACAAACCTGCATGTTGTGCACATGTACTCTAAAACTTAAAGTATAATTAAAAAAAAGAAAAAGACTTGCAAATTGTTGATTAAAAAAAAAAAGCTTAACTAAAAGACAAGCGTATAAGGTCTTCCACAGAACCACATGCCACTTTTTAAAAATTATCCTTTATGTTTCTGGCCACCTTTGGTCTTTGTACCTGACACCTGGCATTCTCTCCCAGCTCTGTATATGGCTGGAATAGACTCAGTTCATGTATCACCTCCTTATAGAACCTTTCCCTATATACTTTAATCAGCTACCTCTACCTTCCTCCTCCCTCCAACCCCATTACTCTGCCCATTTTCTTCATAGCATTTAGCATAATCTGTAATTAACGTTATTTGTTTACTTAATGTCTGTCTTTTCTACTGGAATCTGTACTTTACAGGGACAGGCACTGTATCCCAAGTGACAGGCATATAGCAGGCATCCAATCATCTGTTGATTTTGAGCACCTTCAGCACTGACAGTGTTATTTCTGGCCATAACAAAACCTGAGATTTCTGTTTTCTAAGTTAAACTTTATAATTTTACTTGGAAAACTAAATACCAAATGGAAGTTAAATACCTTCTTCAAATATCGTCCAGAAATTTTTGACAAGTAGATGTTGTCCCAGATGCATGAATTAGTAACACTAACCTTGCCAAGGTTTGATATAAGAGACTGAATGATTTGGCAATTTTGTTGTCTTTTTTTCGGTCAGGCAATCTTCTACTGAGATAATTGTTCATTTCAAAGCTGTATCATACAGTGATATACAGCAGATATTTTAAACAACAATTAGGGACACAAATCCAATTAATATTTCAACCCCACATGGTGCCGCTAATACCAACTAACTGAATAAAAGAATACATAAAGTTAAATTCTAGAAATACCAAGTATAGATGACTACTACTACTTCACAATTTACTTGGCTGGTCGCTGAAAAGTTTCTTCAGACAAGTCACACCTCAATTTCTAAAAATATCAAAATGTGAAAAAAAAATGTGTCTTAAAAGTGAGGAAATAGGCTGGGCACAGTGGCTCACGCCTGTAATCCCAGCACTTTGGGAGGCCGAGGTGGGCAGATCACAAGGTCAGGAGATCGAGACCATCCTGGCCAACACGGTGAAACCCCGTCTCTACTAAAAATACAAACAATTAGCCAGGCGTGGTGGTGGATGCCTGTAATCCCAGCTACTTGGGAGGCTGGGGCAGAGAATTGCTTGAACCCAGGAGGCAGAGGTTGCAGTGAGCCGAGACCGCGCCACTGCACTCTAGCCTGGCGACAGAGTGAGACTCTGTCTCAAAAAAAAAAAAAAAGTGAGGAAATAAATTACTAGCGAGCCTATTAAGTATAAACATGGTACCAGGTGTTTCCTATATTTTATCTGATTTAACAACAGGTGGCACAATGTAGTGGTGTACAGCAGCAGTTCTCAGCTTTTTTTGGCCTCAGAATTTCTTTCATTAAAAAAGTTCATTTATTAATTCATTTGAAAATAAGCCTATTACATGTTAACATTTTAAGGTGAAAATTATGTTCTTCTAAAACAAAAACAAATTGAGAATAGCATTTTGTTGTTATTGCTTTTGTTTTTTTTTTTTTGTGAATCTCATAATTTTTTTTTGTTTGTTCATTTTTTTGAGACAAAGTCTCTGTTGCCCAGGCTGGAGTGCAGTGGCAAAATCTCAGCTCACTGCAACCTCCACCTCCCAGATTCAAGCAATTCTGCCTCAGCCTCCGAGTAGCTGGGATCACAGGCATGCACCACCATATCCGGCTAATTTTTTTATTTTTAGTACAGATGGGGTTTCACCATGTTGGCCAGGCTGGTCTCGGACTCCTGACCTCAAGTGATCCACCTGCCTCAGCCTCCCAAAACGCTGTGATTACAGGCGTGAGCCACTGTGCCCAGCCTCATAATTGCTTCTGCATTCAATCTGTTGCAGAAAAACCTCACTGTATATTTATGACAGAATGACAGTGAAGATGGCAAATACTGTCTTTATATTAATATGAAAAATAGTTTTGACCTTATGGACCCCCTTAAAGGATCCTGAGGATCACATTTTGATCACAAACCCTGGAGCAAGGTTGCCTAAGGTTAAGGTCACTTACTAGCTATGTTTAAACCCTTGTACCCTCTTACTAGCTATACTCAAACCCGCTGTCCCTCATTTCAAAACTGGGAATAGCGGTACCTACTTCATATAGTTTTTGTATACTTAGAACAGTTCTTATCACAAGATAAACATTACATAAGTGTTTGCTATAAGCATTATATAATCTCCATGATACTATGTCCTATGAAGTAGCTTGTTATTCTCATCTAATAGATAAGAAAATTAAAGTGTAAATGGGTGTGTGACCTATACAAGGTAACACAGTTTAAGTGGCAGAACTCAGATTTGAATCTAATGCCATAATTTTGAAATCTATGATTGAAAAAGGCACTATGCAATCTGGTCCCTGTCTTATGGTTCATACTACTCTCCCCACAGCTTTCTATGTTCTGGCCATACTCTCCTTTGAGTTTCTCTACAGCTTTACGTGCACCTTAACTCCAGCACATCTGTGCAGGCTGTTCCAGCCTAGAATGCTGTCCTGCTCCTGCTACTTAAGTGGCTGGCTCCTTCTGATCTTGTAAGTCTCAGCAGCCTTTCTGAACCACTTTATGTAAATAGCAGCTCTTCTTCCATTCCCCAGTATTTTCCATTCCAACACAAGATTTATTTCCTGCCTAGAACTTCGGGGTTTGTAACTTCTTTATCAGACCTCATTACTTACTAATTGTCCATCTCCCCACTGGATTGTAAATTCCAAGAGAACAGGGTACATTTTTGCATTGCTCACTACTATGCATTCAAAGCTAACAAAGATACTATGATTTCTGGATGTAAGACGGGTACTTAAAAAACATATATATAGTCAATGAACCATACTGTTTATATGTCCTCAGACAACTCATTTAAACCCTTTGGGCTTCAGTTTCCTACAATGATTAGTTATTTTCCAACTCTAAAATCCTAAAAATATATTTTAGTACCTTCATTTGAAAAATAGAATAGTCTCTCTCCCCCTCCCCCTCCCCTTTGCACGGTCCTCCTCTCCCCTTTGCACAGTCTCCCTCTGATGCCGAGCCGAGGCTGGACTGTACTGCCGCCATCTCGGCTCACTGCAGCCTCCCTGCCTGATTCTCCTGCCTCAGACTGCCAAGTGCCTGGGATTGCAGGCACATGCCGCCACACCTGACTGGTTTTCGTATTTTTTGGTGGAGACAGGGTTTCGCCGTGTTGGCCGGGCTGGTCTCCAGCTCCTGACCGCGAGTGGTCTGCCAGCCTCGGCCTCCCGAGGTGCCGGGATTGCAGACGGAGTCTCGCTCACTCAATGCTCAATGTTGCCCAGGCTGGAGTGCAGTGGCGTGATCTCGGATCGCTACAACCTACACCTCCCAGCCGCCTGCCTTGGCCTCCCAAAGTGCTGAGATTGCAGCCTCTGCCCGGCCGCCACCCCATCTAGGAAGTGAGGAGCGTCTCTGCCCGGCCGCCCATCATCTGGGATGTGGGGAGCACCTCTGCCCCACCGCCCCGTCTGAGATGTGAAGAGTGCCTCTGCCCCGCCGCGACCCCGTCTGGGAACTGAGGAGTGTCTCTGCCCCGCCGCCACCCCGTCTGGGAGGTGAGGAGCGTCTCTGACCAGCCGCCCCGTCTGAGAAGTGAGGAGCCCATCCGCCCAGCAGCCGCCCCGTCTGGGGGAGCCCCTCCGCCTGGCAGCCGCCCCATCCGGGAAGTGAGGAGCGTCTCCGCCCGGCAGCCGCCCAGTCCGGGAGCTGGGGGGCAGCCCCCGCCCGGCCAGCCGCCCCGTCCGGGAGGTGGGGGGCAGCCCCCGCCCGCCGCCCCGTCTGGGAGGTGGGGGGCGCCTCTGCCCAGCCACCCAGTCTGGGAAGTGGGGAGCCCCTCTGCCCGGCCGCCACCCCGTCTGGGAGGTGGGGGGGCCCCTCTGCCCGGCCGCCCCGTCTGGGAAGTGAGGAGCCCCTCTGCCCGGCCGCCACCCCGTCTGGGAGGTGTACCCAACAGCTCATTGAGAATGGGCCATGATGACAATGGCGGTTTTGTGGAATAGAAAAGGGGGAAATGTGGGGAAAAGAGAGATCAGACTGTTATTGTGTCTGTGTAGAAAGAAGTAGACATAGGAGACTCCATTTCGTTCTGTACTAGGAAAAATTCTTCTGCCTTGGGATGCTGTTAATCTATAACCTTACCCCCAACCCCGTGCTCTCTGAAACATGAGCTGTGTCCACTAAGGGTTAAATGGATTAAGGGCGGTGCAAGTTGTGCTTTGTTAAACAGATGCTTGAAGGCAGAATACTCCTTAAGAGTCATCACCACTCCCTAATCTCAACTACCCAGGGACACAAACACTGCGGAAGGTGGCAGGGCCCTCTGCCTAGGAAAACCAGAGACCTTTGTTCACATGTTTATCTGCTGACCTTCCCTCCACTATTGTCCTATGACCCTGCCAAATCCTCCTCTCCGAGAAACACCCAAGAATGATCAATAAATACTAAAAAAAAAAAAAAAAAGAAAGAAAAATAGAATAGTACTGGTTACAGAGAAATTCTGTAAACATATATTTTCTTTTTTTCTTTTTTTTTTTTTTGAGACAGAGTCTCACTCTGTTGCCTAGGCTAGAGTGCAGTGGCGTGATCTCAGCTCACTGCAAGCTCCGTCTCCCAGGTTCACGCCATTCTCCTGCCTCAGCCTCCCGAGTACCTGGGACTACAGGCGCCTGCCACCATGCCTGGCTAATTTTTTGTATTTTTAGTAGAGACAGGGATTCACTGTGCTAGCCAGGATGGTCTCGATCTCCTGACCTCGTGATCCACCCGCCTCAGCCTCCCAAAGTGCTGGGATTACAGGTGTGAGCCACCGCGCCTGGCCAAACATGTATTTTCTAACCAGGCACAGCACTCTTAGTACATAGAGATATCTACAGAGCACAGCTACAAATAGACTGCAAGCTATCTTTTATTTTTTGAGATGGGGTCTCGCTATCTTGCCCCAGCTGGTCTTGAACTCCTGGGCTCAAACAATCCTCCCACCTCAGCCTCCTGAATAGCTGAGATTACAGCATACGCTACAGTGCCTGGACTTGCAACCTTTCTGTTTATCTAACCATAAAATATAAAATTCTGAAGATCATTTCTCCTACTGTATATTACATCACCTGGTAAAAACTATACTTAAAAGAACTCAAGCTGATATTCCAGCATGCAGCTTAATTCAGATCCATACTGCCTTAGTTCCAGAATGTATAACAAAGAGGCTATCACAGAAAATGACTATCTTTATGATAACTATGACAATGATGACCTTTTTATTATTAATAGTATTACCATTATTTAGAGATGAGTTCTTGCTACATTGCCCAGGCTGGTTTTGAACTCCTGGCCCCAAGCAATCCTCCCGCCTTGGGATTAGAGCTAGGATTACAAGTGTGCACCACTGTACCAGAGATGGTAATGGCAACCTTTATTAGCAAGCCCTAACTACAACATAATGAACAAAATAATAAGCTGCTGGAATGTGATCTGAAGAAGGTAAAGAACTACTTGCAGGGAAGAAAACTCACAGTTTTTGTCCAAGCTCTCTAAGTACAATAATATGTGTCCTTGGGAAAGCTACTTAAGTAATCTCTGTCTTCAAATTCCTTACTTATAAAATGAGAATAATGCATGTCGCTATGACAAAGGTTTATTTTTAAAGATCTGATAAATCAACACACGTAAGGTCTTACTTAGAACAGTGACTGTACAACATAAGTCTTCAATGGATGCTTGCTACTATTATTATTATAGAAATATTATCAATATAATTATTTAATGGTTTGAACAATTTAGGAGGCATTTTTTTCCTTTATAGTACAGAGATTATTCATCCATTCTTTCAACTAATATGCACTGTGAATACCAATTACATGCTAGGTACCAAGTAAAATGTTAAAGATACAACAGTGAGCAAAACTAACTGTGGTAAGTGCTCTCAAAGGTTTCTTGTGGATCAAAATTATGGGATAAACCAAGCTATACAATTATCAGGACAACATATGAAATAGCCAGTGATGGTTTTGCTACTGCTAATTTTCAAACTTGACCAACAACTATGAAGATATTTCAAGGTGTAAGTCTAAAACTTAGGCATTTAAGACATACTATTAGTATAATTACCAAATTTCCTAAGGCAAAGCCCAGAGCTGCACTGACTAAAATAGGAAGCTACTTGTGGCTAGAGTCTCCTATATTGGACGGCACAGATATAGAATATAGCCATCATCAAAGAAGTTCTATTGGACAGCATCGATCTAGATGTAGCCGGATAATGCAATTATGCTGAGTAAATTCAATTCTTCAATAAAGTTTAGATAACAGAAAGGTTTTTAAAAAACACATTTATAAAAGGGAAAAACTTTCAAAATAGAATTCAAAGGCAATAATTAAGATGTCATTATGTTAGGTAAAACTGCTCAATAAATAGAAGCTATCCAGCAAAGATTACCAAAAATGCTAACATGTCTAATGATATAGAAAATTTATTCTTTATCCTTTAAAAAGTTAAAGTCTTAATTTTACCTGTATTAAGATCAGTTTTCTAAAGGAGGAGGTGGCACAGGAATTCGGCAGAGTTCAAGTGGGGAATTCATTTGTTAAGAGTTAAATATTTTCCAATTCTATAAAAAATAAAAATAGAAAACTGAAATATTGAGGTAATATTCTCAAGAATGTAATACAAAGAACAGTTTTGATAGGCATTTACAATATAGCTTATCTAATTTTAAGAAATAATTATAGATCCAAAACATTTCTGTAATAACTAGCATACTTGTATACCTTTATCAAACCTAATTAAAAAGCATTATTTTGAAGACAGAAAGTCTGAATTTTAATTTCAAATTTGCCATTAATTATCTATAAGACCTTGAGTAGATTACTTAAATTATCTGGAGCCTCACTTGCATTATTTGTAAAATTAAGTCCCTTCCAGACAAAAATTCTATGACTCTTTTGAAACATGTTACAGTGATTTTTCTTTCTCTCTCTCTCATACACAGACACACAAACACACAATCATTTTAAAAATACCCTCATTAAAATCGTAATATGCAGTATAAAACCAAGCTTAAATAATAAGTATCATAAGCTACAAAATTATTTTGGATGGGTTTCACATAACTGAAAAACTTATCTTTTTTAGAAAAGAACACAAAAAATGCTCTTACTGAATTTTTGGCAGAAAAACACATTAAAAGATTTTGTCAGAATCATTTTCAAATTGCTAAAATGGAGACTTTTCTTAGAAAGTAATAACTATTTTCATGTGTTTGCTGACTACATTATGCTCTACCTTTCTTTGATACAAAGAATACTGTGATAAAATTCTCTTAGAATTATTTTAACTGAAGATGTGTCAGGACCCCCTACTCCACCACAGCAGCTGACACTTTATCTCATACACTGGGCTTTCACATGTGAGTTTTGTTTTATGAGAAGGTTCTGCAGTGGGGGGGAAGAACTTGAAAAGGGCTAAGGGAGTATCTCTGGAAAGACACAAAAGAGACTGGTAGTACTTTGAGAAGGGGCACTTGATATCATGGAAATAGGGTGGGAAAGACTCTCTTTTTGTACCTTGGGAATTTTGAACCACAACCACCAAGATGACTGCCAAATTTTTGAAGCAGTCTATAGGCAGAATGGCTATGTGGGGAATCTCTACAGAGACAAATCTCCCACAGACTTCAGGGCCAAGGAGATAGATACTCAGTAGACTCTCAGTTTAAAAAGTGACAAAGAAAAAGGCCAAATGACAAGAACAATGAGTTTATTAAACTTTAAGACAACCCTAAAATAGCTCAATCCCTGTCTGGTTGAAGGTAATTAGGTCCTTACCAATTTGTGCAACAGAGAAAAATGTGATCCCTACTGGGAACACTGCATAGCACCTCTATGGTTCTTTCATATACAAAGTCTGGCACACAATTTAAAAATTACTAAAAATACAAAGGGATAAAAAAAGTGACCAATAATTAAGAGAAAACTAGACAAGAGAATCAGACTCACAGATAATTGTAAAATGAAGTTAACACACAAGGACAATTATTTAAAGTAATCCTGATTAATAGAAAATAGAAGGGGAAATGTACAAAACTGCTGAAGATGCAACATTTCACTAATGGATTAGGAACTACAAAAATAATTAAATAAGCACTCTAGAACCGAAAAATACAATATGTGAAATTAAGAACTCAATATAGAGCCCTCTCAGTGCAGCCGGCAGCACATCAGTCTCATAATCTGAAGAATTTAATATATTGGTCTTAGAGCAAATGAGACACAGCAGAATACAGGATGAGTAAACTAGAAGACAAATCAATAAAAAAATACCCAAACTGAAGCATAAAGGGAAAAGAATGGAAGAGAGAGGAAGGGGAAAGGGAAAGTAGTGAAAGGAGGAGAGGGAGAGGTTTAAGAGAAATGTGATGCACACTCACAATGTCTAATGTGTGTGTGTGTGTCACAGTTCTCATATATATATATATATATATACACACACACATATAAAACAGAAGTCCTAGAAAAGTAGATAAATTGATAAATGCAATATTCTAAGAAAGAATAACTGGGAGTTTTCAAAAACTGATGACAGAAATCAATCTAGAAATTCAGAACGCTCTGCCAACACCAAGCAGGACATATTAAAAGAAAATTCTACCCAGGATGCCGTAAACTAGAGAAGGAAGGGAAGAAGTAAGGATGGAGAAAAAAATCATAAAAAAGCAGCCATAGGAAAAAAAAAAGAGTTGCTCTTCAAAAAACAGTAAGACTCACAAATTTCTCAACAGAAACAACAGAAGCCAAAATATAATAGAATAACACTGTTAAAGGGCCAAAGAGAAAATAACTGCTAATCTAGAATACTATGCCCAGCAAAACTATCCTTCAAAAATAAAGGTGAAATTTTAAAATTTGCAAAAAAAAAAAAAAAAAAAATCTCACCTTCAAGCCTGTACTAAAAGAAACTTAAAAGGAATTATTCAGACAGAAGGAAATTATCCTAAATCATAAACATGGAAATGTAGGAAGAAATAAACAATATCATCCGCTCAGTTCTGGGGCATAAAAAATATATATATCGGGGTAAACAGTATAAGGAAATGTTAATAGTGACAGTTCAAAACAGTAACTGAAATGCCTTATAAGGTTTAAAGGTTCTAAGATTTTAGCAGTTGTGTGACACTAGTAATAGTAATAGTTTGTATTATACTGTAAAAAGTTAAAGAAGGAAGTTGTAATTTCTAGGATAACCATTACAACAAAATTATATACATATATCAAACAAGTTAGAAGGAAAATATAATATTTAATCTAAAAGCAGGCAAGAAATAGGAAAAAAAACCAGATGGGACAAATAGCAAATGACAGTAAGATTATACATATAAACCCAACTATATTAATAATTATATTACAGTATATAGACCAAGCTTGTCCAACTCACAGCCCAGGGAGGGCTTTGAATATGGCCCGACACAAATTTGTAAACTTTCTTAAAACATGATGAGATTTTTTTTTTGCAATTTTTTTTGCAATTTTTTTTTTTTTTTAAGCTCATCAGCTATCATTCGTGTTAGTGTATTTTATGTATGGCCCAAGACAATTCTTCTGCTTCCAGTATGACCCAGGGAAGCCAAAAGAGTAGATACCCCGATGTAGAAAAAATTCTTCTAGTAAAAGACGAATTTTGTCAGACTGGATTAAACAAGAAGCACAGTCCTTAAAAAAGACACACTAATTTCAGAGAAAGATTTAGAATTTATGGCAAGGATGATTATTAGAGATTAAAGTAATATTAATGAAGGGATCAATCCAACAGGAAGGTACCACAATCATAAACTTATATGTACCCAGTAACCTCAAAATACATAAAGCAGCAGGGCATGGCGGCTCAAGCCTATGATTACAGCATTTTGGGAGGCTTGAGCTCAGGAGTTCAAGACCAGTCTGGGCAACATGGCGAAACCCATTATCTACAAAACAAACAAACAAACAAACAAAAAAACAACAACCAGGGTGTGGTGGTGTGTGCCTGTAGTCCCAGCTACTTGGGAGGCTGGGAGGATCACTTGAGCCCAGGAGGTCAAGGCTGCAGTAGGCCATGATCATACCACTGCACTCCCACCTTGGCAACTGAGTAAGACTCTGTCTTAAAAAAAAAAAAAAAGAAAACAAAAACATAAAGCAAAAATTTGCAGAATTAAAAGGAGAAAAAGATAAAGCCATAATAATAGTTGGAGACCCACATCTCTCTCAGCAAATTGACAGAAAAAGCAACCAAAAATCAGTAAGATCTGAATGGTGCAATTAACAACCAACCAAAATGACTAATACAGAACACTGTAACTAGCAACTACACAATTTGAATTCTTTTCTTTTTTCTTTTCTTTTTTTTTGAGACGGAGTCTCGCTCTATCGCCCAGGCTGGAGTGCACTGGCGCGATCTTGGCTCACTGCAACCTCCGCCTCCCGGGGTTCAAAAGATTCTCCTGCCTCAGCCCCCCGAGTAGCTGGGAATACAGGCGCGTGCCACCACCCCGGTTTTTTTTTTTTTTTAATTTTTAGTAGAGACGGGGTTTCACCACGTTGGCCAGGGTGGTCTCGATCCTCTGACCTCGTGATCCACCCGCCTTGGCCTTCCAAAGTGCTGAGATTACAGGCGTAAGCCACCGCACCTGGCAAAAATTTGAATTCTTTTCAAAGACTCCCTGCATAGTCAGCCACAAGAGAAGTTTCAACATACTTCAAAAAAGATGATGGCATGCAAAGTATGGTTTCTAACCACAACAAAAATAAGCTACAAATCATTAACAACAATAACAAAAATAATAAAGAAAAACCTAGAAAAACACCAACTACCTGGAAAATTAAAATTACATTTCTTTTTTATTTTTTAAATTTAAAATTAAATAGAGATAGCGTCTCACCATATTGCCCAGGCAGGTCTTGAACTCCTGGGCTCAGGCAATCCTCCTGCCTCAGCCTGCCAAAGTGCTGGGATTACAGGCGTGAGCCACTGCACCTGGCCTAAAACTACATTCCTAAATTATCTATAGGTCAAAGAAGAAATCTCTACAAAAAATAAAAAAAATAAGCTGGGTGTGGTGACACACACCTGTGGTCCCAGCTACTCAAGAGCCTGTGAGGTGGGAGGATTGCTTGAGCCCACGAGTTTAAGGCTGTAGTGAGCCATAACTGTGCCACAACACTCTAGCCTGGGCAAC
This sequence comes from Homo sapiens, assembly GCF_000001405.40. Taxonomy (NCBI): domain Eukaryota; kingdom Metazoa; phylum Chordata; class Mammalia; order Primates; family Hominidae; genus Homo; species Homo sapiens. The sequence continues at coordinate 201,050,196 of NC_000002.12, forward strand.
AGAGTGACACCCTGTCTCAAAAAAAAAAAAAATTCCCCCCAAAACAAACAAAAAAAACCATGTCAGTATAAAACGGACACATTTCTTAAAAAATATAAATTAAATTACTAATGCTGAAAGAAACAGAATATCCAAATAGCCCCAAAGCAAATAAAGAAATGGAATGTATTATTAAAAATCTTTCCTTAAAGAAAATCTCAAGTAAAGATGGTTTCACTAGTGAATTCTTTCAATTACGGGAGAAACCACACCAAGCTTATTAAAGTCTTCCAGAGAACAGAAAATAATAAATATGCTGAGGAGGGAGAATCTCTTGAACCCAGTAGGCAGAGGTTACAGTGGGCCGAGATCACGCCACTGCACTCCAGCCTGGGTGACACAGCAAGACCCTGTCTCAAAAAAAGAAAAAAAAAAAAAAAGGAATAAAGACTTCCTATTTTTAAGAACCATTATAATAGCCAGACACAGTGGCTCATGTCTATAATCCCAGTACTTTGGGAGGCTGAGGCAGGCAGATCACTTAAGGTCAGGAGTTCGAGACCAGCCTGGCCAAACATGGTGAAACCCCGTCTCTACTAAAAATATAAAAATTAGCCAGGTGTGGTGGTGGGTGCCTGTAATCCCAGCTGTTTGGGAGGCTGAGGCAGGAGAATCGCTTGAACCCAGGAGGCGGAGGTTGCAGTGAGCTGAGATCGCACCACTGCACTCCAGCCTGGGGGGACAGAGCAAGACTCCGTCTCAAAACAAACAAACAAACAAACAAACCCAGTATAGCTATAACAAAAATTAACACAGACATTACAAGGAAGGAAAATCACACACTAATTTCTCTTATGAACACAGAGGCAAAAATATCAATGAATTAGCAAATTAAATCTAGTACTATATATAAAGAATACCATATATAAAAAGGAATTTACTCCAGGCATATAACGGCAGTTCAGGAGAAAATTCATGTGATCATCCAAATAGGTACAGGAAAAGCATGACACATTCAATATTCAGTTATGATATAACCTATTGAAAAATTCATAAAGAATATCCGTAAAAAGCCTATAGCAAGTATCACAATGGTAAAATATTGAAAACTTTACCCTCTGAGGTTGAAAACAAGACAGAGATGACCATTATCACCACTTCTATTCAACATTGTACTGGAAGGCCTAGCTAGTACAGTAAAGCAAGAAAAACAAAAAGAATAAGGACTGGAAAGGAAGAAATGCTATTACTCACAGATGATATAATTATACACCAAGAAAACCCAAAAGACTCTATAGATTATTAAAATAAGTGAATTTATCTAAGTTTCTGAATATAAGGTTAATATACAAAAAATCAATTGTTTCTATAAACCAGCCACAAATTTTTAAAAATGCATCTTACAACAGCATTAAAAAATAAGACTAGAAATAAATCTAACAAAAGATGTATAAGACCTCTACAATGAAAACAAGAAAACATTTTCGAGAGAAAATAAAGATGGTGTAAATAAAGCGGAGGATATACCATGTTCATGAGTTGGGAAGACTCATAAAGATGTCAGTTCTCCCTCAATTAATCACTACCTTGGTATTAAGCATATGTATTGCCTAATCTGTCATTGTGTGGGGTGGGGGCAGGAAAACTGTAAGGTCCTGGCACAAAAACCAGCCCAAAACTGAGATTGTACCAAGACCATAGAGAACACCCCAATCCTCAATCATGAGCCTAATACTAAGGAAGGAGAAAAGTGTGAGGAGAGAAGGGCCTTCTATTTCTCAACAAGATGGAGTGACAGAAAGTGAATTTACCTTCTTGCCTGAATTTAAGACATGGAAGAGGGCCCGATGTGGTGGCTCATGCCTGTAATCCTAGCACTTTTGGAGGGCAAGGCGGGTGGACCACTTGAACTCAGGAGTTCGAGGCTAACTTGTGCGACATAGTGAAACCCCATCCCTATTAAAAATACAAAAACTAGCCCAGTGCAGTGGTACGCACCTGTAGTGCCAGCTATTCAGGAGGCAGAGGCAGGAGAATCACTTGAGCCCAGGAGGCGAGGCTGCAGTGAGCCGAGATCACGCCACTGCACTCCAGCCTGGGCAACAGGAGGGGGGGAAGAAAAAAACACGGAAGAAAATATGAAACAAAGGCAGGTCACAGTGGCTCACGCTTGTTATCCCAGCACTCTGGGAGGCCAAGGCAGGAGGACTGCTTGAGCCCAAGAGTTTGAGACCACCTTGGCCAACACCGTGAGACCTCGTCTCTGCAAAAAAAATTTTAAAAATTAGCCGGGCATGGTGGCACAAGCCTGTAGTCCCAGCTACTCAGGAGGCTGAGGTGGGAAGATCACTTGAACCTGGGAGGTTGAGGCTGCAGTGAGCCGTGACTGTGCCACTGCACTGCAGCCTAGACAAGAGTGAGACTCTGTCTCAAAAGAAAAAGAAAAAAGAAAGAAAGAAAGTACATGAAACACAGTTTTCATTACACTGGGCACAGACAGTAAAGAACAATGAAGTTGCCTCAACTTCCTTCCTCAAGACTTTCCAGGCTGCAGGGTAAGGAAGAGAAAGGCAAGTGAAACCTGGTAGACTCTCTGAGTTAAGGAGGCAGAGCTAAGAGTACAGGTAGACCAAAGTGTTAGAGGACAGCGTAATGTGGAGAGCTGTACTGAAAACGAACTCTGAAGATCTGCAAAGGATCCCTCTCTAGTAGTCAAACGAAAACTGATCAGCACACTGTGTGTGTGAGGAAACTACCAGAAGCCAGGAAAAGAAGCACCAGAAAGATTAGAGGTAGCAGTGTCCAGAACTTACACAGGGCCAGAAATAGTGCCGCTTCTCACCAATTCCATTGAGGATGGGGTCAAGTACACATAAGAGTTCTTCCTAAGTAATGGGGACTTACTACCCCTACAGTGAACACAGATCCAGTACTATCTATTAAATCTTAAAATTTTTTTTTTTTTGAGACGGAATTTCGCTCTTGTCAACCAGGCTGGAGCACAATGGCGCAATCTCCAGTCACTGCAACCTCCGCCTCCTGGGTTCAAGTGATTCTCCAGCCTCGGCCTCTCAAGTAGCTGGGATTATAGGTGCCCACCACCACGCCCAGCTAATTTTTGTATTTTTAGTAGAAGCGGGGTTTCACCATATTGGCCAGGCTGGTCTCGAACTCCTGAACTCAGGTGATCTGTAAAATCAAAATCTGGAACTATTTTCAAATAAATGTAACTGCATCCCAGAGCAGAGCTCAAAAACATTTATAGGAATGCGAAACTATCCCACGTAATGCAAAGGTTTGAAAAGTGCTTGCATACTGGAGCTTGCCCTTCTTTCTACTTTTAAAATCTAGCAGCCATGTGAAGAAGCCAAAGCTAGCCTAATGAATAGACATAGGCCAGCCAACAGCCAGCACTACCCAACAAATGTGTGAGTGAAGCCATCTTAAATAACAGTCCCAATCAAATGACATGAGTAATCTCAGGGAAGATCAGAAAAAGAACTGCCCAAGCCGGGCGTGGTGGCTCACACCTGTAATCCCAGCACTTTGGGAGGCTGAGGCGGGTGGATCACGAGGTCAGGAGATCAAGACCATCCTGGCTAACATGGTGAAACCCTGTCTCTACTAAAAATACAAAAAATTCGCCGGGCATGGTGGCGAGCACCTGTAATCCCAGCTACTTGGGAGGCTGAAGTAGGAGAATCGTTTGAACCCAGGAGGCAGAGGTTGCAGTGAGCTGAGATTGCACCACTGTACTTGATCCTGGATGACAGAGCGAGACTCCATCTCAAAAACAAACAAACAAACCTTACCTCAAAAACAAACAAACAAAAAACCCAGAAAAGAAAAGCTGGGGAATGAGATGTCCATAAAAGACTCTGAAAAGCTCCAACAACTTCCTGGGAATCCAGAAGGTCATATTTATGCAAAGGGATGTGTACCCAGTGCTATACGCATGCTCAGGAATAATCGGAGAAGCCCTTAAAATCTCATTAGGGGCTAATCTGAGGCTGTGCACACAACTCATTACTGGAGAATTAATGGCATCTTTTCCAATTCTACTGGGAGAGGATTCTTGCAAGCTTGAGCTTGGTTTCTTCCAGACTTCATTCCATATGCCTTTCGCTTTGCTGATTTTGCCTTGTATCATCTCATTGCAATAAACTATAACTGTGAATAAAATGACTTGAGTCCTGAGAGTCAATCTTGGAAATCATGAAATGTGGGAATGGTCTTGAGGGACCCTCTACAAAGCTCCTAAGCCCTTTTGACATAAACCTAGTAAATGAAGATAACCTCCTAGCTTCCTGCTAGGACAAGAAGTTCCAGACTTACCTTCTACAAATCCTGCCTTAGGCCTAGAACCAGACATTTCTCCAAGGAACCCCTTTTAGTAGGAAATAATATTTTAAAGACTACATTCTGGGTGCTAAAGCTTGGGCATATCTTAAGTACAATTTACTCCCATTTAGTGACATAGGGGTGGAGGGAGGAAAGGATCCATTCCTTGTATTTCAAGTAAAAAAAAAATTTTCCCCCATAAAAAGTAGTATCCAACACCAAAGAACCTAAAAACATATTGGATATATAACCTATTTAGGTATGTAGGCACAAAATTAAAGTCAAAAATAAATTCCAAGAAAACATGTCGAATTTTTTTAATTTTAATTTTCAGAGATGAGTTCTTGCTGTGTTGCCCAGGCTGGTCTTAAACTCTGGGCATCAAGCAATCCTCCTGACTTGGCCTCCCAAAGTGCTGGGATTACAGGCATGAGCCACTGTACCTAGCCTATGTTGAATTTTAGAATAAACCTTTCAAATACTGAATAAATAAATGTTTAAAGCGGTTGGTATTCAAAGAGTTGAGTCAAGAAATGCAGTGTCTGGATTTCGTGGCATTTTTAACCTCTAAAAGTATTCCTTACTTAGTTAACTGACACAGTTCATAATAAGTTCTTCCTAAAGGCAAAAATATTTGAAATATTGGCATCTTTTTTTCTTTTGTGTTTTTTCCTCAATTTTTTTTATTGTGGTAAAAAAATTTACCATCTTAACCATTTTTAATGTACATTTCAGTAGTATTAAATACATTCATAATGTTGTCCAACCATCACCATACTCTTTTCATCTTGTAAAACTAAAACTCACGGTGAGCCGAGATCGCACCATTGCACTACAGCCTGGGCAACAAGAGCGAAATTCCATCTCGAAAAAAAAAAAAAAAACAAACACTAAAATTCTAGGCTAGGCGTAGGGGCTCACACCTGTAATCCCAGCACTTTGGGAGGCCGAGGAAGCCAAATCATTTGAGCCCAGGAGTTTGAGACCAGCCTGGGCAACATGGCAAAACCCTGTCTCAATAAAAAATACAAAAATTAACAGGCCATGGTAGTGAGCACCTATAGTTCCAGCTACTCCAGGGACTGAGGTGAGAGGATCACTTAAGCCCAGAGTTTGAGGTTACATTGAGCTACAATCATGCCACTGCACCCCAGCATGGGTGACAGAGTGAAACCCTGTCTCTAAAAATAAAAACATAAAAATAAAAATGAAGGACAAGTTATCATAGCTCAGCCTGCCACCACCACTTAGAAAGAAGCACAATGCTGGGAGCAGTGGCTTATGCCTGTAATCCTAGCTACTCGGGTGGCTGATGTGGGAGGATCATTTGAGGCCAGTAGTTCAAGACCAGCTTGGGCAACATAGAAAGACCCTATCTCTAAAATAAAAATAGCTGGGCACGGTGGCTCACACCTGTAATCCCAGCACTTTGGGAGGCCGAGGCGGGTGGATCACAAGGTCAGGAGATCGAGACCATCCTGGCTAACACGGTGAAACCCCGTCTCTACTAAAAATACAAAAAATTAGCCGGGGTGGTGGCAGGCGCCTGTAGCCTGTAGTCCCAGCTACTCAGGAGGCTGAGGCAGGAGAATGGCATGAACCTGGGAGGTGGAGCTTGCAGTGAGCCGAGATGGCGCCACTGCACTCCAACCTGGGCAAGAGTGCGAGACTCCGTCTCAAAAAAAAAAATAAATAAAATAAAATAAAATGAAGCACTGTGCACAGTGGAACTCTTTAAATTCTAGAAATAACATAAACCATATTTAGTGTGATGCTCTGCCCATTTCCTGAATAATTCATTAATAGCTGCCAGTTTTAAATGGGGCCTAGGACATGAGAAGGCAAGAGGTCAAGGTAGCAGTATAAGATGCTCTGCCAGCCGGGCGCAGTGGCTTACGCCTGTAATCCTAGCACTTTGCGAGGCTGAGGCAGACGGATCACCTGAGGTTGGGAGTTCGAGACCAGCCTGACCAACATGAAGAAACCCCATCTCTACTAAAAATACAAAATTAGCCAGGCGTGGTGGTGCATGCCTATAATCCCAGCTACTCCGGAGGCTGAGGCAGGAGAATTGCTTGAACCCGGGAGGCGGAGGTTGCGGTGAGCAAAGATCATGCCATTGCACTCCAGCCTGGGTAACAAGAGTGAAACTCCATCTCAAAAAAAAAAAAAAAAAAAGATGCTCTGCCATTTGGGCCTTAATATCCAGCAAATTCGGTGGTATTCAAAGCGTCTGTGGTAGATGATAAAGTAGCTGTATAAAGCTACCAGTAGGCCCTGCTAGAAGAATCACAACACAGACCACCAGGCACTTAAGTCCATCTAAAGCAGGATTTCTTAACCTTGGCACTATTGGCATTTTGGTCACCCTTGACATTGTGAAAGGCTGTCTTTTACATGGTAGGATGTTTAGCAGCATCCCTGCCCTCTTCCTATTACATGCCAATAGCAATGCCCTGAATTGGACCAACAAAATGTCTCTAAACATTGTCAAGTGTGCCCCTGCATGAGAACTACTGCTTCTGAAGAGAGCTATGCCCTCTCTGCAGATGATTGCTCTTCTTTTGAGAAATAGCTCCTTGCTTGGCTTTTGAGCACCAGCAGAGACTGACCATGTGACCTGACATACTTTCAAGAAGTGAGTGTTCCGATCCTCCAAGCCATAAAGCTATATGTGCTGGCAGCATTCCATGATGAAATGGAAGTGATAGTGTGTCAGATATGAACTTTCAAGGGAACAAGGGAGGACTATATTTGTCTATCCTCTTTAAGTCAAATGTGACCTTATGACTTTCTTTGACCAAAGAGCAGAAATCATTTCTGTAGAAACATTTATGTGCCAGTATGCAATTCTCCAGCCTGTTCTTCTCGTCACTATGATAATAGAAGCAGAGATAAATATAGATATGCAATGCTGACCCATCAAATGAAGAACAGCTGCCTGGAATCACCCAGCTTGCACCAGATTTTACATGAGAGGAAACAAATCTCTCTTTTTCAAATTTTAAGCCTTTATTTGAAGGTTGGTTGTTACCACTACATAACCAAGTAATCCTGACTACAATGGTTGTAATGAGGTTAGAGCAGGCTCCAAAAGCACAAATAAGCTAGAAGAACAAATGGCTGAGACACCCATGGCACTTACTTCTACTAATCAACTCTTCCTTAATCTATGGCCTTGTAGAGTTCCCTAAGATCAAAGGAAAGAAGGAAAAAAAAAAACTTAGGCCTGGTTTATACATGGTTGCATACAGTCTGCTGGCATTGACCTTACAGAGAAGTAGCCCTACAGGACAGGAGAAAGGGAACTCCCAGTAGGCAAAACTTCAAACAGTATCTCGTTGTTCACTATACCTGAAGAGACCAAAGATATGGATCTATCGGTTTGGCTAAATGGCCTTTGTAACCAGTATTTGCTCAACAGGCACGTGAACAAAATGGTCTTGTCAGCAAGAATAGAAATTATACCCTGGCTCAACACAGACTTCCCCTCACCAATGCTGATCTACAATTTCACAATATGCCAGGCTGTCTCACACCTCACACATTTTCTTATGCTACATTCCTCTCTGGAATGCCTTTCAACTACCCTCTATCCTAACTACCCTCCCCTTCTTCCAACACTCAGACCAACAGTTGCCTCCTCTATGAATCTTTTCCATAGCATACAACCCTGCATCAATTCAAAGCCCTCTCCTTCCTCTTCACACAGAAGTTCTCAACATAGCGTCCACAGACCCCCAGGGATCTATAATAAAACTCATAAACTTTGATAAGAAGAAAATTGTATCACTTTTTACCAATCTCTAACTAACATTTATAATGTCATTAGATTGTGAGTATAGGCAAAACAATAAAACAACCAGCCATAATATTTTTGTGATTTGGTCACCAATAGAAATCACAGGTATTAGGCCCAGCACAGCGGCTCACGCCTGTAATCCCAGCACTTTGGGAAGCCAAGGCGGGTGGATCGCTTGAGGTCAGGAGACCAGCCTGGCCAACATGGTGAAACCCCGTCTCTACTAAAAATACAAAATTAGCCAGGCATCGTGGCGCATGCCTGTAGTCCCAGCTACCCAGGAAGGTGAAGCATGAGAATCACCTGAACCTGGGAGGTGGAGGTTGCAGTAATCCAAGATTGCACCATTGGCCTCCAGCCTGGGAAACAGGGCCAGACCCCATCTCAAGAAAAAAAAAGAAATCACAGAAATTTTCATATCGAATTACATTTGTTTCTTATCACTATGTCATGACACTTTTCTCTGGTCAGAGAGCTTCCATTCTACCCTGGATAAAAATGTTTCCAATCTCATCTCCATATATTTAGCTAAACATTTTTCTGGGTGTTTCCATATGAGATTAACATTTAAATCTATAGACTGAGTAAAGCAGACTGCCTTTCCTAATGTGGTGGATGTCATTTAATCAGTGGAAAGCCTGAACAGACAAAAAGGCTAAGCCTCCCCCAAGTAGAGAGTCAGTTCCTCCTGCCTAAGGACATTGGCTTTCTCCAGCCTTCAAACTCAAACTGAAACATTAGCTCTTCAGAGTCTCAAGCCTGAGTGACTGCTACTATGTTATCTCTGGTTCTCAGGACTTTGGACTGTGTCTGACTGGAACTATACAGTCAGGTCTCCTGAGTCTCCAGCTTGCCAACTACCCTGCAGATCTCGGGACTTGTCAGCCTCCTAAATTGTGTAAGCCAATTCCTATAATAAACCTTATAATAAATCACACACAACCTTATTGGTTCTGTTTCTCTGGAAAACCCTGATGAATATAGTTCCTGACTTGTTCAGAATGACCTAAGGATATATGCAGAATCCATCTCTTATACCTCTCAGAACAGGAATCCAAGTTATAGATGGGAATGCCTGGCCCTGGTATCAGGCATTCCATTACCATGTCTTCTTCAGTAGAACAGGGGCATATAAGTGAGATTGGTGGCTAGGCAGATACCCAACCAAAGAGCAAATGTAAATCTCTCTTCTTAATGACAGAGAGTGACTCTTTCAGGACCTCCTTATCTTGACTTTTGGGAAGGAAAAAACCCTTTCCTTTCCCCTCACAGAGCAGGGAATAGTTTCTTTCCATTAATACTCCCCTTCCAAAGAAGGCCTCTCCCCTTCTCCCTCTTAAGCCTCATAAATTGATGGGGTGGGCAGAATCATAGTCACAACAGCCCATAGTACTCAACATCTTATGTTGTCAAAGACCTGTGTGCAGGTTGAAGAGCCCTCTTATTGACTGGGTGCAGTGGCTCATGCCTGTAATCCTCGCACTTTGGGAGGCCGAGGCGGGTGGATCACCTGAGGTCAAAAGTTGAAGACCAGCCTGGCCAACATGGTGAAACCCCGTCTCTACTAAAAATACAAAAATTAGCCAGCGTAGTGGCACATGCCTGTAATCCCAGCTACTTGGGAGGCTGAGGTGGAGAATCACTTGAACCCGGGAGGCGGAGGTTGCAGTGAGCCGAGATTGCGCCACTGCTCTCCAGCCTAGGCAACAACAGCAAAACTCTGTCTAAAAAAAAAGCGGGGGGGGGGGGGTTCTTCTTACTAAACCACAACTTTTCTGGGGCAGGGAGTATGCCTCACTTGCATTTGCATTTCCGGTTCTTAACAGGACCTAGTACATAGTTAGCACTTAATTCATGTCTATTGAATGAAGAGCTTAACAGCACTACTAGGCGGTCAGCAGCAGATACAGTATAGAAGATAAGGAGCAAGTATGTCAAAGATTACTAGTTTCCATCCAATATAGATCCTTACTCCACTCTCACTAATCTAGTTTGTATGACCAGCTAAAAGCCATTTCTGAACCTTACCTGTAGCTAAGTATAGCCAAATGACTATGTTTCAGTCAATGAGATCAGAAGAAGTGTTGTGTAGGAAATTCTAGAGAGGTTTTTTTAAAAGATGAGAGATATAGCCCTTTTGTCTATGCCTTTCTTCCTCCTTTCTTCTGCCTAGAACATAAATGTGATGGCTGGAGGTCCAGCAACCATTAGGTAATCTTGAAAGTAGAAGACACATGCTAAAGATGGCGAAAGAAGAAGACAGAAGCAGCCTGTGCCCTTGACAACTCCACAGAGTTGCCATATAGGCCCTAGATCTCCTACGTCTGAATTTTTTTTACCAAATTAACTACTTTAAGCAATGGTTATTTCTTATCTCTGTTTCCGGCAGCCAAACACAATTCCTAACTGATAAAGCAAAAAAGAGACTCCAGCAACAAATTTGTATTCTAAAACACCAACAGCCATCTCAGCTATGCCTCAACTTAATGTTCATAAAGTATAAGATATTTCTACTGAAATGGGAGGGGTAGAGTAGGAAGCAAGACTGAAAAAAGAGATTCTACTCTTGGAGAGTACAACATATGGATGGATGTTTAGAGTACTTTAGTACACTAACAAATTTCATACTACAGTACTGTAATTTTTTGCCAACAGTTGGTAGTTATGTTCTAAAAAGGCAATGTGGCTTACAAAACTGTAACTGGAAAAGCCAAATTACATGAAAATAATGGGTTAAGAAAATAAATAGTTTATCAAAAAAAAAAAGGAACATTTTAATGGAAGATGTTCAACTAGCTGTTTAAAACTTGTTCAAATTAAAAAAAAAAAAAGTTGGCTGGGTGTGGTGGTGGCTCATGCCCGTAATCCCAGCACTTTGGGAGGCCAAGGTGGGTGGATCACCTGAGGTCAGGAGTTCGAAACCAGCCTAACATAGTGAAACCCTGTCTCTACTAAATACTAATAATTAGCCAAGCATGGTGGCACATGCCTTTAACCCCAGCTACTTGGGAGGCTGAGGCAGAAGAATCGCTTGAACCCGGGAGGTGGAGGTTGCAGTAAGCAGAGACTGCAGCATTGCACTCCAGCCTGGGAGAGCGAAACTCCATCTGAAAAAAAAAATAAAATAAAATAGTTGACTCTTCTACAGATTAACCTCCTTCAAGTTTTAAAAAAACACTGCTGTAGCACAACAATCATAATCAATTAAGGCTGATTTTCCTGCATATTATACAGACTTTTCTATTTATACTTCATAAATACTTTGAACCAGTTCTTCCTGGCTGCCACTTGAAGTCTTTCATACTTATAGTTTTTTTTTTTTTATTTTTATTGAATAAGAAAATTTTTAAATTTTTAAATTTAAAATTTAATTCAGAAAAATCTTTTCACAAATTATTTTACTGACTGTCATTTTTTAGACTGTTTTTCATTCTTAAAGAAAACGGAAAATAAACTGATCTCTCTGTGGCCTACCCAACAGACTTGCATAAAACAGTACACATTCTGGCCAGGTGCAGTGGCTTACACCTGTAATCACAGCACTTTGGGAGGCCAAGGCAGGCAGATCACTTGAGCCCAGAAGTTTGAGACCAGCCTGAGCAACAAAGCAAGACTTCGTCTCTATAAAAAGGACAAAATCAACTGGGCATGGTGGTGCATGCCTGTGGTCCCAAATACTTGGGAGGCTGAGGAGGGAGGACTGCTTGAGCCTGGGAGGTCGAGGCTGCAGTGAACCACGATCACACAACTGCACTCCAGTCTGAGCAACAAAGCAAGACCCTGTCTCAAAAAATTATAAAATAAAGTAAAAGCACATATTGTAATATTATGGAATACAAATACAAAGGTATACTATCTTTAATAAAAGATCAACTGGCAAAACTGGTGGGAGGAAATTACTATATTATAATAGAAATCTGGCCAGACATGGTGGCTCCAGCCTGTAATCCTGGCACTTTGGGAGGCTGAAAAGGGTGGATCACTTGAGGTCAGGAATTCAAGACCAGCCTGGCCAACATATCCTGTCTCTATTAAAAATACAAAAATGAGGCCGGGCGCGGTGGCTCACACCTGTAATCCCAGCACTTTGGGAGGCCGAGGCAGGCAGATCACAAGGTCAGGAGATCGAGAGCATCCTGGCTAACATGGTGAAACCCCGTCTTTAATAAAAATACAAAAAATTAGCCAGGCGTGGTGGTGGCGGGCACCTGTAGTCCCAGCTACTTGGGAGGCTGAGGCAGGAGTATGGCATGAACCTGGGAGGCAGAGCTTGCAGTGAGCTGAGATCGCGCCACTGCACTCCAGCCTGGGCAACAGAGCGAGACTCTGTCTCACAAAAAAAAAAAAAACATTAGCCAGGAGTGGTAGCAAGCGCCTGTAATCCCAGCTACTCAAGAGGCAGAGATGGGAGGATCATTTGAGTTCAGGAGGTTGAGGCTGCAGTGAGCTATAATCGCACCACTGCACTCCAGCCTGGGCAACAGAGTGAGACCCTGTCTCCAAAAATAATAATAATTATTAAATATATTAATTAGATTTATATATATAATATATATAAACATATATATACGGCAACTGTTGAAATGGTCCTAGTGAGAGGCCTACTGAGAGGTTAGAGGCCTGAACAACTACTACTGCTGCTGCTGCTGCTATTACTATTAATAGCAGCTAACATTTATTATGCATCAAGTACTATAATAAAAATCTTCTCCTTTCTGCCCGTGGACGCCGCCGAAGAAGCATCGTTAAAGTCTCTCTTCACCCTGCCGTCATGTCTAAGTCAGAGTCTCCTAAAGAGCCCGAACAGCTGAGGAAGCTCTTCATTGGAGGGTTGAGCTTTGAAACAACCGATGAGAGCCTGAGGAGCCATTTTGAGCAACGGGGAACGCTCACAGACTGTGTGGTAATGAGAGATCCAAACACCAAGTGCTCCACGGGCTTTGGGTTTGTCACATATGCCACTGTGAAGGAGGTGGAGGCAGCTATGAATGCAAGGCCACAGAAGGTGGATGGAAGAGTCGTGGAACCAAAGAGAGCTGTCTCGAGAGAAGATTCTCAAAGACCAGGTGCCCACTTAACTGTGAAAAAGATATTTGTTGGTGGCATTAAAGAAGACACTGAAGAACATCACCTAAGAGATTATTTTGAACAGTATGGAAAAATTGAAGTGATTGAAATCATGACTGACCGAGGCAGTGGGAAGAAAAGGGGCTTTGCCTTTGTAACCTTTGATGACCATGACTCCGTGGATAAGATTGTCATTCAGAAATACCACACTGTGAATGGCCACAACTGTGAAGTTAGAAAAGCCCTGTCAAAGCAAGAGATGACTAGTGCTTCATCTAGCCAAAGAGGTCGAAGTGGTTCTGGAAACTTTGGTGGTGGTCGTGGAGGTGGTTTCAGTGGGAATGACAACTTTGGTCATGGAAGAAACTTCAGTGGTCATGGTGGCTTTGGTGGCAGCCGTGGTGGTGGTGGATATGATGGCAGTGGGGATGGCTATAATGGATTTGGTAATGATGGAAGCCATTTTGGAGGTGGTGGAAGCTACAATGATTTTGGCAATTACAAAAATCAGTCTTCAAATTTTGGACCCGTGAAGGGAGGAAATTTTGGAGGCAGAAGCTCTGGCCCCTATGGCGGTGGAGGCCAATACTTTGCAAAACCACGAAACTAAGGTGGCTATGGCGGTTCCAGCAGTAGCAGTAGCTATGGCAGTGGCAGAAGATTTTAATTAGGAAACAAAGCTTAGCAGGAGAGGAGAGCCAGAGAAGTGACAGGGAAGCTACAGGTTACAACAGATTTGTGAACTCAGCCAAGCACAGTGGTGGCAGGGCCTAGCTGCTACAAAGAAGACATGTTTTAGACAAATACTCATGTGTATGGGCAAAAAACTCGAGGACTGTATTTGTGACTAATTGTATAACAGGTTATTTTAGTTTCTGTTCTGTGGAAAGTGTAAAGCATTCCAACAAAGGGTTTTAATGTAGATTTTTTTTTTTGCACCCATGCTGTTGATTGCTAAATGTAATAGTCTGATCGTGACGCTGAATAAATGTCTTTTTTTTTAATGTGCTGTGTAAAGTTAGTCTACTCTGAAGCCATCTTGGTAAATTTCCCCAACAGTGTGAAGTTAGAATTCCTTCAGGGTGATGCCAGGTTCTATTTGGAATTTATATACAACCTGCTTGGGTGGAGAAGCTATTGTCTTCGGAAACCTTGGTGTAGTTGAACTGATAGTTACTGTTGTGACCTGAAGTTCACCATTAAAAGGGATTACCCAAGCAAAATCATGGAATTATTGGTTATAAAAGTGATTGTTGGCACATCCTATGCAATATATCTAAATTGAATAATGGTACCAGATAAAATTATAGATGGGAATGAAGCTTGTGTATCATCCATTATCATGTGTAATCAATAAACGATTTAATTCTCTGGAAAAAAATCTTCTGTGTATCTGCTCATTTAATCCTAACAATTCTTCTTAAAAACTTTTAATTTTGAAATTATAGACTCACAGGAAGTTGCAAAAAAAACTGCCAACAGGTCTCATGTACCCTTTGCCCATTTTCCCTCAATGGGAACACCTTGAATAACTACAGTAAAATATCAAGACCAGGAAATTGACATTGCTACAGTCTACAAAGTTTACTCAGATCTAACCAGTTTTACAAGCACTCATGTATACGTGTGTGTATAGCTCTATGCAATTTTATCACATAGGTAGACTCATGTAATTACCATCACAATCAAGATACAGAACTGTTCTGTCACCAAGACACTCTTGTAGTCCCACCCACTCCCCTCTCCTTGATACCTAAACCATGGCAACCACGAATCTGTTCTCTATCTCTTTATTTTTAGTATTTCAAGAATGTTATATAAATGGAATCATGGAATATGCAATTTTGAGATTTTTTTCACTTGAGACCCATTCAAGTTGTTACATTTTATTAACAGTCCATTCCTTTTTATTGCTGCATAGCAGTCCATGATATAGATGCACTATAGTCTATTTAACCTGTTGAAGAACATTTAGGTTTCCAGTTTTTGGCTATTAGGAATAAAGATGCTATGAGAATTCACACAGGTTTTTATATGAATGTAAGTTTCAGTTTCTCTGGAACAAATGCCCAAGACTGCAATTGTTGGCTTGTATAACTCTATTTCTAAAGATAAGGACACTGAGATGTAAATAGCGGAGCTAGGATTCTAATCTAGATAGTTGCCTCTAGGCCCTAATTCTTCATAATATTTCTAGCAGCTACAGAAATTGAGAGAAGTAAATGGAATCAAAGAAAGAGTAAGAAGGTAAAGTCAACAGAACCTAGCATTGCTCAGATGAAGCGTAAGGGTTAAAGATAGATAACATCAGGGTTCCAGCTCCAGCAGGTTAGAAAGATGACAAAAGGGAAAACATGAATTCACTTTTAAACATATTATAGTTGAAGGACCTGTAGCTCATCTTCATCTAGCAGGCAATTACATGTATAGAATAGGAACTAAAGTTAAAGGGAAAGCTCTGGATTAGAGACACAGATTGAGAACCATCATATTTGGATGCTAATTAAATAAAAAAATCACAGAGTAACAAAGCATAAAATGAGAGAAGATTCAGAACCTTAAGGAACAGAAACATTTGAGTCTTAAGTTTTATATTCATTTCCCCTAGTATTTTCCATAAATAGCAGATACTGTAAAATACTGCAAATTCAAATTAACTTTAGATTTTATAAAAGCCCTTCATGTTTTCTTTTCTTTTTTTTTTTTCTTTGGAGACAGAGTCTCACTTCATCGCCCAGGCTGGAGTGCACACAATCTTGGCTCACTGCAACCTCCACTTCCTAGGTTCAAGCAATTTTCCTGCCTCAGCCATTCCAGTAGCTAGCACTACAGGTGTGCACCACCGTGCCCAGCTAACTTTTGTATTTTTAGTAGAGACAGGGTTTCACCATGTTGGCCAGGCTGGTCTCGAAATCCTGACCTCAAGTGATCTGCTCACCTCGGCCTCCCGAGATGCTGGGATTACAGGCGTGAGCCACTGTGCCCAGCCACTATGTTTTCTATTTGAGTCTTACAGTCACCCTATAATGTAGAAAGGACAGTAGTATACTCTCTCCCATCCCCACACCTTTTTTCATTTAAAAAGTATAAACTAATAAATAAATAAAGAACGAATACACAGATTAAAAAGCCCCAATACAAAAGAATATGGAAAAATTATAACTTTCAGTACCTGCTCAGTATCTAACTTGCCTCTCTCATCCATTTTATATATAATATGGAAAGGAATTTAAGGAGGTTAATTGGCAAGTCTTAGTAGCTAACAAGTCTATATTAATTAAGAATCAGGGAGACTGTTTTCACAAGATAGTGCCGAAGGCGAAAAAGGAAGCTCCTACCCATCTTAAAGCAGAAGCCAAAGCAAAGGCTTTGAAGGCCAAGAAAGCAGTGCTGAAAGGCTGAAAGTAGTCATAAAATATGGTAAGTGGCATCAAACACATACACAAAAAAAGAAGATCCGCAAGTCACCCACGTCCCGGTGGCCCAAGGCACTGCAGCCCCATAGGCAGCCCAAATATCCTTGTAAGATAGCAGGATACAAGGAGAAAGAAGCTTGACCACTATACCATCATCAAGTTCCTGCTGACCAGAGTTCACCATGAAGAAGATAGAAGACAACATATTTGTGTTCATTGTGGATGTTAAAGCCAACAAGCACCAGGTCAAATAGGCTACAAAGAAGCTCCATAACATTGATGAGCCAAGATCAAGACCCTGATCAGACCTGATGAAGAGAAGAAGGCTTATGTTTGACTGGCTCCTGATTATGATGCTTTGGAGGTTGTCAACAAAATTGGGATCATCTAAACTGAGTTCGGCTGGCTAATTCTAAGTATATATATTAGTATCTTCTCACCAGAAAAAAAAAAAGAATCAAGCACTATCAACAGTTAAGTATTCAAAATGACAAAGGTGATGGATAAATTTGATTCTAACACTGTTTGAAGTTTCATGTGTCAAAATAGGACAAAACAGATATTCTGTAAACCATGCTTTGCCATTCAATAAATTGATGCCACTTACCATATTTTATGACCACTTTTTTGGCAGTTATATTTCAAACCTAGAAAGTACTATAATTCTATAAATAATCAAAGTCACACCTCTTAATATATTACATAATTGAGTTTTTATGCTTTTCTCTAAAATTAAAATCTACTCATACTTTTTCTCAGATTTGTCTCCATGGCAGCCAGATACCCAAACAGAAAGTCTAGAATTCACAAAGATGAACCGTAAGTTTCTAAACTGGACCCAAGTCAAGGTAAACATATTTGCAATGCCAACTTTTAGTATATATTACTGAGTGAATGTTAATGCAAAGATTAATGCATATATTCATCATATAGCATTATCAGAAAAGGACCTTGAATTACTCCAACTCTTATTTTCCAATTTTAGTTTAATTCTAGAACTAGATAGCTTTCAGGGACAGTAAGAGAATAGGATATAAATGTCTATACAAATTAGCACAGGTCTGAATCATGAAATAAATTAGTTTGATTTATGGAAAGCAGCTAAGTGCCAAGTAAGAACTAATCCAAACCAAAACATTCAGCACAATTTTCATTTCTGGCAACTCCAGCTCCCGGCTAGAAAAACTATCCTAGCTATGACAGGCTGGGTGCAGTGGCTCACACCTGTAATCCCAGCACTTATGGAGGCCGAGGCAGGCGGATCACCTGACGTCCGGAGTTCGAGACCAGCCTGACCAACTTGGAGAAATCCCGTCTCTACTAAAAAAAATGCAAAATTAGCCGGGCGTGGTGGCACATGCCTGTAATCCCAGCTACTCCGGAGGCTGGGGCAGGAAAATGGCTTGAACCCGGGAGGCAGAGGTTGCTGTGAGCCCAGATCGCGCCACTGCACTCCAGCCAGGGCAACAAAAGTGAAACTACGTCTCAAAAAAAGAAAAAAAAAAGCTATCCTAGCTATGACATGAAATGGTGACAATTTATTGAGCTATAAAAGTATTAGTAAATTAGTAGATTTGGCAGCCCTTTCTCTAAAGCTGAAACTACTGTTACTGCTTCATACCACAAGTGCTAGAGCCTTGAATTAGACCAAGGCACTTCCACTCTGAAGTGGAAGCCAGTGGTGAACCAAATTAATCAAGGGAATTTGTTTCCAAAATACATCTACCCCCTTCACACTCCTCCCATCCGTAAAATTCTGAAGGGAAGTGGAGATGATATAAGTGATATGTGTATGCCTTTTTAAAAACTCCTAAATTGTTTTGAGGTATCTATTTCCAACTCCATGAAGAATTCTTAAATTAGGTCCAAACTTTTTCAAAACACTGTATCTATCACAGGCTTAAGGAGCAGAGCTACAAAGTGACAAGGGCTCAACAGAAGGCTAGGAAGGTAAGGAGCTGTACTCGGAACAGATGTAAGCTACTTTCAGAGCTTTCTGTGCTGGCTCCCTCCAGAATCCACTACATTTTAGTCAGTGATAAATGTTCAGTTCCACATCCCAAGAAAAGAACATAGGCTACTGACCAGATAAAGTGTAAAAAGAAGCAATTCTGGAAATCAAAAAAAAGATAATAAGCCACAGACGATGACAGACAAAAAAATCTTCTGTTCTGGCTTTAAAAGAACAGTAACTCGGAACAAGGATCTCTAAGGGGAAAAAAAAAGAACAATACAAAGTACTGGTATGATAACTAGTTTTGAAACTTCTGCCCATATTTTATCAGTTTTTCACTATGTAGCATTGGTTTTTCTATAAGACTCAGTCAAGCTGAAAATTTCAATCATTCTAGAACTTAATAAACTACTACAAGATGCCAAAACTGTATTGCAAATAATCAAACTTAAATCTGAATTGCATGTCAAGACAGTTAAAGGGCCGGGCTAAAAAACACACTTTCAAGGTCTATTTTAGGGCAAACAATTAAACTCCTTTACAATCATTGTTTCAAATTCCTTATAAACAGCTCCAATACTGAAATGTTTCATCAGAGAGAACTTCTATAACGTATAAACGATCATCTAACCACACTATATGCTAATTTGGACTAGTGTTTCTTTAGCTACTTGGTAATTTCCTACTCGATACTCAACTTACTGCATTCTACAATGACACCTACTGGCCATTCAAAATCAGCCATTAGTTCTCTAAGACAGCTCTAGTAGGCTGGTTACATAAGAAGAAACACACACACACACACACACACACACACACACACACACACACACACGCATAAAAGCAACACACACACACACACGCATAAAAGCAAAGATTTAACTGGTACTCAAAACACTACAGAATTCCACCTAAAATAGAACCAGAAATTTTCTTTGTGACTGAGATTGCATTATTCTTGGAAAAGGAGAAAAGACAAAGAACAAAACACCAAACATCAATAAAAATTTTTATCTAAAGCACTGACAAATGTCTCAGTACTGAGAACATCTGGGAACAAACAACTTTAATGATGCACCTCTTTCCCAATTAAATTTTTGAGAAAAAATGAAATTTTGATTTAGGTTCATATATAGGAATATAAATTACCATTAATAGAAAAAAATCACATCTTATAAAGTTTTTCTGACATGCAGTACCGAAATAAATTTAGGAAAATTGTAGAGTTGCTGACACTACATTAGACCTTATCTCCTAAGCTAAAGGCAATATTTCAAACACCTTACATTTTAGAAATTTATAACACTTCTTTTAAAATCATTTTCCAGTGCTGCTCTCAAAATTGTTTTTCAATGACCTACAAAATCAAGTTTTTATGTCGTTTGCCCTTCCATAACACATACTGAATAGAATTCCTATTTTAATTCTACATTTTATTGTGGAAACAATGAATTATAAAATTTTTTTAAATAAGATAATTTAGTTAATTATATCTATAAATATATTTTGCCTCTGTCCGAGAGGTTCAGAGTCCACTTTTTAAACCTAATAAATAATTCATAAGTAGCTTCTCAGACTTGCTTACAGAACAAACTACTTAAAAGTTGACTTTTTTCTGCCGGGCACGGTGGCTCACGCCTGTAATCCCAGCACTTTGGGAGGCCGAGGCGGGCGGATCATCTGACGTCCGGAGTTCGAGACCAGCCTGACCAACATGGAGAAACCCCGTATCTACTAAAAATACAAAATTAGTCGGGCGTGGTGGCGCATGCCTGTAATCCCAGCTACTCCGGAGGCTGGGGCAGGAGAATGGCTTGAACCCGGGAGGCGAAGGTTGCTGTGAGCCGAGATCGCGCCATTGCACTCCAGCCTGGGCAACAACAGCGAAACTCCGTCTCAAAAAAAAAAAAAGTTTATTTTTTTCCCCATATTCAGACCACCACCTTATTTGCACAGTCCCTAACTTCCACAATATCCTGGGGGGAGGAAGGGATCTACCAACTAATTTTCTAGTCATTTTCCAACTTACACTGAGCTCCTACTGTACATTTTTAAAGGATTCCCCACTTTTCTGAAGATCTTTAAAAAATGTTGTCAGCCTTGACCCTCAAATAAATTCACGAACTACAAAACATGAACCTGGCCACATTCATCGCAAACTAGTATCTGTCAAGTCCATAATTGGGATAAGCTCTTCGTGACTACTCTATCCTCCATGCTACCACCCTTCGCCTAGAGAACCTGCCAATGTAAATGGCACTCAAGCCAATGAAAAAAGTGTTCTAACACATTAATAGGTTGCAAGACCTCCTCTCCCAGGAGGGACAACCTAGTTGTTTGGGTAAATAACAGCCAAAGATTACATAATGTACAGCAATAATGAGTGTTCAGAATCTGACCGCCAGTAAATATTTTTCTTCTCCGCTCCCCCTCACCACCCCCAGGAAATGGCCCTAAGAAGCAATCACTGGGATTTCTCTTAACTGTCTTCAATGCCGTGTCCTTTTCTCGCCTGGGGCTTTGTGCAAAGAATCCCTTCAGCCCTCACGACACCGCCTTGCTCCCGCCTCTCCTCCCTCTCTGCTGGCGCCACCGCAGCCCCCACGCCCTAGGTGGGCCCCCACGTCGCCCCACAAGGCTCGGCTTCCACCCGCCTCGGCTGCCGCCTTCTCCTCCTCACGACCCTCCCAAGATGCTACCTGGTTTACGAGAGGTTCCGGGACCACCAACACACCGGCTACCGCCTTTCCAGACCACCCTCGCCAGCTCCCGTCTGTAGTTTCCGCGGCCGAAGGAGAAGAAAACCCCTCTTCATCTAGCACTTTGCCTCCCCCAAAGACAGCACCGCCGCCTACCTGTCACCCTGCTGTCTCCGGCTTCCTACCGCCGCCGCCTCCCGCAGCAGCCTGCCAACTGCAGCGCAACAACCAACCCTCTCATTGGGTGAGAACACGCTCTCAACAACAGCCTCCCTTATTGGCTGCAGTATGCCGGCAGCCCCGCCCTGTGTGCGGTGTCTAAGGATTCCGTCCCCAAGCAAGGACAACATATTATCTTCCCCGCCCTTCTCTTTTCTACAGTATCTGTTACCTCAGTCAGATTGAGGATGCACATATACTGGGAAAATAATCGACTTCCAGCGTCCCTCATGTAGTCTCTACCTGATTCAGGAATCTCTAACCCAGTATCGGAACGTTAAGCGGCTTCTCCGCTTTCCTGCCGTGAGAAACTCGAGGTGACAACCTCCGTTTCCGGTTGGCTCCGGTTGCAGAGTTGAGTGTCCTGAGAGGTCAGATTGCTGTCAGGTAAATTAGGGAGTTGGTGGGAGGCCCGTTGATTAGGATTAAGAGCTAGACTCTATTCTGGGGAGTGCAGAAAAGGAGAGACTAAATGGAGAAGGATGGGAGGCTGGGAGGGAGATCAAAGAACTAGCAGGCGAGAACTAATGAAGTCCTAGTTTAGAGTTGGGGTAGGAAGAGGTGGTTGGAGGATTCAGTGATCATTACTGTAGTTGTTAAATCCAGGTGCTTGTTCCCGCTTCTGCCACACGCAAAATTGTCTTTGTTTGCCTTTGGATCGCAAAGGCAGAAGAACAGCATCACTAAAAGTAATAACAGTTCATTTGTTTTTTATGTTCTAATATTCATATAATCACAGTTTTTAATACGAGGAAGTTAAGATATATACTTGATAGTCTTCGGTAAACTAAAATTGCATGTAGTGGAAGTAGCATTATCTTCTTATTTCTTTCTTAGGGAAAGGATACCAGCACATTTTCTTAGAGCCAGCTTCCTTTAGTGGAGGTTGATCTTCATGAGACTTTTAGATTCACTTCAGACATAGATAGCTTTTAAAATTTTTGGTTGCATGTTTTTTCTTTATTTAACTAATTTCCTTACTGTTATTATTTGAGCTGCTCTGAAACGGAAATAACCACCATTTTTCAGTCCTCAGCACAATTTAAGTCAATTTTTCTATTTTTATTTTTTATTGTCAAGTATATATACAGAAGGGTGTATAAAACATACATTTTAAAAAATTATAACTAACAGAAGCAGACACTCCTGTATCCACCTCTTAGATTAGAAAATAAAGCATTGCCAATAACTTAGAACATGCAGTCTTAACAGGGGTGATTTTACATTTCAAGGGGTTGAAAATTGGTGGGGCCGGGGTCGGAATCTTAGTTACTACAATGATTTGTGTCCCTCCAAAGGGCCACAGTATATAAACAGTTATACAGTATATATGTAGTGTTAAATTTTCATGGCGGGGGGTGTGATTAGGAATAAAATGTCTAGAAAGGTTCCTTACAGGGACAATAGTTAAAAATTGGTTGAAAAACACTGCCTTAGAATCTCCCAGTATGTTTCTGTGATTCCATCTCCTCCACCAAGAGGTAACCATTATCCTGACTTGTGCTAAGCACTCACTTGTTTTACTTTAATTTTTCCGTCTATGATGAATTCCTAAAAAATGAATTGTTAGGCATTTCAATCTATATAAATGGGTTCAGAGTGCATGTGTATTTTTTTCTGACTCACCCCTTGCTCATTATCCATATTTGTGGAGATTCAATCACACTTTTGCATGTAGTTTTTTGTTGTATAATATTCTACAGTGTGACTATACCATAATCCCTTCTATTGTTATTGGACATTTGGGTTGTTTACAGTTGGGAGAGAGAATAAACAATGTGGCTATAAAGGTTCTTTTAAAAACATATTTCTTAGGCTGGGCACGGTGGCTCACGCCTGTAATCCCAACACTTTGGGTGGCCGAGGCAGGCGGATAATGAGGTCCAGAGATCGAGACCATTCTGACCAACATGGTGAAACCCAGTCTCTACTAAAAGTACAAAAAATTAGCCGGGTGTGGTGGTGCACGCCTGTAATCCCAGCTACTCGGTAGGCTGAGGCAGGAGAATCACTAGAACCTGGGAGGCGGAGGTTGCAGTGAGCCGACATTGCACCACCCACTGCACTCCAGCCTGGCGACAGAGTGATACTCCATCTCAAAAAAAAAATTTGTTTTTTTTTAAAGACTAGAGGCTTGATGTCTCTAAGAAAATATTTTAAATATATTTTTTATATTCCATAAATATAAACCTTTGATCTGTGATTATGTTTATAAGATTTACAGTTGATAAAGTAGATTCATATATCCAAATTGTTCCAAAGACACTTTTATTTATTTATTTTATTTGTATATTTTTTGAGACAGAGTCTCGCTCTGTCGCCCAGGCTGGAGTGCAGTGGCGCGATCTCGGCTTAGTGCAATCTTCACCTCCCAGGTTCAAGTGATTCTTCTGTCTCACCCTCCCTAATAGCTGGAACTACAGGCATGTGCTACCATGCCCAGCTAATTTTTTTATTTTTAGTAGAGACGGGATTTTGCCATGTTGGTTAGGCTTTTCTTGAACTCCTGACCTCAGGTGTTCCACCTGCCTCAGCCTCCCAAAGTGCTGGGATTACAGGCGTGAGCCACCGCTCCTGGCCTCCAAAGACACATTAATATTTTCTAATAACGATTTGATCATCTGTTTTGAGATTAAGTTAATTAAAATTAAATTAAAATTCCCAGTTCCCAACTGCACCAGCCACATTTCAAGTGCTAGTGGCTACCATATTGGACAGTGTCTATCTAGAATATATGTACTAGGAGTGGAATTGATGGCCATAAGGTATTCATATGTTCAGCTTTTTTTTTTTTTTTTTTTTGAGATAGAATCTCACTCTGTCACCCAGGCTGGAGTGCAGTGGCGCAATCTCGGCTCACTGCAACCTCCACCTCCTGGGTTCAAGTGATTCTCATTCCTCAGCCTCCTGAGTAGCTGGGACTACAGGTGTGTGCTACCACACCTGGCTAATTTTTGTATTTTTAGTAGAGACAGGGTTTCCCCATGTTGGCCAGGCTGGTCTCAACTCCTGGCCTCAAGTGATCCACCTGCCTTGGCCTCCCAAATTGCTGGGATTACAGGCGTGTGCCACTGCGCCCAGCCATGTTCAGCCTTTCTAGGTCTTGCCAGTTTTTCAGAATGGTTGTGCTTAGTTACATTCTCACCACCTAAGTATGAAAGTAGAAGGCACATCACAATGTGTTTTCCTCAGCTCTCACGATCTTGCAAGGTAGGTTTTATCTTCATGTTATATGAAGAAACTGAAGTTCAGGGAAATTAAGTGATTTGCCTTGGATTTTACTTTTACTAGTGCAAAGTAGGAGAATTTCAAGCTCTTACTTTACAGGTCACGATATCATTGTTTGATTTATGGCTATTTGGAAATAGAAATAAGTTTAAAAAGAAAAATGGGCCAGGTGCCATGGCTCACGCCTGTAGTCCCAATATTTTAGGAGGCCAAGGAGGGAGGAATGCTTGAGGCCAGGAGTTCAACAGCAGCCTGGGCAACATAGGAAGATCCTGTCTGAAAAAAAAAAAAAAAAGAAAAAGAAAAAAGAAAATGAAAGGTTTCCTAGAGAAAGTGTTTTCAACTTTCTGCTCTTTTTGAAAAGTCATTTATATGTTATATTTAGCCGGGCACCGTGGCTCATGCCTGTAATCCCAGCACTTTGGGAGACCCAGGTGGGCGGATCACAAGGTCAGGAGATCGAGACCATCCTAGCTAACACGGTGAAACCCCATCTCTACTACAAAATGCAAAAAATTAGCCAGGCGTGGTGGGGGGTTCCTGTAGTCCCAGCTACTCGGGAGGCTGAGGCAGGAGAATTGCTTGAACCTGGGAGTCACAGGTTGCAGTGAGCCAAGATTGCGCCACTGTACTACAGCCTGGGCGACAGAGCGAGACTCTGTCTCAAAAAAAAAAAAAAAAAAAAAAGGTATATTTAGTAAATTCCTATGAAAAGGATACTTCTGAAATAATTAGGTAGAAGAGAAAATACATTGAATGTATTTAAATAAACTTGTATAGGAGAAATGAGGGTATGTACGCTTTCATGTTTTCTTTCAAAGATTTATCTTTCAAATTACTTGTTTAAGCACAGTAGTATTGTAATTTTGAAATAGTCTTTATACCATGGTAATGTTTCAAGTTTTATTTTCAAAAACTATTCTATCAAAATTCTTGACCCTTTGTTTTATACTCTCTTCCAAATACACTGATACTCAGGTTGATATTCTAGAATTGACATTTGCCAAAATAAGGGTTTGTCTTGTTTTAAGTGTTTTTAAAATGAAGCCTTATTTTAAAAAAGATTTTTTGAAAACATGGTATGCAGAAGCCAAGACATTATCATTCTAAATAAACACTTGTAATGGTCTTCGTTTGTAATAAATGTATTCAGTCTCAAAAGTCAGTCTGAAGTCTGACACCATAATTTTTTTCCTTCATTTTATTGAATCTACCAAGTAATAATGGGTTAAATGTTTCATTCAGAGTTGTGTTGTAATTTTAACTTGTGTTTGAGAGTATCGGTTTTCATTTTCATTTTCATTTAAATGTGAAAATCCTCCTGGGTGTGGCTGTAATCCCACTGTAATCCCAGCATTTTGGGAGGCCTATGCCAGAGGATCAAGGATCACTTGAGGCCAGGAGTTTGAGACCAGCCTGCACAACATAGGGAGGGTCCATCGCTATAAAACATTTAAAAACTAGCCAGGCGTTGTGCACACTCCAGTCCTAGCTACTCAGGAGGCTGAGGCAGGACAATCACTTGAGCCCAGGAGTTTGAGGCTGCAGTGAGCTATGATCCAGAGCAAGACCCTCTATCTTTAAATATATATATATATATATATATATATATAATTAAATGTGAAAATCATCAACATAATGTTTTTTAGTATCTTAACATGTTTACAAATAATAAGTGTTGGTTTTTCACAGTTAGTATGTACAATTTTTTTCTCATATCTTGGAACTACTTATTTTTTGAGAGAGTCTCACTCTGTCGCCCAGGCTGGAGTGCAGTGGCACCATCTTGGCTCACTGTAACCTCTGCCTTCTGGGTTCAAGCGATTCTCATCCCTCAGCCTCCCAATAATGTGTCTTTAATATACACTTTTTAATAATTACCTCTCTCTTCTGAGATGCAATGTAAGAATTCCTACCAGGCCAGGCACAGTGGCTCACGCCTGTAATCCCAGCACTTTGGGAGGCGGAGGCGGGCAGATCACCTGAGGTCAGGAGTTCGAGACCAGCCTGACCAACATGGGGAAACTCCATCTCTACTAAAAATGCAAAATTAGCCGGGCATGGTGGCGCATGCCTGTAATCCCAGCCACTCAGGAGGCTGAGGCAGGAGAATCGCTTGAACCCAGGAGGCGGAGGTTGCAGTGAGCCGAGATTGCACACCATTGCACTCCAGCCTGGGCAAAAAGCAAAACTCCATCTCAAAAACAAAAGAAAAGAAAAGAAATCCTACCTTATTGGGCCTGTTCATAGTTATAAATATGGACATAATGGTAATATTTACTTGATTTTACTTCCGGAAAAGCAGTGATTATAGAATTGCTACTGCTTGCCAAGTAATTAGAAAAATAAAAATGTAAAAAAAAATAAAAGGATTGCTACTGCCAACCTTACACAAATTATAGTATAGTGTTACTAAGCCATACCCCTTAATTTGAATTAGCAATTTAAATGAGGACTGAGCTGGTTTATTTTTATATTATATATTAAAATAACACTAGTAAAACCAAAGTATTTATATAACCATTGAGGACATGTTTTAATTAAGGAAGCAAATTTATTGATTAAAAAGGAGTCCTAAGGTATCTGTTGGCCCAGTTCAGGGATCGGCAAACTGCAGCCTGTGGACCAAATCCAGCCCAGTGCCTGTTTTTGTAAGGTCCATGAGCTAAGAATGGTTTTTACAAATGAACATTTGTAATGACTTTGATGCTAAGGATCACTAACTTTGAGCTCCAGTTAAGTAGAATGTTACCCCCAAAAGGGGAGTTCCATTTTTTTCGTCAGTAGACCTGTATTACAAAAAAATTTGTAGTCAGTTACTTACTACATTTTGAATTTTATCAATAAGGTATTTGCGGTAGTGTGTTTTCTCTTCCTATAAATGTACCTACATAATTGCCTCAATTTTACCTCTTTTACCCACAAAGCCTAAAATATTTACGATCTGCCTCTTTAAAGAAACCTTTCATGTAATCATATGTATTTAAAAGCATTGCATTTTAAAAGAATCATCTAAAGAAAATTTTTAAAACAGGATGTATAACCTTTTTATTATACATATTTATGCATTATGAAAGGATTCAAAAGGAAAACAATATTGCTTAGAAGTTAGGAGCAGGGGGCCGGGTGCGGTGGCTCACACTTGTAATCCCAGCACTTTGGGAGGCTGAGGTGGGTGGATCACGAGGTCAGGAGATTCAGACCATCCTGGCTAACATGGTGAAACCCCGTCTCCACTAAAATTACAAAAAATTAGCCGGGCGTGGTGGCGGGCACCTGTAGTCCCAGCTACTCGCCAGGCTGAGGCAGGAGAATGGCGTGAACCCGGGAGGCGGAGCTTGCAGTGAGCCAAGATTGCACCACTGCACTCCAGCCTGAGCGACAGAGCGAGACGCCGTCTCAAAAAATAAGAAGAAGAAGAAGTTAGGAGCAGGGTTCTAAAACCAAACTGCAAGGTTCTAATCCCAGCTGTACCATTACTATTTTTGTTACCTTTGGAAAGTTACTTAATTGCTTGGAGTCTCATTGTCCTCATCTGTAAAATGGGGATACTCATTATTTAAGTTCAAAGAGTTGTTTTAGAGGTAATGGAGTTAATACACATAAAGCATTTTAGCATATGTTTACTATTTATAAAGAGTTGTTTTAGAGGTATTGGAGTTAATACACATAAAGCATTTTAGCAAATGTTTACTATTATTATAATGAAGAAAAGAACCAGATAGTAAATGGTTATCTCTGAGTGATGAGATTGCCAATTATTTTTCTTTTTTATATTTTGTGTATGTGTATTTCCTAACTGTGAACATGGTTGTAGAATAAGACACTTTTATAAAATCCTTTAACTGGAATTTTCAAGTATTTATATTGGCTTTTTTTTTTAATATTAAATGCTTTACCTTAAAACATAAACAATAAATTTGGGTATTTGATATCTACAATTTGCATATTTCTCACTTGTGTTAATCTTTTCCTTACAGACATGGCCCATGAACATGGACATGAGCATGGACATCATAAAATGGAACTTCCAGATTATAGACAATGGAAGATAGAAGGGACACCATTAGAAACTATCCAGAAGAAGCTGGCTGCAAAAGGGCTAAGGGATCCATGGGGCCGGTAAGATGAATTAAGTAATTTAGATAGAATGTATCCTAGAGAATCAAGTGTCTATGTTGCTTTTCAATGTATTCTCCTTAGAGAATCATGAAAAATGGCTTTTTACTTTAAAGGGTTTTTTTTGGTTTTTGTTTTGTTTTTGAGACGGTGTCTTGCTGTGTTGCCAGGCTGGAGTGCAGTGGCGCGATCTCAGCTCACTGCAGCCTCCGCCACCCGGGTTCAAGTGATTCTCTTGCCTCAGCCTCCCAAGCAGCTGGGATTACAGGCACGCGCCACCAAGCCCAGCTACTTTTTGTGTTTTTAGTAGAGACGGGGTTTCACCATGTTGGCCAAGATAGTCTCGATCTCCTGACCTCGTGATCCACCTGCCTCAGCCTCCCGAAGTGCTGGGATTACAGGCATGAGCCACCACGCCTGGCTACTTTAAAAGTTTTTGGTTTGTTTTGAGACAGGGTCTCACTCTGTCACCCAGACTGGAGTGCAGTGGTGCGCTCACAGCAACCTCCATCTCCCAGGCTTAAGCAATCCTCCCACTCCAGCCTCCCTAGTAGCTGAGACTACAGGCATGGGCCACCATGCCCAGCTAATTTTTATATTGTTAGTAGAGACAGGGTTTTGCCATGTTGCCCGGGCTAGTCTCAAATTCCTGAGGTGAAGTGATCTGCCCACCTTGGCCTCCCAAAGTGTTAAAATTACAGGCATGAGCCGCTACACCTAGCCACATTAAAATTTTAAAATCGACTTTATTGAGCTATCGTTTATATATAGTAAAATTCACCTGTTTTGAGTGTAAGTCCTTTATCAGATAAAAGTTTTGTGGTGCTTGCTTCAGAAACATATATACTAAAATTGTAATACAGAGAAGTTAGTATGGCCCTGTGCAAGGATTTAAAACAATTTTTTTTAAGGTTTGCAAATGTTTTTTCTCACAGTGTGGCTTATCTTTTTATTTTCTGAATAATGTCTTTCAGAGAGTTTTAAATTTTGATGAATTCACAATTTAGCAATTTTTAAATTTTACAATGTATCCTTTTTGCACCCTAAGATTATCTTCTATGCTTTCTTTTAGAAGCTTTTATAGTTCTTCTTACATTCTGTGATCTGTTTTGAGTTCATTTTTGTGTCATATGAAGTAAGGATGAAGATTAGTATTTT
This sequence comes from Homo sapiens, assembly GCF_000001405.40. Taxonomy (NCBI): domain Eukaryota; kingdom Metazoa; phylum Chordata; class Mammalia; order Primates; family Hominidae; genus Homo; species Homo sapiens. The sequence continues at coordinate 201,080,178 of NC_000002.12, forward strand.
TACATATGTGCATCCAGTTGCTCCAGCACCATTTATTAAAAAATTATTGTACCTCCGTTGAATTACCTTAATAATGTTGTCAAAAATCCATTGAGTGATTTTTGACACTCAATGTGGGTGGTGGCTCGCACCTATAATTCCAGCACATTGGGAAGCCAAGGCAGGCGGATCGCTTGAGCCCAGGATTTTGAAACCAGCCTAGGCAGTACAGGGAGACTTTGTCTCTACAAAAAAATTTTAAGAATTGCCAGATGTGATGACACACACATGTAGTCCCAGCTACTCAGGAGGCTGAGGTGGGCAGATCACTTGAGCCCAGGATGTCCAGGCGGCAGTGAGCCAAGATCTGGCCACTGCACTCCAACCTGGGCAACAGAGAGAGACCTTGCCTCAAGAAAAAAAAATCAATTGACTGTATCTATGGGATCTATGTCTGGACTGTACTCTGTTACCCTCATTAATATGTCCACCCTTATGCCAATACCACAGTGTCTTTAAATTACATAGCATAAGATCTCCAACTTTTTTTTTTTTTTTTTTTTTTTGAGACAGAGTCTCACTCTGTCACCCAGGCTAGGGTGTGGTGGCTCAATCTGGCTCGCTGCCAGCTCCACCTCCCGGGTTCACGCCATTCTCCTGCCTCAGCCTCCTAAATAGCTGGGACTACAGGTGCCTGCCACCATGCCCTGCTAATTTTTTGTATTTTTAGTAGAGACGGGGTTTCACCGTGTTAGCCAGGATGGTCTGGATCTCCCGACCTCATGATCCACCCGCCTCAGCCTCCCAAAGTGCTGGGATTACAGGCATGAGCCACCGTGCCCAGCCAAGATCTCCAACCTGTAAAAAATTGTTTTAGCTATTCTAGGTCCTTTGCTTTTACATATAAACTTTGGAATGAACCTGACAATTTCTATTAAAATCCCTGCTTGGATTTTAATTGGGATCACATTGAATCTGTTTCACATAGATTCACAATGGGAATCTATTTCACATCCACATTGAATCAGATTCCCATCAATTTAGGGGCCAGGCATGGTGGCTCACACCTGTAATTCCAGCACTTTGGGAGGCCGAGGCGGGTGGATCACTTAAGGTCAGGTGTTCGAGACCAGCCTGGGCAACATGGGAAACCCTGTCTCTACTAAAAATACAAAAATTAGCCAGGTGTGGTAGTGGGTACCTGTAATCCCAGCTACTCAGGAGGCTGAGACAGGAGAATCACTTGAACCCGCGAGGCTGAGGTTGCAATGAACCAAGATCGTGCCACTGCACTCCAGCCTGGGCAACAGAGTAAGCTTCCATCTTAAAGAAAACAAAAAATTTAGGGATAAGTGATGTCTTAACAATATTAAGTCTTCTAGTCAATGGGCAATTTAGGTCTTGTTCATTTTATCAGCAGTATTTTATTGCTTTACGTACAGGTCTTGCACATATTTTATTAAATTTATACTGAATTAATTATTTATTTTATTTTATTTTATTTTTCTGGGAGACAGAGTCTCACTGTGTCACCCAGGCTGGAGTGCAGTGGCACAATCTTGGCTTACTGCAACCTCTGCCTCCTGGGTTTAAGCAATTCTCCTGCCTCAGCCTCCTGAGTAGCTGGGATTACAGACGTGCACCACCACGCCCAGCTAATTTTTTTTTTTTTTTTTTGAAATGGAGTCTCGCTCTGTCACACAGGCTGGAGTGCAGTGGCACGATCTCCGCTCACTGCAAGCTCCGCCTCCTGGGTTCACACCATTCTCCTGCCTCAGCCTCCCGAGTAGCTGGGACTACAGGCGCCCACCACTATGCCCGGCTAATTTTTTGTATTTTTTAGTAGAGATGGGGTTTCACTGTGTTAGCCAGAATGGTCTCGATATCCTGACCTCATGATCCACCCACCTCAGCTTCCCAAAGCGCTGGGATTACAGGCATGAGCCACCGCGCCAGGCCTAATTTTTGTATTTTTTTGGTAGAGATGGGGTTTCACCATGTTGGCCAGGCTGGTCTTGAACTCATGACCTCAAGTGATCCGCTCGCCTCAGCCCCCCAAAGTGCTAGGATTACAGGTTTGAGCCATCAGGCCTGGCGTTGTTTGTTTGTTTGTTTGTTTGTTTGTTTTGGGAGATGGAGTCTCCGTCGCCCAGGATGGAGTGCAATGATGCCGTTTTGGCTCATTGCAGCCTCTACCTCGTGGGCTGAAATCATCCTCCCACCTCAGCCTCCCGAGTAGCTGGGACTACAGGTGCATGCCGCCATGCCCAGCTAATTTTTGTATTTTTTGTTGAGACGAGGTTTTCCTGTGTTGCCCAGGCTGGTCTCAAAATCCTGAGCTCATGTGATTTGACCACCTCAGCCTCTCAGAGTGCTGGAATTACAGATCTGAGCTACAGCACCCAGCTTGAATTATTTTAATTTTTGATGCTATTGTAAATAGTATTTTAAAATCTCAACTTCCAGTTGTTCATTGCTAATACTTGTAAACACAGTTGACTTTTATATGTTGAGTTTATATCTTGTTACCTTGCTAAATTCACTTTTTTTTTTTTTTTTTTTTTTTTTGAGACGGAGTCTCACTCTGTCGCCCAGGCCGGACTGCGGACTGCAGTGGCGCAATCTCGGCTCACTGCAAGCTCCGCTTCCCGGGTTCACGCCATTCTCCTGCCTCAGCCTCCCGAGTAGCTGGGACTACAGGCGCCCGCCACCGCGCCCGGCTAATTTTTTGTATTTTTAGTAGAGACGGGGTTTCACCTTGTTAGCCAGGATGGTCTCGATCTCCTGACCTCATGATCCACCCGCCTCGGCCTCCCAAAGTGCTGGGATTACAGGCGTGAGCCACCGCGCCCGGCCGCTAAATTCACTTTTTAGTTCAAGTAGATTTTTTTTACAGATTTCTTAGAATGTTCTTCATAAACAATCATTCTGTCTACAAATACATTGTTACTTCTTCCTTTTCAATCTGTAAACTTTTTATTTCTTTTTCTTGCATTTTTGTACTGGCTAACACCACTACTATAATGTTGAATGAAAGTGGTGGACGTCCTTGCCTTATTCCCAACTGGGAGAAAACATTTGGTGGGTCACCACTTAGTATGATGTTTCTTACAGTGATCTCCTAGGTGCCTTTTATCAAGATGAGGAATTTCTCTCTATTTCTAGATTACTAAGTGTTTCATTGTTTATTATTTCTTTTTTTTTTTTTTTTTTTTGAGACAGAGTTTTGCTCTTGTTGCCCAGGCTGGAGTGCAATGGCGAGATCTTGGCTCACCGCAACCTCTGCCTACCAGGTTCAAGCGATTCTCCTGCCTCTGCCTCCCGAATAGCTGGGATTACAGGCATGTGCCACCACACCCGGCTAATTTTGTTTTTTTAGTAGAGACTAAAACGTTGGCCAGGCTGGTCTCAAGCTCCCGACCTCAGGTGATCCACACGCCTCGACCTCCCAAAGTGCTGGGATTACAGGCCTGAGCCACCGTGCCCATCCTGTTATTACCATTAATGGATATTGGATTTTGTTAAATGCTTTTTCTGCATCTATTGAGATGTTCATAGTTTTTCCTTTTTATTCTGTTAATATGGCGAGTTACTTCTATTAATTTTCAAATATAAACAAATCTTGCATTCCTGGAGTGAACCCTACTTCATTATGATGTATTACCATTTTTATATGCTGTCGGATTCAGTTTTCTAAAATTTTGTTAAGAATATTTGCACCAGGTGTGGTGGCTAATGCCTGTAATCCCAGCACTTTGGGAAGCCAAGGCAGGCGGATCACTTAAGGCTGGAAGTTTGAGACCAGCCTGGCCAACATGGCAAAACCCTGTCTCTACTAAAATTACAAAAATTGGCCGGGCGCGGTGGCTCATGCCTGTAATCCCAGCACTTTGGGAGGCCGAGGTGGGTGAATCACAAGGTCAGAAGTTCGAGACCAGTGTGGCCAACATAGTGAAACCCCGTCTCTACTAAAAATACAAAAAATTAGCTGGATGTGGTGGTGTGCGCCTATAATCCCAGCTACTGGGGAGGCTGAGGCAGGAGAATCCCGTGAACCCAGGAAGTGAAGGTTTCAGTTAGCCAAGATCGTACCATCGCACTCCAGCCCAGGCGACAGTGCGAGACTCCATCTCAAAAAAAAAAAAAATACAAAAATTAGTCAGACATGGTGGCGGGCACCTATAATCCCAGCTACTCAGGAGGCTGAGGCAGAGAATTGCTTGAACCTGGGAGGCAGAGGTTGCAGTAAGCTGAGATCACACCACTGCACTCCAGCCTGGGCAACAGATTGAGACTCTGTCATAAATAAATAAACAAACAAACAAACAAAAATTAGCGGGCATGGTGGTGTGTGCCTGTAATCCCAGCTACTTGGGAGGCTGAGGTGGAAGAATCACTTGAATCCAGAAGGTGGAGGTTGCAGTGAGCTGAGATTGTGCCACTGCTCTCTAGCCTCAGTGACAGAGCAAGACTCCATCCGCCCCCGCCAAAAAAAGAATATTTGCATCTATGTTCATGAGGGATAGTATTCTGTAGCTGCTTTTCTTCTAACATCTTTGTCTGGTTTTGGTATCCCAATTAGATTTAATTAGCTCTCGTATTTCCTAAGTCATATTTCTAGAGTTAAATAGTTTTTGTTTTTCATAACATGATTTTTTCATTGGCTTGTCCTTATCAGACCAGAGCAGGGTATCAATCTTCCAAAATTCAGGCTGCTATGGTAGGGAGAAGCAGAGATCCTTTTGAATAGTAACAGTAATGTCAAGTGTTACATACTCCATACTCCTCTGCCAAAATATATCATGCATGAGCCTGTTTAGTCTTTATGATATTATAAAGTAGATAATAATCATCATTGAATAGAACAGGAAGCAGACCATGACAGGCTAAGCATCTTGCCCAGCCTACAAGATTGTGAATCTAATATAAGTGGCATACCAAAGATTAATACCAAGTCTCTAACTTCATCTTTCCGTGATGTTGTAATGACTAGTGTGGGCAGAGCCCATCTGACCTGTGACAGATAAGCTGACGTGAGTCTTGCATTTGAGGGTTCTGTAAAATCCTGAGGCATATGACTATTAAATGTGAAACCATCAAGTGTTTATTCTTCTATTTTATATGTGAAACTTGGGCATATACTTAATTATCCTATGCCACAGAAAGATTCCTATTGCGATTCACTTAAATGATCTTCTGTAGGGTAGCATTTAAGTCAATTAGAAAGATGAAAATTAAATGTCTTCAACGTATATACACACACGTTGTGTATGATTATAATTTTTTCTTTTTTTTTTTCTAGCAATGAAGCTTGGAGATACATGGGTGGCTTTGCAAAGAGTGTTTCCTTTTCTGATGTATTCTTTAAAGGATTCAAATGGGGATTTGCTGCATTTGTGGTAGCTGTAGGAGCTGAATATTACCTGGAGTCCCTGAATAAAGATAAGAAGCATCACTGAAGATAATACCTGGAAGCATCATAGTGGTTTCTTAACTCTCCAAAATAAGATTTCTTCTCTGTAGCCTACTTGTCTGGTTTATCCCTTACAGAATATTAGTAAGATTTAATCAATTAAAATATATATATATGCCAATCTGCTTTTGTCATTCTTAAAAAAAAAAAAGTGTCTCAAGCCATATCAGATTTGGTTTAGAATACATAGGGGGTTGGAGAACAGCAGTAGTGCGTTCTGCATATAGCAGGCAGGCATCATATATTTGGCTGAGCAAATGGGCATGTTCTAAGAAGTTTTTTTTTAATCTTTTTCTTTTTTTTTTTTTAACTAGTCCTGACCTAGCTGGCACTAACAAGTATTTAAATGGGAGTTGGCCTTGCTGTTTTTTTTTTGAGATGGAGTCTCGCTCTGTCACCCAGGCTGGAGTACAGTGGCGTGATCTCGGCTCACTGCAAGCTCTGCCTCCCGGGTTCACACCATTCTTCTGCCTCAGCCTCTCAAGTAGCTGGGACTACAGGCGCCCGCCACCATGCCCAGCTAATTTTGTTTTTGTATTTTCAGTAGAGACAGGGTTTCACCGTGTTAGTCAGGATGGTCTCGATCTCCTGACCTTGTGATCCACCCGCCTCAGCCTCCCAAAGTGTTGGGATTACAGGCGTGAGCCACCGCGCCTGGCTGGCCTTGCTGCTTTTATCATCCTCTTCAGATGGTTTAGAGGAACCCAGATTCTACTGCCCTTTTCTGGCTGACACATCCATGTATCATGTTCATTTTTCTTAATTGTGGTATTTTGTGGTATTTTCTACTCTTGCTTAGTCCTCTTAGTCCTTAGTCCTCATTGTTCTTATGTCATGAAAAACCTTACATTTTTTTCTTCTTTTTTTTGTTTTTTGAGATAGGGTTTTGCTCTGTCACCCAGACTGGAGTGCAGTGGGAGAGTGATCTTGGCTCACTGCAACCTCAGCCTCCCTGGGCTCAAGGGATCCTTCCACCATACCAGGCTATCTTTTTGTATTTTTAGTAGAGGTGGGGTTTCGCCTTGTTGCCCAAGCTGGTCTCAAACTCCTGGGCTCAAATGATCTACTTGCCTCAGCCTCCCAAAGTGCTGGGATTACAGGCATGACCCACCGCGCCTGACCTTTTTCTGTATTTCTAACAATAAACTAGACATTCTCCATGCCTGTAATCCCAACACTTTGGGAGGCTGAGGTGGGCAGATCACTTGAGCTCAGGAGTTGCAGACCAGCCTGGCCAACATGGTGAAACGCCAACTCTACTAAAAAAACAAAAATTAGCCAGACGTGGTGGCGGGCACCTGTAATCCCAAGTACTTGGGAGGCTGAGGCAGGAGAATCACTTGATCCCAGTAGGCAGAGGTTCCAGTGAGCCAAGATCACGCTACTGCACTCCAGCCTGGGTGACAGAGCACGACTCTGTCTCCGAAAAAACAAACAAAAAAAATAGATGTAACACTTATTGAGGAGGGGTGATAATTTTGTTTAAATAATGAAACAGAGAAAATCCCAATGTGAATTTTTTTCTTTTCTTTTTTTTTTTTTTTGGTTTGAGAATGAGTCTTTCTCCCAGCCTAGAGGGGTGGGCAGTGGCACAATCTCAGCTCACTGCAACCTCTAACTCCTGGGTTCAAGCGATTCTCCTGCCTCAGCCTGCCAGGTAGCTGGGATTTCAGGCACCCACCACCACGCCCAGCAAATTTTTGTATTTTTAGTAGAAACAGGTTTTGTCATGTTGGCCAGGCTAGTCTTGAACTCCTGATCTCATGTGATCCACCTGCCTTGGCCTCCCAAAGTGCTGGGATTACAGGTGTGAGCCACCGCACCCAAGGTGACTTTTTCTTCATAAATTTCTGTTTTTAAATGTAAAGCAATGCTAAAGTGAGATGAATTTCTAATAAACTGATAGTGGTAAATAGAATATGGTAATATGAAACATAAAAAAGACTCCATGCAAAAAAAGGAAAGCGTTTATTTTTTAATTTAGATAAAAATTTAATACATACTTTCTTCTCTGTGTTTTGTTTGTTTGTTGAGATAGGGTCTCACTCTGTTGCCCAGGATGGAATGCAGTAGCCCGATCGCAGCTCACCGCAACCTCCGCCTCCCAGGCTCAAGCAATCTTCCCACCTCAGCCTCTCAAGTAGCTGGGACTACAGGCGAGTGCCACCACAGCCAGCTAATTTTTTGTGTTTGTGGTAAAAACTGGATTTCACCATGTTGCCCAGGCTGTCTCAAACTCCTGAGCTCAAGTGATCCACCTGTCTCAGCCTCTCAAAGTGCTGGGATTACAGGTATGAGCCACCACGCCCCACCTGTCTTGTTTTTGTTTTTGGAATTTACAGTCTCTATCTTCCAGCAGGATACCAGAAGCAAAAGGAAAGAGTTTAAAAGGAAAAAGATCAATGGGACAAATAGAAATAGCAAGATGATAGATTTAACTTAACTATATTGATAATTATATTAAATGTAAATTGCCTAAAGTTTAAACTCTGAAACATTTCTTTTTTTTTTTTTTTTTTTTTTGAGACGGAGTCTTGCTCTGTCGCCCAGGCTGGAGTGCAGTGGTTAGATCTCAGCTCACTGCAACCTCCACCTCCCGAGTTCAAGCAATTCTTCTGTTTCAGCCTCCTGAGTAGCTGTGATTACAGGCACTCGCCACCTGCCCAGCTAATTTTTATATTTTTAGTAGAGACGGGGTTTCACCCTGTTGGCCAGGCTGGTCTCAAACTCCTGACCTCAGATGATCCACCCACCTCGGCCTCCCAAAGTGCTGGATTACAGGCGTGAGCCACCGCACCCAGCCCACTCTAAAACATTTCAATTAAAAGAGATGGCTGGGCACAGTGGCTCAGGCCTGTAATCCCAGCACTTTGGGAGGCCCAGGTGGGCGGATTACTTGAGCTCAGGAATTCAAAACCAGACCGGACAACATGGCAAAAACCCGTCTCTACAAAGAATACAAAAATTATACGAGTGTGGTGGTGCACACCTGTGGTCCCAGCTACTTGAGAGGCTGAGGTGGGAGGATGGCATGAGCCCAGGAGGCAGAGGTTGCAGTGATCCAAGATAATGCCACTGCACTACAGCCTGGGAGATAGCCTAACCCTGTCTCATAAATGAATTAATGAATGACAGAAATAATCAACTTCGGCAAAAAACAAGACCCATCTATAAACTGCCCATATGAAAACCCCAGTGAAAAGAATGTTGAAATATATTAATATCAAAGTAGATTTTAGAATGAAGACCATTACTTGTGAGAGAGACATTTCATAATAATGAAGGGGTCAGTTCATTAAGAGGATCTAAGAAATCTTAAGTGTTTATGCACAGAGCTTCAAAATATGTAAAGCAAAAACAAAGAAAACTTAGAGACCAAACAAAATTATGATATGTTTGGAGATTGCAACACTTCTTTCTCAGTTACTGATAGAAAATTCAAAATAGGGAAGGTGTGGTGGCCCACATCTATAATCCCAGCACTTTGGGAGGCCGAGGTAGGAGGATTACTTAAGATCAGGAATTCAAGACCAGCCCAGGCAACAGGACAAGACTCTGTCTCTAAAAACAAAAAAAGTTAAAAAAAATTAGCCAGGCGTGATGGCGTGCACCTGTAGTCCCAGCTACTCAGGAAGCTGAGGCAGGAGGATTGCTTGGGCCCAGGAGGTCGAGGCTAGAGTGACCTGTGATCATGCCACTGCACTCCATCCAACCTGGGCAACAGAGTGAGGGCCTGTCTCAAAAACAATAATTTAAAAAAATTTAAGAATTTTGAATCACTCACTTTCTAACAAAACCCAGGGAATGTACAAGACTATCTCTTGGGGTAAAAGGAGCAAGTATTTAAACCTCTGTTTTTATTTCCATGTTTAATGAAAATGAATTGGTGGCTCGGCACAGTGGCTCACGCCTGTAATCCCAGCACTTTGGGAGGCTGAGGCAGGCAGATCACGAGGTCAGGAGATCAAGACCATCCTGGCCAACATGATGAAACCCCATCTCTACTAAAAATAAAAATTAAAAAAAAATTAGCTGGGCGTGGTGGTTCGTGCCTGTAGTCCCAGATACTCGGGAGGCTGAGCCAGGAGAATCGCTTGAACCCAGGAGGTGGAGGTTGCAGTAAGCCGAGATTGCACCACTGTATTCCAGCCTGGTGATAAAGCGAGCCTCCGTCTCAAAAAAAAAAAAAAAAAAAGAAAATGAATTAAATGTTGTTAATGTTTAATAGATTCACAGTGAAGTTTGCTCTCACATGGCGGATACCAAAGCAGTCACACAGAATTAGTGGTAAGTTATCCTGAAGTGAAAGTAAGAGTTCTACCCTCCAAAGGAGAGAACAAAAGGAGTTTTCAGCAGATTGCTATAGACTATACTTTGTATGTCCTCAGTTTTGGAATTTATTATCTACTAATTACTGTTTTCTTGTTTTTCATTTTTTGTGGTTTCTTGGTTTTTTTTTTTTTTTTTTTTTTAGATGGAGTCTTGCTCTGTCACCCAGGCTGGAGGGCAGTGGCGCGATCTCGGCTCACTGCAACCTCTGCCTCCCGGGTTCAAGAGATCCTCCTGCCTCAGCCTCCTGAGTAGCTGGGATTACAGGCACAAGCCACCATGCCCAGCTAATTTTTTGTATTTCTACCATGTTGTGTTTCACCATGTTGGCCAGGCTGGTCTCCAACTCCTGGCCTCACATGTGTTTCACCATGTTGGCCAGGCTGGTCTCGAACTCCTGGCCTCAAATGTTCCACCCACCTCAGCTTCCCAAAGTGCTGGGATTACAGGCATGAGACACTGCACCCCACTTTTTTGTGGGTTTTTTTGAGATGGGATCTCACTGTGTTACCCAGGCTGGGTGCAGTGGTGCAAGCACAGCTCACTGCAGCCTGGACCTCCTGGGATCAAGTGATCCTCTTGCAGCCTCATAAGTAGCTGGGACTGCAGGCACATACCACCACACCCGGCTAATTTTTTTATTTTTGTAGAGACAGGGAGCTCACCATGTTGCCCAAGTTGGTCTCAAACTCCTGGGCTCAAGGAATCCTCCCACCTTGACCTCCCACAGTACTGAGATTAGAGGTGTGAACCTCTGCACCCAGCCTTGTCTACTAGTTTTAACTAAACCTTCATGAAGTAGATAAGTGGCTTAAAAAGATTTTTTTACAAAGAAACTGCTGATTGAAGCTAATACTAATAACCCAACAACAAGCAAACAAGAATAAAATAGAAGAGCTATGAACTCCGTCAGCAACATTATCAGTAAATAGGATGATCTAATCACGAGACGAGTCAACCAAAAAAAAAAGAAGATTGAAATAAGGACCTGAAGCCCAGGCACAGTGGCTCATGCCTGTAATCCTAGCACTTTGGGAGGCCGAGGTGGGCGGATTGCCTCAGCTCAGGAGTTCGAGACCAGCCTGGGCAACATGGTGAAACCCCGTTTCTACTAAAATGCAAAACAAATCAGCCAGGCGTGGTGGCGTGCACCTGTAGTCCCAGCTACTCGGGAGGCTGAGGCAGGAGAATTGCTTGAATCTGGGAGGCGGAGGTTGCAGTGAGCCGAGATCGCACCACTGCACTCCAACCTGGATGACAGAGCGAGACTCCGTCTCTAAAAAATAAAATAAAAATAAAAAAAAGGACCTGGACCCACTATCAGAACAATGAAACTTGTCCTAACAGTGTACTGATCTGTTAACTAATGATAGCGTGTAGTCATCATGATTAGTAAGACATTTAAAAATGTTTAATCTTTGTCTTACCTTTCGTTTCCATATTTGTGTACTTTTGTGTATTTTCTTTTTTGTTGTTGTTGTTTTTTGAGTCAGAGTCTTGCTCTGTTGCCCAGGCTGGAGTGCAATGGCGTGATCTTGGCTCACTGCAACCTCTGCCTCTCGTGTTCAAGCAATTCTCCTGCCTCAGCCTCCCAAGTAGCTGGGATTACAGGCATGTACCACCATGTCTGGCTAATTTTTTGTATTTTTTTTTAGTAGAGATGGGTGGGGTCTTGCTATGTTGCCCAGGCTGGTCTCAAACTCCTGACCTCAAGCAATCCTCCTGCCTCGGCCTCCCAAATGCTGGGATTACGGGCATGAGCCACCGTGCCCAGCCTATTTGTGTATTTTCAATGTACATATATGATAACATTTACATGTAACAAAATGTTACATCACAGGTTGGGATTTACTGTAATTTTTACTCACAATATTCAGTTATTTAAAAATAGCAGCTGGGGCCAGGCACAGTGGCTCACACCTGTAATCCCAGCACTTTGGGAGGCCGAAGAGGGTGGATCACCTGAGGTCAGGAGTTCGAGACCAGCCTGGCCAACGTGGTAAAACCCCATCTCTACTAAAAATACAAAAATCAGCTGGGTGTGGTGGCACGTGCCTTTAGTCCCAGCTACTTGGGAGGCTGAGGCAGGAGAATCACTTGAACACGGGAGGCGGAGGTTGCAGTGAGCTGAGATCCCTCCACTGCACTCCAGCCTAGGCGACAGAGCCAGACTCGGTCTCAAAAAAAAAAAAATAGCCAGCCATGGGGGCTCACAAGTATCATCTTACCACTTTGGGAGGCTGAGGTGGAAGGATTGCTTGAGCCCAGGAGACTAGCCTGGGCAATGAAGTGAGACCCCCGTCTCCACAGACATTTTTAAAAATCAGACGGGCATGGTGGTGTGAACCTGTAGTCCCAGCTACTCAGGAGGCTGAGGCAGGAAGATCACTTAAGCCCGGAGGGAAGGTTACCTGGGCGACAGTGAGATTCTGTCTCTAAATTTAAAAATTTTAAAATAGCATTTGAGGCCTTCATCAGATTTTTAGAGTATTTTAAATGTATAGTTTATTAAGTACAACCCAGGTAGTTTATTTTTAAAAAATTAAATGTGGCCAGGCGCAATGACTTATGCGGGTAATCTCAGCACTCCAAGAGGCCAAGGTGGGTGGATCACTTGAGCCCAAGAGTTCAAGACCAGCCTGGGCAACATAGAGAGACTCTGTCTCTACAAAAAATAGAAAAAATTAGCCACTGTGGTGGCACGTGGTGGCACATTCCTGTAGTTGCAGCTATTTGAGAGGCTGAGGTGGGAGGATTGTTTGAGCCCAAGAGGTGAAGGCCGCAGTGAGCTGACATTACGCCACTGCACTCCAGCCTGGATGACAGAGAAGACCCCGTCTCAGAAAAAAATAAAAAATAAAATAAATGTTACTTCATGATGGCCTCTCAGTTGGCAACATGAGTTTCAAAATTTTATATAATCCTCACTCACCCTCCAAATCTCTAGAGTTGCAAAGTACTCCAATTCAAATATCTATGAGAGGCCATGCGTGGTGGCTCATGCCTGTCATCCCAGCACCTTCGGAGGCCAAGGCAGGCGGATGACCTGAGGTCAGGAGTTCAAGACCAGCTTGGCCAACATGGTGAAACCCTGTCTCTGCAAAAACACAAAAATTAGCCAGGCATGATGGCGGGTGCCTGTAATCCTAGCTACTCAGGAGGCTGAGGCGGAGAATCGCTTGAACCCAGGAGGCAGAGGTTGCAGTGAGCCGAGATCATGCCATTGCACTCCAGCCCAGGCGACAGAGCGAGACTCCGTCACAAACAAACAAACAAACAAACAAGCAAAAAATAGCTATGAAAGTGGAATCCCTCAAGTCCTGGTTTACCTCAATACCAATTTGAGGAGAAAAAGCGAATTTTCTGCTTTTGTTTTTGTTTTGCATTGACTTGCCTTTGATTCTGTCAGAAAGGATTTATGGAAAAGAGGAATCTTATTTTAATCTTCTATACTATGTTATATATATATATTTTTAATTTATATATAGTATTACATTGTTGTAAGTTTACACTTATAATAAACTATCCAAAATGCTAACTAATTTAAAGATTAAATTATTAGTCCCATATACTGTATTAGACTGAATTACTTTTGATACATATAAACAATTTAAAACTGCTTTAGAAGTCAAAAAGAAAAGGACAAAATTCCCTTGTCTCAAGGTCTGTATATTTTTCTGTTTAATATCACCTGCAACAAAATGAAGTAACTCTTTTGAAATATGGCCCCAAATTACAAAACTAACTGGAAAGAATTTTGGTTTGGTTGTTGCTAAACACTTGTGTTTCTGAGAATGCATTACAAAATAAGAACATTGCAAAATAAGAACATGCATACTTATAATGAAAATCAGAAGATTTTGTGCAATTTGAAAAATTCACATATTTTGTGGGTTTTTTGTTTGTTTGTTTGTTTTCCAGATGGAGTTTCGCTCTTTGTTGCCCAGACTGGAGCACAGTGGCGCATCTCGGCTCACTGCAACTCCGCCTTCCAGGTTCAAGCGATTCTCCTGCCTCAGCCTCCCGAGTAGCTGGGACTACAGGCGCCCGCCACCACGCCCGGCTAATTTTTGTATTTTTAGTAGAGACGAAGAGGCTGAGGCAAGAGAATCACTTGAACCTGGGAGACGGAGGTTACAGTGAGCCGAGATGGCGCCATTGCACTCCAGCCTGGGCAACAAAAGCGAAACTCCATCTCAAAAAAAAAAAAGAAAAGAAAAAAATATTTAGTACTCCCTGCACACGTTCTACCCACTCTCATTTTAATTAATTCCCAAGCTCAATTTGGAAAAACAGCATTTAACATACATTTTCCTGCTGATTTGGTAACTAATCAAATATCGTTCTAAATTTACTTTCATATTTTAAATACATTGGTCAGGCATTTTACCTTATTATAGAAAACGAAGAGTTTTTTAAAAATATATATTTGCATTGGCCGGGCGCGGTGGCTCACACCTGTAATCCCAGCACTTTGGGAGGCCAAGGCGGGCGGGTCACGAGGTCAGGAGATCGAGACCATCCTGGCTAACACGGTGAAACCCCGTCTCTACTAAAAATACAAAAAATTAGCCGGGCCTGGTGGCGGGCACCTGTAGTCCCAGCTACTCGGGAGGCTGAGGCAGGAGAATGGTGTGAACCCGGGAGGCAGAGCTTGCAGTGAGCCAAGATCGCGCCACTGCAGTCCAGCCTGGGCGACAGAGCGAGACTCCATCTCAAAAAAAAAAAAAAAAAAAAAAAAAAAAAGAACAAGATCTTGTCTTTTGTGGGAACATGGATGGAGCTGGAGCCTATTTATCCTTAGCAAACTAACAGAGGAACAGAAAACCAAAAGCCACATTTTCTCCCTTATAATAGTGGGAGTGAAATGATGAAAACTCACAAACATAAAGAAGGGAATAACAGACACTGGGATCTACTTGAAGGTGGAGGATGGGAGGAGGGAGAGGATCAGAAAAAATAACTATTGGGTACTAAGCTTAACACACCTGGGTGGGTGATGAAATGTATGACAAATCCTCAAGACATGAGTTTACCTATATAACAAACCTTCACATGTACCGCCGAGCCTAAAATAAAAGTTAAAAAAAAAAGAATTATAAAAAATGAAACTGGCTGGGTGTGGTGAATCATGTCTGTAATCCCAGCACTTTGGGAGGTCGAGGTGGGCAGATCACCTGAGGTCAGGAGTTCAAGATGAGCCTGGCCAACATGGTGAAACCCCGTCTCTACTAAAAACACAAAAAAATTGGCTGGGCGTGGTGGTGGGCGCCTGTATAATCCCAGCAAGTCAGGAGGCCAAGGCAGGAGTATCACTTGAACCTAAGAGGTGGAAGTTGCAGTGAGCTGAGATCACACCACTGCACTCCAGCCTGGGCAACAAGGTCCAGACTCTGTCTCAAAAAAAAAAAAAAACCAAATTGTCATTAAACTTTTAAAAATTGCACAGAACTTTGTACTCTCCTAATAAAACATATCTTGTTTTACCTCGTAACTCGCATTTTTTTTTTTGACAGAGTTTTGCCCTGTCGCCCAGGCTGGAGTGCAATGGCGTGATCTCCGCTCACTGCAACCTCCACCTCCCGGGTTCAAGCGATTCTCGTGCCTCAGCCTCCTGAGTTGCTGAGATTACAGGCACACGCCATCACGCCTGGCTAATTTTTATATTTTTAGTAGGGACAGGGTTTCACTATGTTGCCCAGGCTGGTCTTGAACTCCTGACCTCAGGTGATCTACCCGCCTCGGCCTCCCAAAGTGCTGGGATTACAGGCGTGAGCCACTGCACCTGCCCTGTAACTCAGATATTTTTATACTTGCCTTAATCTCTACCAGATTAGAAATCTTGCAAATCTTGCCTTATTTATCCTGTCTCCTACACAGTGCCTTGCACATAGGAAACATTCACAAATGCTTAATTTGAACTTAATTCCAGACAGTGTCTTGCTATGTTGCCCAGGCTGGAGTACAGCGGCTATTGACATGTGTGATTATTGCACACTACAGCCCTGAACTCCTGGGCTCAAGAGATCCTTCTACCTCAGTCTCCCAAGTAGCTGGAACTACAGGCACACACACACCACTTTGCCTAGCTAATTTCTTTTTTTTTTTTTCAGACGGAGTTTCACTCTTGTTGCCTAGGCTAGAGTTCAATGACATGATCTCGGTCACTGCAACCTCCGCCTCCAGGGCTCAAGTGATTCTCCTGCCTTAGCCATCCAAGTAGCTGGGATTACAGGTGTGCACCACCATGCCTAGCTAATTTTGTATTTTTAGTAAAGACAGGGTTTCACCATGTTGGCCAGGCTGGTCTTGAACTCCTGACCTCAGGTGATCCATCCGTCTTGGCCTCCCAAAGTGCTGGGATTACAGGCGTGAGCCACCACACCGGGCCCTGGCTAATTTCATGTTTAAATGCATACTTTATCATCATTCTTTTTTTTTTTATCATCATTCTTTTCTTTTTATAGTGGGCATGCACCACTATACCCACTAAATTTTAAAATTTTTATAGAGATGGAGTCTCACTATGTTGCCTAGGCTTGTCTTAAACTCCTGGGCTCAAATGATCCTCCCACCTTGGCCTCCCAAAGCGCTGGGATCACAGGCCTGAGCCACGGTGCCCAGCCAAAAATTCTTATAATGAATATAAATTCTCATTTAAACTACTTATACATAGTTACACTATTTTTCTTTCACAGTGCTGTGTGAAGAGTAAACTCTTGGCCGGGTGTGGTGGCTCAGACCTGTAACCTCAGCACTTTGGGAGGCCAAGGCAGGCGGATCACCTGAGGTCAGGAGTTCAAGACCAGCCCGGCCAACATGGTGAAACCCCATCTCTACAAAAAATACAAAAATTAGCTGGGCGTGGTGATGCACGCCTGTAATCCCAGCTACTCGGGAGGCAGAGGCAGAAGAATCACTTGAACCCGGGAGGCAGAGGTTGCAGTGAGCCGAGATCACACCACTGCAGCATTCCAGTCTGGGCGACAGAGCAAGACTCCCTCTCAAATTAAAAAAAAAAAAAGGTAAACTCTCAATAAGTATTTTCTGAATTCAATTGAAAATGGTTAAAGTCATTTTATTTATTCTTTGATTTTTTTTTTTTTTTTTTTTTTTTTTTTTTTGAGACGGAGTCTCACACTCTCGCCCAGGCTGGAGTGCAGTGGCGCCAGCCATCTCGGCTCACTACAAGCTCTGCCTCCCGGGTTCACGCCATTCTCCAGCCTCAGCCTCCCGAGTAGCTGGGATTACAGGCGCCCGCCACCATGCCCGGCTAATTTTTTGTATTTTTAGTAGAGACAGGGTTTCACCGTGTTAGCCAGGATGGTCTGGATCTCCTGACCTTGTGATCCACCCGCCTCGGCCTCTCAAAGTGCTGGGATTACAGGCGTGAGTTACCACGCCCTGCCTATTTGATTTTTAAATCAACTTTTTTTTTTTTTTTTGAGACGGAGTCTCGCTCTGTCGCCCAGGCTGGAGTGCAGTGGCGGGATCTCGGCTCACTGCAAGCTCCGCCTCCCGGGTTCACGCCATTCTCCTGCCTCAGCCTCCCAAGTAGCTGGGACTACAGGCGCCCGCCACTACGCCCGGCTAATTTTTTGTATTTTTAGTAGAGACGGGGTTTCACCGTTTTAGCCGGGATGGTCTCGATCTCCTGACCTCATGATCCGCCCGCCTCGGCCTCCCAAAGTGCTGGGATTACAGGCGTGAGCCACCGCGCCCGGCCAAATCAACTTTTATGGAGCAATAAATTCCCCTTTTAGTTGACCATCTAAGGTCGATCTTGCTGGGTATGGTAGCACATGACTGTAATCCCAGTTACTTGGGAGCCTGAGACAGGAGAATCACTTGAACCCAAGAGGCAGAGGTTGCGGGAGCCAAGATCACACCACTGCGCTCCAGCCTGGGTGACAGAGCGAGACTCCATTTCAAACAAACAAACCAAAAAAAAACATTGGTGACCTCCGGGGAGCGGGGACCACCAGGTTGACCAAGGAGGGATGAACCTGGGAGGTGAACTGGCCCAGATCAGAAATAGAGCAGGTCAAAAACTCCTGTGCTGATCAGTAGTGGGATCTGCTTGTGATTAGCCACTGCACTGTAGCCTGGGCAACATAGTGAGACCTTGTCTATTAAAAAAAAATAAAAATAAAAAAAATAAAAAAAATAAAAAAAAAAATAAAGTCAATCATTTAAAAAAGAAAGAAACACAGTTGGGTGCGGTGGCTCACACCTGTAATCCCAGCACTTTAGGAGGCCGAGGCAGGCAGATCACGAGGTCAGAAGATTGAGACCATCCTGGCTAACACAGTGAAACCCTGTCTCTACTAAAAATACAAATATTAGCCGGGCATGGTGGCAGGCGCCTGTAATCCCAACTATTCTGGAAGCTGAGACAGGAGAATTGCTTGAACCTGGGAGGCAGAGGTTACAGTGAGCCGAGATTGTGCCACTGCACTCCAGCCTGGGTGACAGAGAGAGATTCCATCAGAAGGAAGGAAGGAAGGAAAGGGAGGGAGGGAGGGAGGGAGCGAGGGAGCCCAGGCACAGACAGTGGTTCATGCCTGTAATCCCAGCACTTTGGGAGGCCGGGGTGAGGTGAGAGGAGCACTTGAGCCCAGGAGTTCAAGGTTTCAAGGTTATAGCATGCCAACACTGCACTCCAGCCTGGGTGACAGAATAGGACTCTATCTCTTAAAAAAAAAAAAAAAAGAAAAAGAAAAGTCAGATAAAGAGTAACTGAGAAAATAAACACACAACAGGTTTTGAAGGAGTTTTATAATATGTAACTTTTCCATCAATGCACACCACCATTTTTTTTTTTTTTTTTTTTGAGATGGAATCTCACTCTGTCACCCAGGCTGGAATGCAGTGGCACGATCTTGGCTCACTGCGAACTCCGCCTCCCGAGTTCATGCCATTCTACTGCCTCAGCCTCCCGAGTAGCTGGGACTACAGGCACCCGCCACCACGCCCAGCTAATTTTTTGTACGAGGTTTCACCTTGTTAGCCAGGATAGTCTCAATCTCCTGACCTCGTGATCTGCCCGCCTCAGCCTCCCAAAGTGCTGGGATTACAGGCATGAGCCCCTGCACCCAGCCCCTCCCCCACTTTTTTTTTGAGACGGAGTCTTGCTCTGTCGCTCAGGCTGGAGTGCAGTGGCATGATCTTGGCTCACTGCAACCTCTGCCTCCCAGGTTCAAGCAATTCTCCTGCCTCAGCCTCCCGAGTAGCTGGGACTACAGGCGCGCCCCACCATGCCTGGCTAATTTTTGTATTTTTTTTTTAGGAGAGACGGGGCTTCACCATGTTGGCCAGGCTGGTCTTGAACTCCTGACCTTGTGATCCGCCCACCTCAGCCTCCCAAAGTGCTGGGATTACAGGCGTGAGCGACTGTGCCCAGCCACTTATTAGAATTTTTAAGCAAGGAGGAGCCGGGTGCGGTGGCTCATGCCTGTAATCCCAGCACTTTGAGAGGCAGAGCCGGGACGATTACCTGGGGTCAGGAGTTCGAGACCAGCCTGACCAATATGGTGAAACATGGTCTCTAAAGACAAAAAGTTAGCCAGGCGTGGTGGCACACGCCTGTAATCCCAGCTGCTTGGGAGGCTGAGGCAGGAGAATCAATTGAACCTGGGAGGCAGAGGTTGCAGTGAGCTGAGATTGTGCCATTGCACCCCAGCCTGGGCAAGAAAAGTGAAAACTCTGTCTCAAAAAAAGAAATAAATAATTTTTAAGTAAGGAGAATTACTATTTCAATTTCACATCTTGGCTATATTTTGACAAAGGAGATAATACTCCTGTAAGAGTATAGCAATATAGCAACAATCGCCTGTCCCAAGCCAGGAATCAATCAGTGTTCCTCTCCCCATCTCCACCCCAATCTCAAGAACCTTTTACTTCCCAACTAAACAACACAATTGGCAAATGAAGCCTGTGTGAAACCTGTATCAAAAACCAATAAGAGAGCCTGCAGCGAACCAATGTGTTACGCAGCTACTCTCGTAAATGATTACTTGGCCTCTCATAGACTTCTCAGCAGAAGATGGACCTTTATATCCTGGTGGAAAGACTAATTTAATATTTCTGAGCATTTATTTCTAATGCTATAATATTTCTAAACATTACATCATTATTTTCCGCCTTCCACTATCCTTTAAGGGCAATTAATTATTCTTGCTAAGGGGAATAAATGGCATAACAAAATTATAATTCCAAAAAGTGACAAAATCTAAAACAACAAAGTGGTTTTGCATATGCAGTCTTGGTTGAGATTGTAGTGGGTTGATTGGCCACATGATCAGAAATTTATTTCTGGAAAATTTTCACAGAAAAATGGGTAGGAATGGTGGTGGGGTCCATGTGGTATATGTCCTGAGGTCTGGGGCAGAGGACATTTACCAAATAATGTCTAAAGAGAGTGCTAAGACCCAAAGCTAGAAAATCCTGTCCAAATGGGTTATGGAAGTAAGATGGTGCAAGGACAAGAGCATAGATTCTAATTCAAGGGGATCATCAAGCCAGGCAGGCAAAGAAGAGAAATGGAACAACTCTGGACAGTAACTGGCAGGCCATCTGGATGAAAGCTGGTTACAGCTGCTATTGTCTAGGACTGAATCCCTTGTGTTAGGGCTGGTCTGATTCATTTAAAAAGTCTTAGCCAGGCATGGTGGCTCACACCTGTGATCTCAGGACTTTGGGAGGCCGAGGCCGGAGGACTGCATGAGCCCTGGAGTCCAAGACCAGCCTGGGCAACATAGGGAGACCTTGTCTCTACAAAAAAAGTAAAAATTAGCCAGGTATGATGGCATGTGCCTTTAGTACTAGCTACTTAGGAAGCTGAGGTAGGAGGACTGCTTGAGTCTAGGAGATCGAGGCTACAGTGAGCCATGTTTGCACCACTACACTTGAGCCTGGGCAACAGAACAAGACCCCATCTCAAAAAAGAAAAAAATAAAAAGTCTGGAATGGAGCAGACACTAAACTTCATATCCTGGCAAAATTCCAGAGATACTGTGTCTTTAGCTTAGTCCTTTCCTGTCCAAAGGGCAAGTTATGGGACAGATTGATAGATCATTCATATCCAAGGAATAGCACTGATTTTAAGCAATTTGATTATCATGTTTGTTGGTGCAATTTTATTCATGTTTCTTGTACCTGGGGTTCATCGAACTTCTTTTTTTATAATTTCAATAAGTTTTTGGGGAACAAGTGGTGTTTGGTTCCATGAATAAGTTCTTTAGTGATGATTTCTGAGATTTTGGTGCACCTATCACCTGACCAGTGCACACTGTACCAAATATGTAGTCTTTTATCCCTCACCTCCCTCTCACTCTTTTCCCCAAGTCCCCAAAGTCCATTGTATCATTCTTATGCCTTTGTGTCCTCATAGCTTAGCTCCCGCTTTTTTTTTTTTTTTTTTTGAGACAAAGTCTCATTTGCTCTGTCACCCAGGCTGGAGTGCGGTGGTGCGATCTTGGCTCACTGCAACCCCCTCTCCCAAGTTCAAGTGATTCTCCTCCCTCAGCCTCCTGAGTAGCTGGGATTACAGGTGAGCACCACAAGCCCAGCTAATTTTTGTATTTTTAGTAGAGATGAGGTTTCACCATGTTGGCCAGACTGGTCTCAAACACCTGGCCTCAAGTGATCCGCCTACCTTAACCTCCCAAAGTGCTGAGATTACAGGCATAAGCCACTGCACCCGGTCGCTTAGCTCCCACTTGCAAGTGAGAACATAATGACATTTGGTTTTCTATTCCTGTGTTACTTCACTTAGAATAATGGTCTCCAAATGCAAACTTTTTTTTTTTCTTTTTTCTGAGACGGATGCTCTGTCGCCCAGGCTGGAGTGCAGTGGCATGATCTAGGCTCACTGCAACCCCTGCCTCCTGAGTTCAAGCGATTCTCCTGCCTCAGCTTCCCGAGTAGCTGGGATTACAGGCGCACACCACCATGTCCAGCTAATTTTTGTATTTTAGTAGAGACGGAGTTTCACCAAGTTGGCCAGGCTGGTCGCGAACTCCTGACCTCAAATGATCCACCCGCCTCGGCCTCCCAAAGTGCTGGGATTGTAGGCATGAGCCACCACACCTGGCCACAAACTTTTATTAGCATTTATTTTATTCTGAATTTATTCCCATGCCACAAGTTTTTGTTTTTGTTTCTTCAGTTACTTTTGAGATATCTTTTTCTTCAATTCAACTTCCTCTTCTGGTTAAAGAATAATTTGTTCTGGCCGGGTGCGGCGGCTCATGCCTGTAATCCCAACACTTTGGAAGGCCGAGGCGGGCGGATCACTTGAGGCCAGGAATTCGAGACCAGCCTGGGCAACATGCTGA
Source organism: Homo sapiens (assembly GCF_000001405.40). Classification (NCBI taxonomy): domain Eukaryota; kingdom Metazoa; phylum Chordata; class Mammalia; order Primates; family Hominidae; genus Homo; species Homo sapiens. Next base: position 201,102,297 of record NC_000002.12, read on the forward strand.
AAGCTGGTCTCTACTAAAAATACAAAAATTAGCCGGGCATGGTGGCACTGGCCTGTAATCCCAGCTACTCGGAAGGCTGAGGAAGGAGAATTGCTTGAACCTGGGAGTCAGAGGTTGCAATGAGCCGAGATGGCGCCATTGCACTCCAGCCTGGGTGACAGAGCAAGACTCTGTCTCAAAAAAAAAAAAAAAAAAAAAGAATTTGTTCTTTTCAGTAAGGATCATCTCGATGTGGCAGGCAGAGGTCACGTATGGGTTAATCTGACCATGAGCTCTGTAAGTCCAGCAGTGCATCTTGGGTGCTTTGTTCACCTGGATAGGCTCAATGATCAGAGAATCTATATCCAAAACCTTAAATTCAGCATTACTCTGCATTTTTAAGCATGTGCAGCAAAAATTCAGTACTCTTTTTGGGCCAGCAACCCTGTATCTAGCCCCACTGTCTGGCCTGGGCACACCTACCAACTCCACCATTGTAGCGTGGTTTCTACACAGTACTTTTATAAAGTGACATCTTTCAGAATACTTGGTGGCTTCTCGTGTATGCCTACCCTTGATGGCCCAGATAATTTCACCCGTATTCTTAAAGAAAACAAAGATTTGAACCTTTTGATTTGCATGATTTTGTGAAGTTTTCTAGGACAAATGAATAGTGAACCATTTTCACAGATCACCTCAGGCTGCTTAGAGGAAGCGAGCTCATTAAGCTTCTTTGATCAAAGGGTTTGTTTTTATCTAATTTGGAATTTTTCAGCCATTATTTCTTTAAATATTTTTTCTTTTTCTTTTTCTTTTTTTTTTTTTGAGACAGAGTCTTGCTGTGTTGCCCAGGCTGGATTGTAGTGGCGCAGTCTGGGCTCACTGCAACCTCTCCCTCCCGGGTTCAAGCGATTCTCCTGCCTTAGCCTCCCGAGTAGCTGGGAATACAGGCACCCGCCACCACATTCGGCTAATTTTTGTTATTTTTTTAGTAGACAGTGTTTTGCCATGTTGGTCAGGCTGGTCTCAAACTCCTGACCTTAGGTGATCCACCCGCCTTGGCCTCTCCCAAAGTGCTGGGATTACAGGCATGAATGAGCCACAGCGCCCGACCTCTTCAAGTATTTTTTCTATCTCCCATCCTCTCCTTCAGGGAATTTAATTACACATATATTAGCCTCCCTGATACTGTGTTATGGTTTCCCTGATACTCTTTATTTTTCTCTTTCAGTAATTTTTCTGTTTTTCATTTTTCTATTATTATTATCTTTTGAGATGGAATCTCGCTCTGTCGCACTCAGGCTGGAGTGCAATGTCACAATCTTGGCTCACTGCAACCTCCACCTCTCAGGTTCAAGTGATTCTCCTGCCAGCCTCCCGAGTAGCTGGGTTTACAGGCGCCCACCACCACGCTAGGCTAATTTTTGTATTTTTAGTAGAGATGGGGTTTTGCCATGTTGGCCAGGCTGGTCTCAAACTCCTGACCTCAAGTGATCTGCCCACCTCAGCTTCTCAAAGTGCTGGGGTTACAGGCATGAGCCACCATGCAAGGCCTCTGTATTTCATTTTAGATAATTTATATTGTGTGTCTTCATGTTCACTAATCTTTTCTTCAGTATCTAATCTGCTTTTAACCTCATGCAATGTATTCTTCACCTCAGACATTGTAGTTTGCATCTAGAAGTTTTTTTGTGTGTGTTTTTTGGTGGTTGTTTGTTTTGTAGAGATGAATGTCTTGCTATGTTGCCCAGGCTGGTCTTGAACTCCTGGCCTCAAGTGATTCCTGTCTTAGCCTCCCAAAGTGCTGGGGTTATGGGCATGAGCCACCACATCTGGCCCATCTAGAGCTTTTTTTCTTTTTTAGAGACAGTGTCTCGCTCTGTCACCCAGGCTGGAGTGGTGCAACGGCACAATCATAGCTTACTGTAGCCTTGAATTCTTGGCCTCAAGGAGTCCTTCTGTTTCAACCTCTTGAATAGCTGAGAGTGTGTGCCACCGTGCCCAGTTAATTTTTTTATTTTGTAAAGATGAGATATCTGTTTATTGCCTGGGTTGATCTCAAACTCCTGGCCTCAAGCGATGCTCCCACCTTGGCCTCTCAAAGTGCTGGGATTACAGGTGTGAGCCACTGCATCTGGCCCCATCTATAGTTTTAATACGAGTCTTTATATCTTCCATGTCTCAACTTAACATGCTCAGTCTTTCCTCTATCTTATTGAAATATGGCTATAGAATCTGTTTTAGTATCCCTATCTACTAATTATTTTGCTTGTTTGTTTTACCTCACCTCAAAAGCCAAGGCAAATATACTAATTCTATTACCTATGGCATTTCTGGGTGTAATTCTATTGATTGATTGATTGTTATTGTCCTCATATGAGTGATCTTTTCCTGGTTCTTTGCTCTTTTGTATTTTTTTTTAAGATATGGAGTCTTGCTACTTGCCCAGGCTAGAATGCAGGTAGACATTTTGTCTACATGGTTTTTCAGTTGTTTCAGGCAGGAGGATACACCAGTCCCTGTTACTCCAGCTTGCCAGAGCAGAACATGTAAATTCAACAGAACCACAGATGGTTGTGTATACTGCATTTAGGCTTTTCCACATTCTTAGATTTACATGGCCTTACCATTTGCAAAGAATAAAGCAGGCAGGGTGCAGTGGCTCACACCTGTAATCCCAGCACTTTGGGAGGCTAAGGCAGGAGGACTGCTTGAGCCCAGGAGTTCAAGACCAGCCTGGGCAACATAGTGAGACCCTGTCTCTACAAATAATAAAAAATTAGCTGGGAATGGTGGCATGTGCATGTAGCCCCAGCTACTGAGGATTCCTTGAGCCTGGGAGGTCTAGGTGGCAGTGAGCCATGATCATGCTACTACACTCTAGCCTGAGCAACAGTGGGAGCCCCTGTCTCAAAAAACAAACAAACAAACAAAATAGATTAATCAAGGGGATAAAAATAAAAAGTAAAAAAAATTCATATGCAGTCACACAGGAGGTGCAAAGCACCTCCCTGATAAATGTCTTCCAAGTGGAATGTATCTTTGTTTTTATCAAACATCAGGGAATGTATTTTTCTCTGGATATGGTGTTTTTGACTAATATTTGCACAGAAATTGTTCATATTTCTGCCCCCCCAAAAAAACCTCAAGATAAGATTTTTAAGGAAAATTATGTGCATGAAAAGTCTTACATTGTATCCCAAATACAATTGGGGGAATACAGAATCATGTGTAGATATTTTTCCAACTTTTTATTTTCAAACCTGAAAACCAGGCCGGGTGTGGTGGCTCACGCCTATAATCCCAGAACTTTGGGAAGCCTAGGTGAGTAGATCACATGAGGCCAGGAGTTCGAGACCAGCCTGGCCAACATGGCAAAATCTTGTCTTTACTAAAAATACAAAAATTAGCTGGGCATGGTAGCACACACCTGTAGTCCCAGCTACTCGGAAGGCTGAGGCATGAGAATTGCTTGAACCCGGGAGATGGAGGTTGCAGTCAGCTGAGATCGTGCCAATGCATTGCAACCTGGGTGACAGAGAGAGACTTTGTCTCAAACAAAACAAAACCTGAAAACCAGAAAATTTAAAGAATACACATATACCCTTTACCTACAGACACCAATTGTTAACATTTAGCCACATTTACTTTATCTCTCTCTCTAGACACACACATACACACACACTTTGCTGAATCATTGACAGTAATGTGCAGACATCATGATACTTTACCCCTAGATTCTTCAGTGTGTGTTTTCTATGAACAAAGACATTCTCCTACATGATCACAATATCACTATCATACCTGCAATAGACTGAATGTTTCCCCCTGAAACTCATATGTTGAAACCTAATCCCCAGTGTGATGGCATTTGGAGGTGAGGCCTTTGGGAGATGAAAAGGTCATGAGGGTGGAACCCTCATGAATGGGATTAGTGCCCTTATAAAAGAGATCATAGAGAGCTCCCTTGCCCCTTCTACCATATGAGGGCACAGTGAGAAGATGACCACATCTATAAGCCAGAAGGCAGGCCCTCACCAGACTCTGAATCTGCCAGTGATCTTGGATTTCCCAGCTCCAGAAGTGTTAGAAATAAATTTCTGTTGTTTATAAGCTACCTAGTCTATGGTATTTTATCATATCAGCCCAAATGAATTAAGACAATACCCATGAAATTTAACATACACAATAGTGTCTAATGTACAGGCTATACCAAAATTTCCATTTCCCTGTAACTGACATTTATCCTCTTATCTCCAAAATAACTCTTCTCTGCCAGGCGTGGTGGCTCATGCCTGTAATCCCAGCACTTTGGGAGGCCGAGGCGGGTGGATCACCTGAGGTCAGGAGTTCGAGACCAGCCAGGCCAACATGGTGAAACTCCATCTCTACTAAAAATACAAAAAATTAGCCAGCGTGGTGGCAGGTGCCTGTAATCCCAGCTACTTGGGCGTCTGAGGCAGAAGAAACACTTGAACCCGGGAGGTGGAGGTTGCAGTGACCTGAGTCTGTGCCACTGCACTCCAGCCTGGGCAACAAGAGTGAAACTCCATCTCAAAAACAAAAACAAAACCCTCTTCTTCCTTTTATGCCCCCAACAGTTATGGGCCCTCCCCAAAGCTAAACCAATGCTCTCACCAAAGCAAAGCATGCCCAGTTCTTCATAGCCTTGATCTACCATCACTACACATATTATTCCATTTATTCCTTATACAAGAAGGTATTATCTCTATTATCTCATTTATTCCTTAAACAAGAAGGTATTCACTATCTCTATTATAAGAAAAATTAGGTTCAGAGAGATTCATTAACTTGGCTACAGTCACACAGATATTTATTAAGTCTCAGAGTCAAAATTTGAACTCAGATCTCTGACTTCACAGCCCATGTTCTTTCTGCTACGCCACACTGTCTACTGTATCAAATCTATATTACTTTTTTTTTTTTTTTCTGAGACAGGGACTCACTCTGTCTTTCAGGCTGGAGTGTAGTGGTGCAATCACAGCTCACTGTAGCCTCGACCTTCCAAGCTCAGGCCATCTTCCCAGCTCAGCCTCTTGAGTAGCTGGGACGACAGGCTCATGCCACTATGCCCAGCAAATCTATATTACTCTGACTAATGGAGATCGCAAGGCTTTTGTTTTATCTAAATGAGACCTCCATTTATTACTTACACAGTGATTAATAAGCATACAAGTTTTAGTGTTTTCTCTGTTAATTCTTAGTAGTCTACATTCTAGGATCTCTTTGAGGGCACAGCTAGTTTTGTTCTTAGAGACACCCTCAGCACCTAGAATGATGCCAGACACTTAGTAGGTATTCAGTGAATGTCTACTGGATAAATGCATGAATTAGACTAAGTACACATAGACTCAAAATAAATATACAAAGTATGTTTTCAAGCTGATTTTCTAACCCAGCAAGGGCTGTAAACATTCATTGTAAGAAGTTGATCAAACAGGAATTTACTCTGCTGCACTTTTTTTTTTTTTCTGAGACAGGGTCTCATTGTGTTGCCCAGGCAGGAGTGCAGTGGTGCAATCATGGCTCACCACAGCCCCAACCTCCCAGGCGGGCTCAGGTGATCCTCCCACCTCAGCCTCCCAAGTAGCTGGAACCACACGCTCAAGCCACCACATCTGGCTAATTTTTGTAATTTTTGTAGAGACAAAGTCTCACCATTTTGCCCAGGCTATTCTGCTGCATTTTTAACATTTTCAACAATAATTCCTTCATTTAGACCACCATCTCCTCTCACTCAATCTTACCATTACACCTTTGCTCAATTTTCAGACCCAGCATTAATCTCAAATCCTCCTTCTGCAATTCCAGCTTGAAATCTTCCTTTTGTTCTCATCTTTAACCTATAAGCAACATTTTTATTATACATTATATTTTACATTGTTCTTATTGCAGAATTTATCATTATTATGCATAAATAATAATCAAAGGCAATATTTTCCCAGTTATTTGGTATCATTTAAGTGAATCTTCCAGATTACTCAACTCTATAAGAATTAAACCTTTTAAAACATTTGCATCATCTTTCACAAAAAGCCTTCTAAAATGCATTAAATATTTTTCTCCCTCTTAAAACAGCATGAACAGAACATTCTTTAACCTTTTTCTGACTCAAGCTCTGACCGAAAGCATCTGTTACTGCACTGGTCCATGGCAGAGAGATGCCATGACAGAAAATGATTTTTCTGTCACTTTCATCACATATTATTTTGCTTCATTCATCACCAGCTGCCACTTCTTATTCCTGATCCAGCTCTGGAAGCTCCTAATTCTCAGCTCATTATAACGTAGGAAACCAGCCAAATGAACTTGTTAACATTTGTGATGAAAATAACTAGACCCCAAGGATCTTACAAACAAACTGAGTTAGTTTAGTGACACCTTTTTTGTACACTCAAATGCCTTTTTTTTTTTTTTTTGAGATGGAGTCTTGCTCTTGTTGCCCAGGCTAGATTGCAATGGCGCGATCTTGGCTCACTGAAATCTCTGCCTCCTGGGTTCAAGCGATTTTCCTGCCTCAGCCTCCCGAGTAGCAGGGATTAAAGGCACATGCCACCATGCCTGGCTAATTTTTTATATTTTTAGTAGAGAAAGGGGTTCACCATGCTGGCCAGGCTGGTCTCGAACTCCCAACCTTAGGTGATCTGCCTGTCTCAGCCTCCCAAAGTGCTGTGATTACAGGCGCCTCTTTTCCTTAATAATCCCTAATTCTTGGCTAGGTTGTTGGGTAAAAGTTATTTCCTGATAAACAAGGCGTTACCTTATATATATTATCAATAAAATTATATGTATAAATACATGGAAATGCACGCATAGTATTGCATTATTCAATAAGAGTTTTACAGCTGAATATCCCTCTTAGGAATTCCTTGAGGACAAAGACTCTATTTCTTTTTTTTCTTTTTCTTTTTTTTTTTGAGCCTGTCTCCCAGGCTGGAGTACAGTGGTGTGATCTTAACTCACTGCAACCTCCACCTCCCAGGTTCAAGCAATTCTTCTGCCGCAGCCTCCAGAGTAGCTGGGAATACAGGCATGCACCACCATGTTTGGCTAATTTTTCTATTTTTAGTAGATGGTTTCGCCATGTTGGCTAGGCTGATCTCAAATTCCTGACCTGAAGTGATCCGTCTGCCTTGGCCTCCCATAGTGCTGGGATTACAGTTGTGAGCCACTGTGCCTGGCCTCTATTTCTTTTATGTAGTACCTGGCACATAGTAGGAGCTCAAAAATGTTTGCCAATGAATGGATATTATAGCGTAGCCTTCTGGTGTGACAGAAATTATTTTTAAAATTTATTTGCTAGATTATGCAACAAAGCAAGACCCTTTCTCTACAAAAATTAAAAGTATTAGCCAAACACGGTGGCACATCCCTGTAGTCCCAGGTACTCAGAAGGCTGAGACAGGAGGATTGCTTGAGGCCAGAAGTTTGAGGCTGCAGTGAGGTATGATCATGCCACTGCACTCCAGCTTGGGGGTGACACTGTGAGACTCCATCTCTGAAAAATAATAAAAAAAAAATGGCCGGGCACAGTGGCTCACGCCTGTAATCCCAGCACTTTGGGAGGCTGAGGTGGGTGGATCACCTGAGGTCAGGAGTTCCAAGATCAGCCTGACCAACATGGTGAAACCCCATCTCTACTAAAAATACAAAAAATTAGCTGGATGTGGTGGCGGGCTCCTGTAATCCCAGCTACCTGGGAGGCTGCGGCAGGAGAATCGCTTGAACCCAGGAGGCGGAGGTTGCAGCGAGCCGAGATCACACCATTGCACTCTAGCCTGGGCAACAGGAGCAAAACTCCATCTCAAAAATAAATAAGTAATACAAATAAAATAAAATAAAATCAATTATTTGCTCACTTGCACTTAACCATGGGGGAAAACTTTTGGGAAAAGGTGAAATGGAAGTTGTCAATATAACTTCTAAGCTCCAAGTGTAGGACCTTTCCTTTTTCCTTCCACTATATTCCCAGAGGCTAAATCAATGCCTGGTACATAGTGTTTAATTTATTTAGCACCTACTATATGCCAGGCATATTATTCAGAGACAGGGTCTCACTCTGTTACCTAGGCTGGAGTGCAGTAGTGCAATCAAGCTTACTGCAGCCTTGAACTCCTGGGCTCAAGCAATATGCTCACCTTGGCCTCCTGAGCAGCTGGGACTACAAGTGTGCGCTACCCCCACTGAGCTGATTTTTAAAAATTATTTTTGTGGAGACAGGGTCTCATTATGTTGCCCAGACTGGTCTTGACCTCTTGGCCTCAAGTGTTCCTCCCACCTCAGCCTCCCAAAGTGCTGGGATTACAGGCGTGAGCCACCTTGCCTGGCCATGCCAGGCATATTCCAAATATTAATTTGTGTAATAATTCTATGAGGTTGGGACTATTACTGTCATTCCCTTTTTACAGGTGAGAAAATTGAGGCACAAAGAGGAAACTTACCCAGAAGTTCACACTGCTAGTGAGAGGCAAAGCTGGAATGCAAACCCAGAACTAGTTCCAGAGGCAGTACTATTAATCCTTATGTAATAGTGCCAGATATATTTCTGGAAATGACTTAGTTAACTACTAATTTCTGCACCTTGCTTTGCTTGTAAAGGCTGTTGCTACAAATCTACAGTTGACTACTTCTATAGAAACCCAGCTGTCTTAGTCTGTTTTGTATTGCTATAAAAGAATAACTGAGACTGGGTAGTTTATAAAGAAAAGAGGTTTATTTAACTCATGGTTCTGCAGGCTGTACAAGAAGCATGGCACTGGCATCTGCTTGACTTCTGGTGAAAGCTTCAGGTTGCTTCCACCCATGGTGGAAGGCAAAAGGCTTCTCTCATGGTGAGAGAAGAAGAAACAGTGAAAAAGGGGAAAGTGCCAGGCTCTGTTTAACAACCAGCTCTTGTGGGAATTAATAGAAGAAAAACTCCCTCACCACTAAGGGAAGGCATTAATCTATTCATGAGGTATCTACCCCCATGACCCAAATACCTTCCATGAGGCCCACCTCCAACATGGGGATCAAATTTCAACATGAGGTTTAGAGGGGACAAATATCCAAACCATAGCACCAGCATATTAGAATTGTGTTTATTTATTCTTCTCAAGAATGTATTTTTTTTTTATCGAGACCATCCTGGCCAACATGGTGAAACCCTGTCTCTACTAAAAATACAAAAATTATGGCTGGGCGCGGTGGCTCATGCCTGTAATCCCAGCACTTTGGGAGGCCGAGGCGGGTGAATCATGAGGTTAGGAGTTCGAGACAAGCCTGGCCAACATGGTGAAAGCCTGTCTCTACTAAAAATACAAAAAATTAGCTGGGCGTAGTGGTGGGCGCCTGTAATTCCAGCTACTTGGGAGGCTGAGGCAGGAGAATCACTTGAACCCAGGAGGCGGAGATTGCAGTGAGCCGAGATCGTGCCACTGCACTCCAGCCTGGGTGACAGAGTGAGACTCTGTCTCAAAAAAAAAAAAAAAAAAAAAAATTAGCTGGGCATGCTGGCGCGCACCTGCAGTCCCAGCTACTCGGGAGGCTGAGGCAGGAGAATCGCTTGAACCCGGGAGGCGGAGGTTGCAGTGAGCTGAGATCATGCCACTGCACTCCAGCCTGGCGACAGAGCGAGACTCCATCTCAAAAAAAAAAAGAATGTATTCTTTTTAAACTAAATTTATTTATATATATTTTTTGAGACGGGGTTTCACTCTGTCATCCAAGCTGGAGTACAGTGCTGTGCTCATGGTTTACTGCAACCTCAACCTGCCTGGCTCAAGTGATCCTCCCACTTCAGCCTCTTGAGTAGCTGGGACCACATGTATGCATCACTACACCTGGCTAATTTTTTAATTTTTTGTAGAGACAGGCTCTCCCTGTATTGCCCAGGCTGATCTTGAACACCTGGGTTCAAGTGTTCCTTCTGCCTTGGCTTCCCAAAGTGCTGGGTTTATAGGCATGAGCTACCATACCCAGCCAAGAATATATTCTCCCAGAATGTCAGAGGAGTTGAGGCAGGATGTGTGGCTAAGAGAGTAGATATAAAGTCATTGCTGTGGCTATTAATTCTCCATTCCCAAGTCACCCACTGTGATATAAGGAAAAGCATTAGATAAATTCTTGGCATCCTGTCCTAGTCCTGTCACTAGCTAGTTGTGAGATGTCTCAATTTATTAACTCACTTTAAGCCTCAGATTCTTCATCTGAAAATTGGGTTGTGGTTGACGGAGTGAGAAAATGTTTGGATTAGATCAGTTGTTCTGAATCTTAACTGTACATTGAAATCACACGGGGAGCTTTAAAAACTACCAATCCCTGGGTCTCACTCTCAGAGATTTTGATACAATTAGTCTGGAATGGTACCTGGCCACTGAGGTTTTTGCAGCTCCTTGGGGACAGTCTAATGTGCAGCCAAGGTTTACAACCAGTGAATTTGATGAAAACGTGAACATTTGTTGCTACTTTGTTAAGTGTGGAAACAGAAAGTCAGAGAGGCTTAAGCAATACTGCCCTTGGACCCAGGCACTGGGGGTCCTGTTGTGGGCCCTGATTTAGAAGGGCCTTGCTCCGGCTCTTCTTGGGCTGTGCCCTTCCCTCAGGTGAGGAGAATCATCAGAGGTGGGAGGAGTCTGCAAGGTCAAGAGGACATGCCCACACCGAGACCCTCTGTTTAAAACCCTCTTTGGGGCTGGGTGTGGTGGCTCTCGCCTGTAATTCCAGCACTTTGGGAGGCCAAGGTGGGCAGATCACTTGAGGCCAGGAGTTCAAGACCAGCCTGGCCAACGTAGTGAAACCCTGTCTCCACTAAAAATACAAAAATCAGCCGGATATGGTGGTGCGCGCATATAATCCCAGCTATTTGAGAGGCCGAGGCAAGGGAATTGCTTGGGCCTGGGAGGCAGAGGTTGCAGTGAGCCAGGATTGTGCCACTACACTCCAGCCTGGGTGACAGAGTGAGACTACGTCTCAAAAAAACAAAAAGAATAAACCCTCTTTGGGTACCTAAGACCTGAAGTTCTCTACGCAAAGAGCCCTGAGCCTCCCACCAGGGCCTACATTGGCCTCTTCCCCAAGTCCATACCCCAGGGACAAACTATGCTGCAAGTATGCACATCCCTAAGCCCAAGGGGTGGCTGATTTTAAGAGGATGTAAATGGAAAGTGGACTGCAGGTGGGAGTGTCAACATAGGTGTATACAGTCATTCTTTGAGGGCTGCTGAAGCCAAAGGATAAGGATGGCACAGGGGTAGGGGGTTAAATGCCTGCCCCTACTGGTTTGCCAAATGGGATGACAACATGGGCTTCCAATGTGAGCCAGAAAAAGCCCTCAGGGAACGACATATGGATATGCTGGGTTAGAAGTCATACTGGTGTGTGTTGAAGTGGTAAGAATCAGTGGGCATGCAAGGTGGGCCTGGGGTAAGTCCACTATGATGGTTCTACTGACAACCAGAAATGGCTTTCACTTGGGATAGGGTGGGTTGGAGGTGGTGATGGAGGTGCTAAGCTAGGTGTTCTTGAATAGTAGTTTCCAAATTAAGGACAGGTGCTGATCTGTAATAAAATTTTCTTGGTGTACTAAAAAGATAAGAAAGGCCAAGAGCAGCAGTGGTCATGCCTGTAATCCCAGTGCTTTGGAAGACCTAGGCAGGAAGATCACTTGAGGCAAGTTCAAAACCAGCCTGGGCAACATAGCAAGACTCCCTGCCACCCACGACCCCCGCTTCTACTAGATATATATATATATATATATATATATATATATATTTTTTTTTTTTTTTTTTTTTTTTTTTTTTTTGAGATGGAGTCTTACTCTGTCTCCCAGGCTAGAGTGCACTGGCATAATCTAGGCTCACTGCAACCTCCGCCTCCCGGGTTCAAGCAATTCTCTGCCTTAGCCTCCTGAGTAGCTGGGATTACAGGCGCCCGCCATCACACCCAGTTAATTTTTTGTATTTTTAGTAGAGATGGGGTTTCACTATCTGGGCCAGGCTGGTCTTGAACTCCTGACCTCGTGATCCACCCGCCTCAGCCTCCCAAAGTGCTGGGATTACAGGCATAAGCCATTGCGCCGGGCCACAAATTTTTTTTTAAAGAATTAGCTGGGCATGGTGGCACCTGTAGTGGCACACCTAGCATGGTGGCATGCTAGGACCTGTAGTCCTAGCTACTCAGGAGGCTGAGGCAGAAGGATCACTTGAACCTGGGAGGTTAAGGCTGCAGTGAGCTGTGATCGGGTCACTGCACTCCAGCCTGGAGTGAGACCCTGTCTCAAAAACAAACAAAAAACCAAACTTGGATAACTGACAGAGTTTAGGATAGAATTACATGGAAAAACCAACAAAACAAGACAATTATTAACTCCAGAAAAAACTAAAAGTTGTGTGGGAAAGGAAAAGTAATCATAGTTTGGTACATAACTTGGCTGTGACTACCGTTTACATGATTATAATAGCATATATACTGAAGATTAATCAAACAGAATATAACTATCTTGGGAAGATGGAGAGATTAAAAAAAAAGGTTGGGGGTGAATATGGGGTGAAAGTGATGGAGAAAAAGAGCTGAAGTCTCCTCTGGTGTCTCAGCACTCCACCCAAGGTAGAGCCTCTGGATGGAAGAAGGAATCTCCCACCTCTCCACCACACTCCCCCAGGATTTACCTTCAGCATCAGGTAGCTAGGGGCAAGATGAGAAATGCTGATATGCTGGTCTCTGACTGGGAGCTGTGGGAAGAGAGAGGTTCTGAGTTGCAGCAGTCTGGAGTGGAGTCTCTTGCTGAACAAAGGGAGAGGTTTGGTTTAAATACCACAGACTGACTCTCACATTCTGATCCAAGAGTTTTCATAGATTTTTTGGAACAGATGTTTCTTCATTTGCTGTTTGCCCTTAGGACCATTTCAAAGGCTTTAAATGGTTAATGGTTGTTTGTTGTTTTAAATAATTTTCAGTTTCACTAGGGGTGAATCCCGAGCTCTTCATGCCGTCCTGCTGTTAGTCTCTCTTGGTATTATTCTTCACCTTTCCTGTGAGTTTAAAATTATCTCAAGAAAAGTTAAAGCTCTTTAAGAATCACAATAAAGTAGTTATTAGGAATAAATAAAAACGTAGAGGGGCGCGGTGGCTCACGCCTGTGATCCCAGCACTTTGGGAGGCCGAGGCGGGCAAGGATCACTTGAGGCCAGCAGTTGGAGACCAGCCTTGCCAACATGGTGAAACCCCATCTCTACTAAAAATACAAAAAAAAAAAAAAATTAGTCGGGCATGGTGGCTTGCACCTGTGGTCCCCGCTACTTGGGAGGCTGAGGGCTGGATGGTTTGAGAGCGGGAAATCCAGGCTGCAGTGAGCTGTGATGGCGCCACTGCCTTCTAGCCTGGGCGACAGCGCGAGACCCTGTCTCAAGAAGGAAAACAAAAAAAAACAAACAAAAACATACACACAAAAAACCACAAAGTGTGTTCACGTTTGCTATGACTCCCAGACAACAATTGTAAACACTCGCGCCGGGCGTGGTGGCTCACGCCTGTAATCCCAGCACTTTGGGAGGCCGAGGCGGGCGGATCACGAGGTCAAGAGTTCGAGACCATTCTGGCCAACAGTGAAACCCCGTCTCTACTAAACACAAAAATTAGGCGGGCGTGCTGGCGCGTGCCTGTAGTCCCAGCTACTCGGGAGGCTGAGGCAAGAGAATCGCTTGAACTAGGAAGGCGGAGGTTGCAGTGAGCTGAAATTGCGCCACTGCACTCCAGCCTGGGCCACAGAGCGAGACTCTGTCTCAAAAAAGAAGGAAAGAAAGAAAGAAAAAAAAAAACACTCGCAGTGTTTACTCCTAACGCGTGGAACTTGTGTCGACATCCACCCCCGGTTACTGCATACTCAGTCACACAAGCCATAGCAGGAAACAGCGAGCTTGCAGCCTCACCGACGAGTCTCAACTAAAAGGGACTCCCGGAGCTAGGGGTGGGGACTCGGCCTCACACAGTGAGTGCCGGCTATTGGACTTTTGTCCAGTGACAGCTGAGACAACAAGGACCACGGGAGGAGGTGTAGGAGAGAAGCGCCGCGAACAGCGATCGCCCAGCACCAAGTCCGCTTCCAGGCTTTCGGTTTCTTTGCCTCCATCTTGGGTGCGCCTTCCCGGCGTCTAGGGGAGCGAAGGCTGAGGTGGCAGCGGCAGGAGAGTCCGGCCGCGACAGGACGGTACGTGCCCCGCGCTCGACCCCCGCGCTGGCGGCGCCGGAGCTGTCCCAGACCCCAAGCCCCGACGCCCGGCCCTGAGTCAGCATTGCAGCAGGCCCTGCGCCGCCGCGCCCCGCGTCCCACCCCGCGCCGCTCCTCACAGCCCTGCGCTCCGGGAAACTGCAGGTGGCCGGCAGTGGCCAGGGGATGGCGGGGGCGCTTCTGGAACCTGACTCAGTTTTGTAGGTTCCTTATCTCGGTTGTTTACCGCGGGCTTTGCGGAATGCCCCCGCTTCCGTTTCCGCCCGGCTCCGAACCCCCGAACCCCTTCTACCCGCAACTCCGCCCCGGATTCCCAGAAAGGGGCGACCTGGGCCACAGCGGTACAAGCTGCACCCCGATGGACCTGAGAGACCGGAAGTAACCCTTGGCCAACTCTGGCCGCCCCCTGCAGCCGCAGCCCCAGAGGCCCACCCGCGAGCTTCAGTGGCGGGCCCTCAGCGTCGTGTAAACTTTGCTTAAAATGATCTTGAGAGTTCAATTCTTGGGGTGAACTGTTGAGAAGATCTGGCATTTTTCCTTTCGAAAGTTGTTGGGAACGTGGACTTTCCCAACAATTGTGTATGCGCTCGATCTCACTCAGTGGGAGCCGCCGCCCTGGAGGGAATTTCACAATAGCCTGGTCAGGGCGGTTATTTTCCAGAGCAGTTTAATGTCTATTTTGCCCAAGTGCAAGGAAAGCTTGCCTTGGGAAAGCTGGGAATGCTTGGCTAATGAAAAGTTTTTAGAGCCTTTTAAAATGAACCTGTTTCTGCCACTTTTCCACCGCCTCAAAACGACTGGGAAATGTAAACTGGCTTCAAGATGTTCTTGCTTGAGGGTGTCTGGATTTGGACAGAAGGCCATGTTCTTTTAATATTAACAGTGGCACGCAGTAGAACAAAGGCCACTGAAATTCAGAATCAGTTTTTGGCTCCACGGGCAGGAAGTAAATTCAAGGACGCCAGAGGTCTTGCGAATATTTTAATTGGTTGACATTTGAAATTTGTTCTTAAGCAATGAGGGGTGAAACCAGTAGGGGGATAGCGTATAGCATAAGTAAAGCTTTTTGGACATCAACAAACTGCGATAATCTACAACAGACAGCGGGCTCTGGAAGGTTTGACCTGCTTTAGAGAGAGATTTCCGATAAGAGGAACGGAGTTTTTGGCACTTTTCGGTTTGGTGATTCCCCTAAATAACCTTACAAAAGTTTCGTTGAACAAAAAACCTGGCTGGAGCTCCAAGATCTTTTTTTTTTTTTTTTTTTTTTGAGACAGCATTTCACTCTTGTTGCCCAGGCTGGAATGCAATGGCACTATCTCTGCTCACCGCAACCTCCGCCTGTCGGGTTCAAGCGATTCTCGTGCCTCAGCCTCTCAAGTAGCTGAGATTACAGGCATGCACCACCATGCCCGGCTAGTTTTGTATTTTTAATAGAGACGGGGTTTCTCCATGTTGGTCAGTCTGGTCTCGAACTCCTGACCTTAGGTGATCCGCCCGCCTCGGCATCCCAAAGTGCTGGGATTACAGGCGTGAGCCACCATGCCCGGCCCAACTCCAAGATCTAAACAAAAAAGACTGGGTTGAAAGGGAGTTTTTAATGTTTACTGTTTGCTTTACATCCATTTTCTTGTTTTGTTAATACTTGCTTTACTTAAGCTTTTGGGTCAAATGTCCTCGTTAAAATGGCTTTCTCTAGCGACTTTATGTTTTACGTTTCTGTTTGTAACTGACATTTGACCTTCTTTTAACACGGTATTACTTGCTTCCTTATACCGGTTTCCAAGGTGAAGCCATTTGCAGGGTCGCTGGGTTTCCCCCTCCCCCCGAAAGTCTTGCGCGACCCGGGGTGGGCCGGATAGTGTGCAGTTTTTTGAGCCTTGGGCTGGGGACCTCCAGGAAGCTGAAGCGGAAATTGCCTAGGCCCCTGGGGCATTGGAGGTCCTACCGCAGCTCCTAGTAGGTGGTGGGGGCGCAGCGGCTGTCCCCACTCAGTCCTGGTGGGGTCGCACGTAACGGTCCTGAGCTATGCATAAGCCGTTTGACCACGCATGGAGAATTTTACCACCCAGAGACACGCGAGTGGCCCTGTGCAAGTTTCAACTGCGCGGGGGGCGGGGAATTCCGCAGACAGGATTCTAGAATTTATGTCTTGTGTGGTAACATTTCAGCCGGTGGGTGGCGGGGATTAGGCGTGAAGCGGTTCAGCAGGCAGAGGTTCTCGGACGCCCTCCGGCGAAGCCACCTGTTGATGCTTTTGACTTTCTGTCCTTGTTCCTCGTCCCATCTGGAGCATTTCCAATTCTGGTTTTGCGGAGCAGCAGGTCTGAGCTTGTCCGGCGAGGGTGGGAGTTGGTCCCGGCGGAGATCCAGTGGGAAGAGCCGGCGGCTGCCCGGGCGTGAGTAGACCGAGAATCCTGCCCGATCCCCGCCCCTGGGCTGGTGTCGCCCTGGGCTCCTGGGACGTCGGGGCACTGTCCCCCGATACTGGCAGAAAAGGATTGAGTCCTCGCTTTTGGCCCTAGGTCTCCTTGAGCCTCCAGAGGACTCACAACACTCCGGGGCATGTTGCTCTTTCAAATACCAGGAATGGACTCTGGGGAATGGGGCACCCTTGAAGTCTGATTATTTCTTCCCTGTAGAGCCCCAGGGGCTAATTAAACTCGTGTTTATGGACTCCAATGCCTCCTTGCCTTTAATTCAGTATAATCCTACCAACATTTATTGAGCTTCTCTGGGCCAGGCAGAGTTCTGGGTGCCGAGGACATAGAAATGGATCTAAACTTGGTTCTTGTCCCCATAACCTCACAATGTGGTTGAGGAAGACTCAGCAGTTACCTACACAGGTAACTTCGAGTCAAGGCAGTTTAGACAAGATCCACTGACAGCCTGACTGGAGGAAGCCTGTGGGCCATGGTGGGGCAGTTATGACACCATGGGTTCTTTTTGTTTATTTGTTTGTTTGTTTTGTCTTTTCTTTTAGTATGCCCAGGTAACTTGCAGAACCCGGTCGTTCTTTCTTACTATAGATCAGTGAGGTGAAAAGCACTATCATTATTGGAATGCCCTGTCTCTCCCTTATACTCTCTTCCTGTCATCTCCCCTCAGAAGACTTGACACCCCACCCTGGTGCCCTTTCTCTGTACTTTCATATGCTCAGCGGCTGTCTTTGCACTTGCTTCAGGATTGTACCTAACATTCTGTACTGTAATGCATTTTCTTCAGACACTCTTCAGTCAAGTTGTATTATAATTATGAGTTAAAATACATGCAAAGTAAATAGAGAAAACCTCCAGGGGTTCATTCCGTAGAGATAACCAAAGGTTTCAGTTTAATGTTTTTTTTTTTTTTTTCACACATGTGCGCTCTCAAATACAGTCTTTTACATATTTTTAAAAATAAACACTCAATTTTTTTGGTTTATTTTCTAGTTTGCAAGATATTTCATTTTTTAAAATTGTGTTTATTTACAACCTGCTTTTTTCTAAAAAAGATTCAAGGTGGGGCCTTCTTTTCTTTTCTTTTTTTTTTTTTTTTTTTGAGATGAGGTCTTGCTTGTTGCCCAGGCTGGAGTGCAGTGGTGATCATATCTCACTTCAGCCTCTAACTCTAGGCTCAAGCAGTCATCTCACATCAGCCTCTGGAGTAGCTGGAACTACAGGTGTGTGCCACCACACCCAGCTACATTTTTTTTTTTTTTTGAGACAGAGTCTCACTCTGTCACCCAGGCTGGAGTGCAGTGGTGCTATCTCTGCTCACTGCAGCCTCTGCCTCCTGGGTTCAAGTGATTCTCCTGTGAAAATTGCTTCCTTTTCTACACTTGTTCTGTATTTATGTTCCTCTGATGGTCTCCACTTCTAGCCACTTTCTTTTTTTGGCGATTTAAGTTTTTGGCCCAAATAGATAAACATCTTCTACATTATTTTTCTCTTATTCTCGATACTGGGTTGCCATCTTTGGTGATTTAGTACTTATTATGAAAGAGAGAAGCTACACCACTTGATACCACTTTCATCTGCATACTCATGATAATTTGTATCTTCTGCAGTGAACTCTTAAGTTGAAGAAATGAATAATTTATATGTATATTTGTATACTTTTAAAAATGTAATTGAAAAATCCTCTCATAGTTACTTAACTCCAAGGTTTAAAAATGCTTCCCAGGGTAATGAGTTTCTTTAGTCATGTGACTTTAGAAATGGGAACCAAAGCTTCCTTATCTACTTGTGAAATTCTTGAGTTTTTTCCTTGAACTTCCTTTTTATCTTCCCTTTGGCTTATATATCTGTGTTTTTTGTTTGTTTTTACTTGCAGCTTTCAAAAGTAGTTTTCAAAGTCAATGAGATTGTTTAAAAGAGTAGGTACCTGACAGTCTCTTGCTTGAATACTATCTAGTGAGTGAACCAAATTCCCTGCAACAATAACCACAACTTTGAATCAAGAGTTAAATGAAAAAAGTAACTCCTTCAGCATTTACTGAGCACCTGCTGGGGCTGAGGAATGGGGGCATGTAGATCTCCCTCTGCTGTCTGGAGCTCCCTTTCTGGTTGGAAAACATAGAAGCAGCGCAAAAGTTTCACCCAAAACCTTGGCCATGGTATGCTATTGAAACCCCATAGTTCAGATTTTATACTTGAGTTCTTTTCTAAGCCATGGCTGGATTATGTTAATCTGGCAAATAATTATAAAGCTGGATTATTTTAATCTGGTAAGTAATTATAAGGTTGTGCTCCGTGATGTAGCTATTAATAAAATATGTGGTAGCACAGACAAGTTGTATATAGCACAAAGCTATACCCCCAGAGGAGACACTATATCAGTTGCTGTCTGCCTAGGCTTTCTGTAAACGTGCTGGCTATCATTCAGCCTAAATGTAGAATGAGTCTATCCCTTTAACCTGGGCCATCACCAGGAATGTAAAGGAACCTAGAACGAGGACCCAGGCAAGAGATGAGAAACTAGGGGACAGATGAGTAGGTACCAGGGATGGTGATGAGACTGAAGCAAGTGGGGAATTTTTATTTTCTTCTCTACTTTTCTCTATTTTCCAGATTTTCTTAGAGCAAAAAGCAGGTAGTGCTTTTTACAGAAAATGAATGCTATATAAAAGTAATTTTAAGAACTTTATATATCCCTAGTGTTATGTACAATTTCTGACTTTGAATAGAGATATCTCCCAAAGGGCCAAGTTTGGCCCTTTAGTTACAATGGAGAATCTGTTGTGTAAACTGAGCAAATACACCTGCCAAGTTGAAATTTAATTTAAGCCAATCTTGTCTAGATGAACTTAAGAGAACGTCTCCTAAATATTTTATTGCAGTAGTGTAGCATGATTGATAGTATGCTATTCTCTTGAATAGATGGGGTTGTTTCTTGAGCCACTTTTTATTCCTTTGATCAAAACCTTGAGGAGAAGGAATGCCTGTTTTCCTGACTGCTGTTGCATGAAGTTAGACATCCAGTTCCTCTAAAGGTGACATCAGATGGTTTAGATACCTAAAAAGAAGTGAGGCTAAGCCATAGGTCTTCTTCGTACTACCTGAAGTTGAGACCTGGTCTCTGAACTCAGTTATTGCTGAAGCATTAAAATCTTACATCTTGCTTAAACTCAGGCAGCTTGACCTGTTCTCATTTTTCTCTATCAAATAAATTGAAGCCTGGTAATAAATTGATGATGAGTTCCAAACATCCCCTTGGTTGGAGACATTGTATTCTCCCCACTCACAATGAGGTCCTGCCAGTTTCCAGAAAATTTTGCATGGGGGCTTACCCATCCTTTTAGAATCACATTGCAAGTCACTCTAAAGCATTAGCATTGTTATCTCATGTAGCTGCAAAAGCTTCCTTTCACAAGCTCTTCTGGATCCAACAACCAGATTCCAAGTATGGTATCTTAACTACACCACCAGCTCCATCTTGCTTCATTGTATGTTATGAAGGGATGAGTAAGCGTTACACATGGGCTGCAATGGTCCAATGATGACCAGTCTGTTCAAGACCCAAGAGGGCTGAGATTGGCAGCCCTGGCCATTGTTTACCACAGCCTAATGAAGATGAGTAAAAGCCTATCTATCCCCAAGGACCTCCACATATGACAGTACTCAACTGAGTCTCACATAGGATAGAATAAGATAAAATGCTGGAAGAGAACACAAATAGTGCTACAAAGCAGGAAGAGAGACTTGATTTGGGGATCAAGACAAGCTTATAGAAGAGACATCTTGAGAGAGAAGATATAATTTCAGGTACAGACTGAGAGGAGGGAAGGGGCTTTCCAAATGGAGGCAAATGCTTGAGTGAAGTTGCTGGGACAGAAAAATACTGTCCAGGGAACATTGAGATATTTTTGGTTCGGAGTTAGATTATGGGTTGGGCTGAAGTGGGGATGATACTCTTAGTGCTTGAGCTATGTATCAGAAGTTTGTCTATAGTATTATGCACAATTTCTGATTTTGAACAGAGCTATCTCCTGCAGGACCACTCTTGGCCCGTTAGTTACAGTGGGCAATCCGTTGTGTAAGCTGAGCAAGTATACCTGCCAAAGTGAAAATTTAAATTTAGTTAAGGGCACTACATCAACTGATTTAGCTCCCTTGCTCCTGGTGACTTTGCCCATGTTTCTATATCCAATTAGATGATGATTTATGATCTTTTGATTTAGATGCTTTCTCATTTCTGATTCATTCTCATTTTCTGCAGCCTACACATAAGTGTTAGGAACCAAGGAAGTTATTGGCGATAATGTCTGGTTGGAATTTGTGGGAGCTTCCTTGAGAGTCATGAAAAGTCTGTTCTTAGTCTGTTTTGTGCTGCTATAACAAAATACCCACAACCAGGTAATTTATAAAAAACAAATTTATTTCTCACAGTCTGGAGGCTGGGAAGTCCAAGATCAAGGTGCTGACATCTGGTGAGGGCTGCTCCCCGCTTCCAATCTGGTGCCTTGAACACTGCATTCTACGGAGGGGAGGAATGCTGTGTCTTAACATGGCAAAAGGTGGAAGGGCAAAAAGAGAAATAAACTCCCTTTATCAGCCCCCTTTATAAGGGCATCTAATCCCATTCAGGAGGGAGGCGCCTCCAGGGAATGATCACCTCTTAAAGGCCCCACTTCTTAATCCTATCATATTGGCAATACCTGAACTTTGGAGGGGACACATTCAAACCATAGCAGCCTCATCAAATAATTTTATAAAATATGACTTCTAATTTTATGTCATTTTATAACTGGGATCATCTGTTGTTCTGCACGCCAATGGAGGGGGAAGGTGAATTTTGTTATGTTCAAGATGAATGCACAAAACTTCTGTGAGATGGCCACATTCTACTTTACCCAGAATTGTGCAACCTCTTCTGCTTTTAGAAACTTCTGGATGACACTTTGTTTCATGTTCATATCTCCACTGGGGCTTCCCAGACACCTGAAAGTTCAGGTTTGCATGCTGCTTTCTGCAGCTGGCAAGACAGGTTTCTCCATTGCCGCCCAGTTTGTGGGGTTGCAAGAAATTACATTTGCATTCACGCTGTGGCTCACTGGACATGACATTGCTTTCATGCCATACGATGACCTTGCTTCACTAGAGAAGCAGTAGAAAGAAGGGAATGTTAAGTACGTCTTTGGATGGCTTAGCTGGTCATGCTGCATGCTTTGCTACTGATTACAGGGAACAATATGTGCCTTTGTTACCAGATAGTTTGGGGGCAGCGTTGGTGTTCTGTGAGAAAGGTTGAGAGGCCTGACTAAACTTAACCACATTTGCTGACACCTGGTTAGGGCTAATGTGGGTACCAGGGAAGTGTGTTAAGTGCTTCAATAGAGGTGTTTTGTTTTGTTTTGTTTTGTTTTTCGAGACGGAGTTTCACTCTTGTTGCCCAGGCTGGAGTGCAGTGGCGCAATCTTAGCTCACTGGCAACCTCCACCTCCCAGGCTCAAGAGACTTTTGTGCCTCAACCCCTCGAGTAGCTGGGATTACAGACATGCAGCACCACGGCCAGCTAGTTTTTGTATTTTTAGTAGAGACAGGGTTTTGCCATGTTGGCCAGGCTGGTCTTGAACTCCTTGCCTCAAGTGATCCGCCCGCCTTGGCCTCCCAAAGTGCTGGGATTACAGGTGTGAGCCACCGCGCCTGGCCAGTTCAGGCATGAACTTTAGAAATTTCACTTAGATGGAAGGTAGATTTGGAGAGGGTGAGGTCTAAAGCAGGGGGAACAGAATGGCTAGGGGAA
Source organism: Homo sapiens (assembly GCF_000001405.40). Lineage (NCBI taxonomy): Eukaryota > Metazoa > Chordata > Mammalia > Primates > Hominidae > Homo > Homo sapiens. Next base: position 201,124,729 of record NC_000002.12, read on the forward strand.
TGAGTTTGGATGAGAGACGGATGGTAGGCACCAGCATTTAAGGGACAGGTGCAGAAAGAGTATGCTGAGGAGTAGAAGAAAGTTAGAGAAGGGTCTGTGTAGAATATAGTGGTGTGAGCTCAGCCAAGGGAGAAGAGTTTCAAGGAGGGATGAATTAGCAGTGTCAGCTGGAGTTGAGCAGTCAGATGAAAGAGGACTTCCAAGTTTTTGGATGTGGCAACCAGGAGGTCACCAGGGCCTCAACAAGAGCTGTGTCATCAGGGCTGGGATACTAGCAGGGGCAAACGAGGCACTGGCTTCAGGACAACATGTGAGGGGGTGCTCAAAAAGTCAGTCATCAAGATAGATAATATTTTAATGCAATATTTTAAAAAACAGACATAAATGCAAAAAATCTATGATGAACAAAATACCAACATTTTAAATAAAGACAGCGTCAGTATTGCTGATTGTCCCTTTTGCCTCAGATTCCAGTATGGCTCAGGACTGAGTGTGGCTGTGTAGAGGAGATGGTGGTGAGGGGATCCAGGTGGAGGCATGTTGAGAAGTGAATTGTGGTTGAAGAAACTGAAGCACTGAGTACAGACTATTCCTTCATGAGGTCCCAGCTTTATGTGAAAGGGAATAAAGTGAAAGGATGGTAGGTCTAGGGGACCCTCAGGCTTTTTTGAGGGTTTGGCTTTATTTTTTAAGATGGAAGAGACTTGCACATGTTTACAAGCTGGGAGGAGCCGTCTCTGGAGGTAGAGAGGATGAAGAGAGTAGACATAGGGGATTAGTAGAGACAGGAGGGCACACAGGGAGGCTTAGCCCTAGGCAAGCAGAGGGACAGGAGGGACCAGCTGGGGCAGTGGAAAGGTGGAAGGTGGCAGGAGTTTGTGCCTGATACATGGATGAGAAATGGCACTGGGGGTGGTGTTGGGATGGAAGAGAGTTGTGGAGTGTTGGAGGTTTCCCACACTCCTTGAAGGGTGTGGGAAAGGAGCTGAACAGAGTCTTCCTGTAAATGAAACTGTTGAGCAGCCGTAGGGGCCCAGCTCAGGAAACCACCAGGGTGTGGTGGTGAGTAGTTTTCAGATTGTGTTATCTCTTCTCCCTTCCTTCGGAACTTGCTACTGGAGGTGTAGGAGTGGTAGAGGCTTCCTCATTAAGGCAGGGGTGCTGGAGCGATCAACCATCCCTGTTTGCCTGGGACTGAGGGGTTTCCTGGGACTCGGTCACCCTAGATGTTGCAGGGCTGGCAGTCAGGAGGG